>NC_000003.12:91891672-92207389 GCF_000001405.40 Homo sapiens
AGACTTCTCCAGTAACTGCTTTTTCTGGTGTGTATTCAACTCTCAGAGTTGAACTTTCCTTTAGAAACAGCAGAGTTGAAACTCTCTTTTTGTGGAATTTGCAAGTGGAGATTTCAAAGCTTTGAGGCCAATGGTAGAAAAGGAAATATCTTCGTATGCAAACTAGACAGAATCATTCTCAGAAACTACTTTGGTACGTGTGTGTTCAACTCACAGTGTTTAACCTTTCTTTTCATAGAGCAGTTTGGAAACACTCAGTTTGTAAAGTCAGCAACTGGATATTTGGATGTATTTGAGGCCTTCGTTGGAAACGGGATTTCTTCATATAATGCTAGACAGAAGAATTCTCAGTAACTTCTTTGGGTTGTGGGTATTCAACTCACAGAGTTGAAGCTTCCTTTAGGCGGAGCAGATTGGAAACACTTTTTGTGGAATTTTCAGGGGGAGACTTCAAGCGCTTTGAAGTGAATGGTAGAAAAGGAAATATCTTCGTATAAAAACTAGACGGAGTCATTCTCAGAAACTACTTTGCGATGTTTGCGTTCAACTCACAGAGTTTAACGTTTCTTTTCATAGAGCAGTTTGGAAACACTCTTTGCAGAATCTGCAAGTGGATATTTGGACCTCTTTGTGGCCTTCGTTGGAAACGGGATTTTTCATATAATGCTAGACAGAAGAATTCTCAGTAACTTCTTTTTGTGGTGTGTATTCAACTCACAGAGTTGAACCTTCCTTTAGACAGAGCAGATTTGAAACTCTCTTTTTGTGGAATTTGCAAGTGGAGATTTCAAGCGCTTTGAGGCCAATGGTAGGAAAGGAAATATCTTCGTAGAAAAAATAGACGGAATCATTCTCAGAAACTGCTTTGGGATGTGTGCATTGAACTCACAGTGTTTAACACTTCTTTTCATAGAGCACTTTGGAAACACTCAGTTTGTAATGTCTGCAGCTGGATATTTGGACCTCTTTGAGGCCTTCGTAGTAAACGGGATTTCTTCGTGTAATGATAGACAATAGAATTCTCAGTGAATTTTTTTCTGTGTGTGTGTATTCAACTCACAGGGTTGAACCTTCCTTTAGACAGTGCAGATTTGAGACACTTGTCTGTGGAATTTGCAAGGGGAGATTTCAAGCACTTTGAGGCCATTGGTGGAAAAGGAAATATCTTCGTATAAAAACTAGACAGAATCATTCTCAGGAACTACTTTGTGATATGTGCATTCAACTCACAGAGTTTAACCTTTCTTTTCATAGATGAGTTTGGAAACAGTCAGTTTGTAAATGCTGCAACTGGATATTTGGGCCTCTTTGAGGCTTTCGTTGGAAACGGGATTTCTTCACATAATGCTAGACAGAAGAATTCTCAGTAACTTCTTTTGGGATGTATGTATTCAAATCAGAGAGTTGAACCTTCCTTTAGACAGAGCGGATTGGAAACACTCTTTTTGTGGAATTTGCAAGTGGAAAATTCTAGCAGTATGAGGCCAATGGTACAAAAGGAAATATCTTCGTATAAAAACTAGACAGTATCATTCTCAGAAACTGCTTTGTGATGTGTGTATTAAACTGACAGAGTTGAACATTTCTTTGCATAGAGCAGTATGGAAAGACTTAGTTTGTGCAGTGTGCAAGTGGATATTTGGAACTCTTTGAGGCCTTGGTTGGAAACGGGATTTCTTCTTATAATTCTTGACAAAAGAATTCTCAGTAGCTTCTTTGTGTGTGTGTACTCAACTCACAGAGTTGAACCTTCCTTTAGACAGAGCAGATTGGAAACACTCTTTTTGTGGAATTTGCAAGTGGAAAATTCTAGCAGTATGAGGCCAATGGTACAAAAGGAAATATCTTCGTATAAAAACTAGACAGTATCATTCTCAGAAACTACTTTGTGATGTGTGCGTTCAACTCACAGTGTTTACCCTTTCTTTTCATAGAGCAGTTTGGAAACACTCTGTTTGTGAAGTCTGCAAGTGGATATTTAAACGTCTTTGAGGCCTTCGTTGGAAACGGGATTTCTTCATATAAACCAGGACAGAAGAATTCTCAGAAACTTCTTGTTTGTTATGTGTGCATTCAACTCACAGAGTTGAACCTTACTTTGGAAAGAGCAGTTTTCTAACACTCTTTTTGTAAAAGTTCCAAGTGAATACTTTGAGTGCTTTGAAGCCTACGGTAGACAACGAAATATCTTCATGTAAAAACTACAAAGAATCATTCGCAGAAACCACGTTGTGATCTCTGCATTCAACTCACAGAGTTGAACCTTTCCTCCTATAGAGCAGTTATGAAACAGTCTCTTTGTAGAATTTGCAAGGGTGTATTTACAGGGCATTGAAGCCTACGGTAGAAAAGGAAATATCTTACCATAAAATCTAGTCAGAAGCATTCTCAGAAACTGAGTTGTGATGTTTGCATTCAACTCACAGAGTTCAACATTCCTTTTAATGGAGCGGTTTTGAAACACTCTTTTTGCAGAATCTGCAAGTGGATATTTGGACCTCTTTGAGGCCTTCGTTGGAAACGGGATTTCTTCATGTAATGCCAGACAGAAGAATTCTCAGTGAATTCTTTCTGTGTGTGTGTATTCAACTCACGGAGTTGAACGTTCCTTTAGACAGAGTAGATTGGAAACACTCTTTTTGTGGAATTTTCAGGTGGAGGTATCAAGCGCTTTGAGGCCAATGATAGAAAAGGAAATACCTTCGTATAATAATTAGACGGAATCATTCTCAGAAACTGCTTTGCAATGTGTGCGTTCAACTCACAGTGTTTAACCTTTCTTTTCATACAGTTTTGTTTCGAAACACTCTTTTTGCAGAATCTGCAAGTGGATATTTGGACCTCTTTGAAGTCTTCGTTGGAAATGGGATTTCTTCATATAATGCTAGACAGAAGACTTCTCAGTAACTGCTTTTTCTGGTGTGTATTCAACTCTCAGAGTTGAACTTTCCTTTAGAAACAGCAGAGTTGAAACTCTCTTTTTGTGGAATTTGCAAGTGGAGATTTCAAAGCTTTGAGGCCAATGGTAGAAAAGGAAATATCTTCGTATGCAAACTAGACAGAATCATTCTCAGAAACTACTTTGGTACGTGTGTGTTCAACTCACAGTGTTTAACCTTTCTTTTCATAGAGCAGTTTGGAAACACCCAGTTTGTAAAGTCAGCAACTGGATATTTGGATGTATTTGAGGCCTTCGTTGGAAACGGGATTTCTTCATATAGTGCTAGACAGAAGAATTCTCAGTAACTTCTTTGGGTTGTGGGTATTCAACTCACAGAGTTGAAGCTTCCTTTAGGCGGAGCAGATTGGAAACACTTTTTGTGGAATTTTCAGGGGGAGACTTCAAGCGCTTTGAAGTGAATGGTAGAAAAGGAAATATCTTCGGTATAAAAACTAGACGGAGTCATTCTCAGAAACTACTTTGTGATGTTTGCGTTCAACTCACAGAGTTTAACGTTTCTTTTCATAGAGCAGTTTGGAAACACTCTTTTTGCAGAATCTGCAAGTGGATATTTGGACCTCTTTGTGGCCTTCGTTGGAAACGGGATTTTTCATATAATGCTAGACAGAAGAATTCTCAGTAACTTCTTTTTGTGGTGTGTATTCAACTCACAGAGTTGAACCTTCCTTTAGACAGAGCAGATTTGAAACTCTCTTTTTGTGGAATTTGCAAGTGGAGATTTCAAGCGCTTTGAGGCCAACGGTAGAAAAGGAAATATCTTCGTAGAAAAAATAGACGTAATCATTCTCAGAAACTGCTTTGGGATGTGTGCATTGAACTCACAGTGTTTAACACTTCTTTTCATAGAGCACTTTGGAAACACTCAGTTTGTAATGTCTGCAGCTGGATATTTGGACCTCTTTGAGGCCTTCGTAGTAAACGGGATTTCTTCGTGTAATGATAGACAATAGAATTCTCAGTGAATTTGTTTCTGTGTGTGTGTATTCAACTCACAGTGTTGAACCTTCCTTTAGACAGTGCAGATTTGAAACACTTGTCTGTGGAATTTGCAAGGGGAGATTTCAAGCACTTTGAGGCCATTGGTGGAAAAGGAAATATCTTCGTATAAAAACTAGACAGAATCATTCTCAGGAACTACTTTGTGATATGTGCATTCAACTCACAGAGTTTAACCTTTCTTTTCATAGATGAGTTTGGAAACAGTCAGTTTGTAAATTCTGCAACTGGATATTTGGACCTCTTTGAGGCTTTCGTTGGAAACGGGATTTCTTCACATAATGCTAGACAGAAGAATTCTCAGTAAATTCTTTTGGGATGTATGTATTCAAATCAGAGAGTTGAACCTTCCTTTAGACAGAGCGGATTGGAAACACTCTTTTTGTGGAATTTGCAAGTGGAAAATTCTAGCAGTATGAGGCCAATGGTACAAAAGGAAATATCTTCGTACAAAAACTAGACAGTATCATTCTCAGAAACTGCTTTGTGATGTGTGTATTAAACTCACAGAGTTGAACATTTCTTTGCATAGAGCAGTTTGGAAAGACTTAGTTTGTGCAGTGTGCAAGTGGATATTTGGAACTCTTTGAGGCCTTCGTTGGAAACGGGATTTCTTCTTATAATTCTTGACAAAAGAATTCTCAGTAGCTTCTTTGTGTGTGTGTATTCAACTCACAGAGTTGAACCTTCCTTTAGACAGAGCAGATTGGAAACACTCTTTTTGTGGAATTTGCAAGTGGAGAATTCTAGCGCTTTGACACCAATGGTAGAAAGGAAATATCTTCGTATAAAAACTAGACAGTATCATTCTCAGAAGCTACTTTGTGATGTGTGCGTTCAACTCACAGAGTTTAACCTTTCTTTTCATAGAGCAGTTTGGAAACACTCTGTTTGTGAAGTCTGCAAGTGGATATTTAAACGTCTTTGAGGCCTTCGTTGGAAAAGGGATTTTTTCATATAAACCAGGACAGAAGAATTCTCAGAAACTTCTTGATTGTTATGTGTGCATTCAACTCACAGAGTTGAACCTTACTTTGGAAAGAGCAGTTTTCTAACACTCTTTTTGTAAAAGTTCCAAGTGAATACTTTGAGTGCTTTGAAGCCTACGGTTGACAACGAAATATCTTCATGTAAAAACTACAAAGAATCATTCGCAGAAACCACGTTGTGATCTCTGCATTCAACTCACAGAGTTGAACCTTTCTTCCTATAGAGCAGTTATGAAACAGTCTCTTTGTAGAATTTGCAAGGGTGTATTTAGAGGGCATTGAAGCCTACGGTATAAAAGGAAATATCTTACCATAAAATCTAGTCAGAAGCATTCTCAGAAACTGAGTTGTGATGTTTGCATTCAACTCACAGAGTTCAACATTCCTTTTCATGGAGCGGTTTTGAAACACTCTTTTTGCAGAATCTGCAAGTGGATATTTGGACCTCTTTGAGGCCTTCGTTGAAAACGGGATTTCTTCATGTAATGCCAGACAGAAGAATTCTCAGTGAATTCTTTCTGTGTGTGTGTATTCAACTCACAGAGTTGAACGTTCCTTTAGACAGAGTAGATTGGAAACACTGTTTTTGTGGAATTTTCAGGTGGAGGTATCAAGCGCTTTGAGGCCAATGATAGAAAAGGAAATACCTTCGTATAATAATTAGACGGAATCATTCTCAGAAACTGCTTTGCAATGTGTGCGTTCAACTCACAGTGTTTAACCTTTCTTTTCATACAGTTGTTTCGAAACACTCTTTTTGCAGAATCTGCAAGTGGATATTTGGACCTCTTTGAAGTCTTCGTTGGAAATGGGATTTCTTCATATAATGCTAGACAGAAGACTTCTCAGTAACTGCTTTTTCTGGTGTGTATTCAACTCTCAGAGTTGAACTTTCCTTTAGAAACAGCAGATTTGAAACTCTCTTTTTGTGGAATTTGCAAGTGGAGATTTCAGAGCTTTGAGGCCAATGGTAGAAAAGGAAATATCTTCGTATGCAAACTAGACAGAATCATTCTCAGAAACTACTTTGGTACGTGTGTGTTCAACTCACAGTGTTTAACCTTTCTTTTCATAGAGCAGTTTGGAAACACTCAGTTTGTAAAGTCAGCAACTGGATATTTGGATGTATTTGAGGCCTTCGTTGGAAACGGGATTTCTTCATATAATGCTAGACAGAAGAATTCTCAGTAACTTCTTTGGGTTGTGGGTATTCAAGTCACAGAGTTGAAGCTTCCTTTAGGCGGAGCAGATTGGAAACACTTTTTGTGGAATTTTCAGGGGGAGACTTCAAGCGCTTTGAAGTGAATGGTAGGAAAGGAAATATCTTCGTATAAAAACTAGACGGAGTCATTCTCAGAAACTACTTTGTGATGTTTGCGTTCAACTCACAGAGTTTAACGTTTCTTTTCATAGAGCAGTTTGGAAACACTCTTTTTGCAGAATCTGCAAGTGGATATTTGGACCTCTTTGTGGCCTTCGTTGGAAACGGGATTTTTCATATAATGCTAGACAGAAGAATTCTCAGTAACTTCTTTTTGTGGTGTGTATTCAACTCACAGAGTTGAACCTTCCTTTAGACAGAGCAGATTTGAAACTCTCTTTTTGTGGAATTTGCAAGTGGAGATTTCAAGCGCTTTGAGGCCAACGGCAGAAAAGGAAATATCTTCGTAGAAAAAATAGACGGAATCATTCTCAGAAACTGCTTTGGGATGTGTGCATTGAACTCACAGTGTTTAACACTTCTTTTCATAGAGCACTTTGGAAACACTCAGTTTGTAATGTCTGCAGCTGGATATTTGGACCTCTTTGAGGCTTTCATAGTAAACGGGATTTCTTCGTGTCATGATAGACAATAGAATTCTCAGTGAATTTTTTTCTGTGTGTGTGTATTCAACTCACAGGGTTGAACCTTCCTTTAGACAGTGCAGATTTGAAACACTTGTCTGTGGAATTTGCAAGGGGAGATTTCAAGCACTTTGAGGCCATTGGTGGAAAAGGAAATATCTTCGTATAAAAACTAGACAGAATCATTCTCAGGAACTACTTTGTGATATGTGCATTCAACTCACAGAGTTTAACCTTTCTTTTCATAGATGAGTTTGGAAACAGTCAGTTTGTAAATTCTGCAACTGGATATTTGGACCTCTTTGAGGCTTTCGTTGGAAACGGGATTTCTTCACATAATGCTAGACAGAAGAATTCTCAGTAACTTCTTTTGGGATGTATGTATTCAAATCAGAGAGTTGAACCTTCCTTTAGACAGAGCGGATTGGAAACACTCTTTTTGTGGAATTTGCAAGTGGAAAATTCTAGCAGTATAAGGCCAATGGTACAAAAGGAAATATCTTCGTATAAAAACTAGACAGTATCATTCTCAGAAACTGCTTTGTGATGTGTGTATTAAACTCACAGAGTTGAACATTTCTTTGCATAGAGCAGTTTGGAAAGACTTAGTTTGTGCAGTGTGCAAGTGGATATTTGGAACTCTTTGAGGCCTTCGTTGGAAACGGGATTTCTTCTTATAATTCTTGACAAAAGAATTCTCAGTAGCTTCTTTGTGTGTGTGTATTCAACTCACAGAGTTGAACCTTCCTTTACACAGAGCAGATTGGAAACACTCTTTTTGTGGATTTTGCAAGTGGAGAATTCTAGCGCTTTGACGCCAATGGTAGAAAGGAAATATCTTCGTATAAAAACTAGACAGTATCATTCTCAGAAGCTACTTTGTGATGTGTGCGTTCAACTCACAGAGTTTAACCTTTCTTTTCATAGAGCAGTTTGGAAACCCTCTGTTTGTGAAGTCTGCAAGTGGATATTTAAACGTCTTTGAGGCCTTCGTTGGAAACGGGATTTTTTCATATAAACCAGGACAGAAGAATTCTCAGAAACTTCTTGATTGTTATGTGTGCATTCAACTCACAGAGTTGAACCTTACTTTGGAAAGAGCAGTTTTCTAACACTCTTTTTGTAAAAGTTCCAAGTGAATACTTTGAGTGCTTTGAAGCCTACGGTTGACAACGAAATATCTTCATGTAAAAACTACAAAGAATCATTCGCAGAAACCACGTTGTGATCTCTGCATTCAACTCACAGAGTTCAACCTTTCTTCCTATAGAGCAGTTATGAAACAGTCTCTTTGTAGAATTTGCAAGGGTGTATTTAGAGGGCATTGAAGCCTACGGTAGAAAAGGAAATATCTTACCATAAAATCTAGTCAGAAGCATTCTCAGAAACTGAGTTGTGATGTTTGCATTCAACTCACAGAGTTCAACATTCCTTTTAATGGAGCGGTTTTGAAACACTCTTTTTGCAGAATCTGCAAGTGGATATTTGGACCTCTTTGAGGCCTTCGTTGGAAACGGGATTTCTTCATGTAATGCCAGACAGAAGAATTCTCAGTGAATTCTTTCTGTGTGTGTGTATTCAACTCACAGAGTTGAACGTTCCTTTAGACAGAGTAGATTGGAAACACTCTTTTTGTGGAATTTTCAGGTGGAGGTATCAAGCGCTTTGAGGCCAATGATAGAAAAGGAAATACCTTCGTATAATAATTAGACGGAATCATTCTCAGAAACTGCTCTGCAATGTGTGCGTTCAACTCACAGTGTTTAACCTTTCTTTTCATACAGTTGTTTCGAAACACTCTTTTTGCAGAATCTGCAAGTGGATATTTGGACCTCTTTGAAGTCTTCGTTGGAAATGGGATTTCTTCATATAATGCTAGACAGAAGACTTCTCAGTAACTGCTTTTTCTGGTGTGTATTCAACTCTCAGAGTTGAACTTTCCTTTAGAAACAGCAGAGTTGAAACTCTCTTTTTGTGGAATTTGCAAGTGGAGATTTCAAAGCTTTGAGGCCAATGGTAGAAAAGGAAATATCTTCGTATGCAAACTAGACAGAATCATTCTCAGAAACTACTTTGGTACGTGTGTGTTCAACTCACAGTGTTTAACCTTTCTTTTCATAGAGCAGTTTGGAAACACTCAGTTTGTAAAGTCAGCAACTGGATATTTGGATGTATTTGAGGCCTTCGTTGGAAACGGGATTTCTTCATATAATGCTAGACAGAAGAATTCTCAGTAACTTCTTTGGGTTGTGGGTATTCAACTCACAGAGTTGAAGCTTCCTTTAGGCGGAGCAGATTGGAAACACTTTTTGTGGAATTTTCAGGGGGAGACTTCAAGCGCTTTGAAGTGAATGGTAGAAAAGGAAATATCTTCGTATAAAAACTAGACGGAGTCATTCTCAGAAACTACTTTGTGATGTTTGCGTTCAACTCACAGAGTTTAACGTTTCTTTTCATAGAGCAGTTTGGAAACACTCTTTTTGCAGAATCTGCAAGTGGATATTTGGACCTCTTTGTGGCCTTCGTTGGAAACGGGATTTTTCATATAATGCTAGACAGAAGAATTCTCAGTAACTTCTTTTGGGATGTATGTATTCAAATCAGAGAGTTGAACCTTCCTTTAGACAGAGCGGATTGGAAACACTCTTTTTGTGGAATTTGCAAGTGGCAAATTCTAGCAGTATGAGGCCAATGGTACAAAAGGAAATATCTTCGTATAAAAACTAGACAGTATCATTCTCAGAAACTGCTTTGTGATGTGTGTATTAAACTCACAGAGTTGAACATTTCTTTGCATAGAGCAGTTTGGAAAGACTTAGTTTGTGCAGTGTGCAAGTGGATATTTGGAACTCTTTGAGGCCTTCGTTGGAAACGGGATTTCTTCTTATAATTCTTGACAAAAGAATTCTCAGTAGCTTCTTTGTGTGTGTGTATTCAACTCACAGAGTTGAACCTTCCTTTAGACAGAGCAGATTGGAAACACTCTTTTTGTGGAATTTGCAAGTGGAGAATTCTAGCGCTTTGACGCCAATGGTAGAAAGGAAATATCTTCGTATAAAAACTAGACAGTATCATTCTCAGAAGCTACTTTGTGATGTGTGCGTTCAACTCACAGAGTTTAACCTTCCTTTTCATAGAGCAGTTTGGAAACCCTCTGTTTGTGAAGTCTGCAAGTGGATATTTAAACGTCTTTGAGGCCTTCGTTGGAAACGGGATTTTTTCATATAAACCAGGACAGAAGAATTCTCAGAAACTTCTTGATTGTTATGTGTGCATTCAACTCACAGAGTTGAACCTTACTTTGGAAAGAGCAGTTTTCTAACACTCTTTTTGTAAAAGTTCCAAGTGAATACTTTGAGTGCTTTGAAGCCTACGGTTGACAACGAAATATCTTCATGTAAAAACTACAAAGAATCATTCGCAGAAACCACGTTGTGATCTCTGCATTCAACTCACAGAGTTGAACCTTTCCTCCTATAGAGCAGTTATGAAACAGTCTCTTTGTAGAATTTGCAAGGGTGTATTTAGAGGGCATTGAAGCCTACGGTAGAAAAGGAAATATCTTACCATAAAATCTAGTCAGAAGCATTCTCAGCAACTGAGTTGTGATGTTTCCATTCAACTCACAGAGTTCAACATTCCTTTTAATGGAGCGGTTTTGAAACACTCTTTTTGCAGAATCTGCAAGTGGATATTTGGACCTGCTTTGAGGCCTTCGTTGGAAACGGGATTTCTTCATGTAATGCCAGACAGAAGAATTCTCAGTGAATTCTTTCTGTGTGTGTGTATTCAACTCACAGAGTTGAACCTTCCTTTAGACAGAGTAGATTGGAAACACTCTTTTTGTGGAATTTTCAGTTGGAGGTATCAAGCGCTTTGAGGCCAATGATAGAAAAGGAAATACCTTCGTATAATAATTAGACGGAATCATTCTCAGAAACTGCTTTGCAATGTGTGCGTTCAACTCACAGTGTTTAACCTTTCTTTTCATACAGTTGTTTCGAAACACTCTTTTTGCAGAATCTGCAAGTGGATATTTGGACCTCTTTGAAGTCTTCGTTGGAAATGGGATTTCTTCATATAATGCTAGACAGAAGACTTCTCAGTAACTGCTTTTTCTGGTGTGTATTCAACTCTCACAGTTGAACTTTCCTTTAGAAACAGCAGATTTGAAACTCTCTTTTTGTGGAATTTGCAAGTGGAGATTTCAGAGCTTTGAGGCCAATGGTAGAAAAGGAAATATCTTCGTATGCAAACTAGACAGAATCATTCTCAGAAACTACTTTGGTACGTGTGTGTTCAACTCACAGTGTTTAACCTTTCTTTTCATAGAGCAGTTTGGAAACACTCAGTTTGTAAAGTCAGCAACTGGATATTTGGATGTATTTGAGGCCTTCGTTGGAAACGGGATTTCTTCATATAATGCTAGACAGAAGAATTCTCAGTATCTTCTTTGGGTTGTGGGTATTCAACTCACAGAGTTGAAGCTTCCTTTAGGCGGAGCAGATTGGAAACACTTTTTGTGGAATTTTCAGGGGGAGACTTCAAGTGCTTTGAAGTGAATGGTAGAAAAGGAAATATCTTCGTATAAAAACTAGACGGAGTCATTCTCAGAAACTACTTTGTGATGTTTGCGTTCAACTCACAGAGTTTAACGTTTCTTTTCATAGAGCAGTTTGGAAACACTCTTTTTGCAGAATCTGCAAGTGGATATTTGGACCTCTTTGTGGCCTTCGTTGGAAACGGGATTTTTCATATAATGCTAGACAGAAGAATTCTCAGTAACTTCTTTTTGTGGTGTGTATTCAACTCACAGAGTTGAACCTTCCTTTAGACAGAGCAGATTTGAAACTCTCTTTTTGTGGAATTTGCAAGTGGAGATTTCAAGCGCTTTGAGGCCAACGGTAGAAAAGGAAATATCTTCGTAGAAAAAATAGATGGAATCATTCTCAGAAACTGCTTTGGGATGTGTGCATTGAACTCACAGTGTTTAACACTTCTTTTCATAGAGCACTTTGGAAACACTCAGTTTGTAATGTCTGCAGCTGGATATTTGGACCTCTTTGAGGCCTTCGTAGTAAACGGGATTTCTTCGTGTAGTGATAGACAATAGAATTCTCAGTGAATTTTTTTCTGTGTGTGTGTATTCAACTCACAGGGTTGAACCTTCCTTTAGACAGTGCAGATTTGAAACACTTTTCTGTGGAATTTGCAAGGGGAGATTTCAAGCACTTTGAGGCCATTGGTGGAAAAGGAAATATCTTCGTATAAAAACTAGACAGAATCATTCTCAGGAACTACTTTGTGATATGTGCATTCAACTCACAGAGTTTAACCTTTCTTTTCATAGATGAGTTTGGAAACAGTCAGTTTGTAAATTCTGCAACTGGATATTTGGACCTCTTGGAGGCTTTCGTTGGAAACGGGATTTCTTCACATAATGCTAGACAGAAGAATTCGCAGTAACTTCTTTTGGGATGTATGTATTCAACTCAGAGATTTGAAACTTCCTTTAGACAGAGCGGATTGGAAACACGCTTTTTGCGGAATTTTCAGGTGGAGATTTCAAGAGCCTTGAGGCCAATGGTAGAAAAGGCTATGTTCGTATAAAAACTAGACGGAATCATTCTCAGAAACTGCTTTGTGATGTGTGCATTAAACTCACAGAGTTGAACATTTCTTTGCATAGAGCAGTTTGGAAAGACTTAGTTTGTACAGTGTGCAAGTGGATATTTGGAACTCTTTGAGGCCTTCGTTGGAAACGGGATTTCTTCTTATAATTCTTGACAAAAGAATTCTCAGTAGCTTCTTTGTGTGTGTGTATTCAACTCACAGAGTTGAACTTTCCTTTAGACAGAGCAGATTGGAAACACTCTTTTTGTGGAATTTGCAAGTGGAGAATTCTAGCGCTTTGACGCCAATGGAAGGAAAGGAAATATCTCCGTATAAAAACTAGACAGTATCATTCTCAGAAACTACTTTGTGATGTGTGCGTTCAACTCACAGAGTTTAACCTTTCTTTTCATAGAGCAGTTTGGAAACACTCTGTTTGTGAAGTCTGCAGGTGGATATTTAAACGTCTTTGAGGCCTTCGTTGGAAACGGGATTTTTTCATATAAACCAGGACAGAAGAATTCTCAGAAACTTCTTGTTTGTTATGTGTGCATTCAACTCACAGAGTTGAACCTTACTTTGGAAAGAGCAGTTTTCTAACACTCTTTTTGTAAAAGTTCCAAGTGAATACTTTGAGTGCTTTGAAGCCTACGGTAGACAACGAAATATCTTCATGTAAAAACTACAAAGAATCATTCGCAGAAACCACGTTGTGATCTCTGCATTCAACTCACAGAGTTCAACCTTTCTTCCTATAGAGCAGTTATTAAACAGTCTCTTTGTAGAATTTGCAAGGGTGTATTTAGAGGGCATTGAAGCCTACGGTAGAAAAGGAAATATCTTACCATAAAATCTAGTCAGAAGCATCCTCAGAAACTGAGTTGTGATGTTTGCATTCAACTCACAGAGTTCAACATTCCTTTTAATAGAGCGGTTTTGAAACACTCTTTTTGCAGAATCTGCAAGTGGATATTTGGACCTCTTTGAGGCCTTCATTGGAAACGGGATTTCTTCATGTAATGCCAGACAGAAGAACTCTCAGTGAATTCTTTCTGTGTGTGTGTATTCAACTCACAGAGTTGAATGTTCCTTTAGACAGAGTAGATTGGAAACACTCTTTTTGTGGAATTTTCAGGTGGAGGTATCAAGCGCTTTGAGGCCCATGATAGAAAAGGAAATACCTTCGTATAATAATTAGACGGAATCATTGTCAGAAAATGCTTTGCAATGGGTGCGTTCAACTCACAGTGTTTAACCTTTCTTTTCATACAGTTGTTTCGAAACACTCTTTTTGCAGAATCTGCAAGTGGATATTTGGACCTGTTTGAAGTCTTCTTTGGAAATGGGATTTCTTCATATAATGCTAGACAGAAGACTTCTCAGTAACTGCTTTTTCTGGTGTGTATTCAACTCTCAGAGTTGAACTTTCCTTTAGAAACAGCAGATTTGAAACTCTCTTTTTGTGGAATTTGCAAGTGGAGATTTCAAAGCTTTGAGGCCAGTGGTAGAAAAGGAAATATCTTTGTATGCAAACTAGACAGAATCATTCTCAGAAACTACTTTGGTACGTGTGTGTTCAACTCACAGTGTTTAACCTTTCTTTTCATAGAGCAGTTTGGAAACACTCAGTTTGTAAAGTCAGCAACTGGATATGTGGATGTATTTGAGGCCTTCGTTGGAAACGGGATTTCTTCCTATAATGCGAGACAGAAGAATTCTCAGTAACTTCTTTGTGTTGTGGGTATTCAACTCACAGAGTTGAAGCTTCCTTTAGGCGGAGCAGATTGGAAACACTTTTTGTGGAATTTTCAGGGGGAGACTTCAAGCGCTTTGAGGCCAACGGTAGAAAAGGAAATATCTTCGTATAAAAACTAGACGGAGTCATTCTCAGAAACTACTTTGTGATGTTTGCGTTCAACTCACAGAGTTTAACGTTTCTTTTCATAGAGCAGTTTGGAAACACTCTTTTTGCAGAATCTGCAAGTGGATATTTGGACCTCTTTGTGGCCTTCGTTGGGAACGGGATTTTTCATATAATGCTAGACAGAAGAATTCTCAGTAACTTCTTTTTGTGGTGTGTATTCAACTCACAGAGTGGAACCTTCCTTTAGACAGAGCAGATTTGAAACTCTCTTTTCGTGGAATTTGCAAGTGGAGATTTCAGGCGCTTTGAGGCCAACGGTAGAAAAGGAAATATCTTCGTAGAAAAAATAGACGGAATCATTCTCAGAAACTGCTTTGGGATGTGTGCATTGAACTCACAGTGTTTAACACTTCTTTTCATAGAGCACTTTGGAAACACTCAGTTTGAAATGTCTGCAGCTGGATATTTGGACCTCTTTGAGGCCTTCGTAGTAAACGGGATTTCTTCGTGTAATGATAGACAATAGAATTCTCAGTGAATTTTTTTTCTGTGTGTGTGTATTCAACTCACAGGGTTGAACCTTCCTTTAGACAGTGCAGATTTGAAACACTTGTCTGTGGAATTTGCAAGGGGAGATTTCAAGCACTTTGAGGCCATTGGTGGAAAAGGAAATATCTTCGTATGAAAACTAGACAGAATCATTCTCAGGAACTACTTTGTGATAGGTGCATTCAACTCACAGAGTTTAACCTTTCTTTTCATAGATGAGTTTGGAAACAGTCAGTTTGTAAATTCTGCAACTGGATATTTGGACCTCTTTGAGGCTTTCGTTGGAAACGGGATTTCTTCACATAATGCTAGACAGAAGAATTCTCAGTAACTTCTTTTGGGATGTATGTATTCAAATCAGAGAGTTGAACCTTCCTTTAGACAGAGCGGATTGGAAACACTCTTTTTGTGGAATTTGCAAGTGGAAAATTCTAGCAGTATGAGGCCAATGGTACAAAAGGAAATATCTTCGTATAAAAACTAGACAGTATCATTCTCAGAAACTGCTTTGTGATGTGTGTATTAAACTCACAGAGTTGAACATTTCTTTGCATAGAGCAGTTTGGAAAGACTTAGTTTGTGCAGTGTGCAAGTGGATATTTGGAACTCTTTGAGGCCTTCGTTGGAAACGGGATTTCTTCTTATAATTCTTGACAAAAGAATTCTCAGTAGCTTCTTTGTGTGTGTGTATTCAACTCACAGAGTTGAACCTTCCTTTAGACAGAGCAGATTGGAAACACTCTTTTTGTGGATTTTGCAAGTGGAGAATTCTAGCGCTTTGACGCCAATGGTAGAAAGGAAATATCTTCGTATAAAAACTAGACAGTTATCATTCTCAGAAGCTACTTTGTGATGTGTGCGTTCAACTCACAGAGTTTAACCTTTCTTTTCATAGAGCAGTTTGGAAACCCTCTGTTTGTGAAGTCTGCAAGTGGATATTTAAACGTCTTTGAGGCCTTCGTTGGAAACGGGATTTGTTCCTATAAACCAGGACAGAAGAATTCTCAGAAACTTCTTGATTGTTATGTGTGCATTCAACTCACAGAGTTGAACCTTACTTTGGAAAGAGCAGTTTTCTAACACTCTTTTTGTAAAAGTTCCAAGTGAATACTTTGAGTGCTTTGAAGCCTACGGTTGACAACGAAATATCTTCATGTAAAAACTACAAAGAATCATTCGCAGAAACCACGTTGTGATCTCTGCATTCAACTCACAGAGTTCAACCTTTCTTCCTATAGAGCAGTTATGAAACAGTCTCTTTGTAGAATTTGCAAGGGTGTATTTAGAGGGCATTGAAGCCTACGGTAGAAAAGGAAATATCTTACCATAAAATCTAGTCAGAAGCATTCTCAGAAACTGAGTTGTGATGTTTGCCATTCAACTCACAGAGTTCAACATTCCTTTTCATGGAGCGGTTTTGAAACACTCTTTTTGCAGAATCTGCAAGTGGATATTTGGACCTCTTTGAGGCCTTCGTTGAAAACGGGATTTCTTCATGTAATGCCAGACAGACGAATTCTCAGTAACTTCTTTGCGTTGTGTGTATTCAACTCACAGAGTTGAACCTTCCTTTAGACAGAGAAGATTTGAAACACTCTTTTTTTGGAATTTGCAAGTGGAGATTTCAGGCGCTTTGAGGCCAATGGTAGAAAAGGAAATATCTTCGTATAAAAACTAGACAGATATCATTCTCAGTAAACTACTTTGTGATGTGTGCGTTCAACTCACAGTAGTTTAACCTTTCTTTTCATAGAGCAGTTTGGAAACACTCTGTTTGTGAAGTCTGCAAGTGGATATTTAAACGTCTTTGAGGCCTTCGTTGGAAACGGGATTTCTTCATATAAACCAGGACAGAAGAATTCTCGGAAACTTCTTGTTTGTTATGTGTGCATTCAACTCACAGAGTTGAACCTTACTTTGGAAAGAGCAGTTTTCTAACACTCTTTTTGTAAAAGTTCCAAGTGAATACTTTGAGTGCTTTGAAGCCTACGGTAGACAACGAAATATCTTCATGTAAAAACTACAAAGAATCATTCGCAGAAACCACGTTGTGATCTCTGCATTCAACTCACAGAGTTGAACCTTTCCTCCTATAGAGCAGTTATGAAACAGTCTCTTTGTTGAATTTGCAAGGGTGTATTTACAGGGCATTGAAGCCTACGGTAGAAAAGGAAATATCTTACCATAAAATCTAGTCAGAAGCATTCTCAGAAACTGAGTTGTGATGTTTGCATTCAACTCACAGAGTTCAACATTCCTTTTAATGGAGCGGTTTTGAAACACTCTTTTTGCAGAATCTGCAAGTGGATATTTGGACCTCTTTGAGGCCTTCGTTGGAAACGGGATTTCTTCATGTAATGCCAGACAGAAGAATTCTCAGTGAATTCTTTCTGTGTGTGTGTATTCAACTCACGGAGTTGAACGTTCCTTTAGACAGAGTAGATTGGAAACACTCTTTTTGTGGAATTTTCAGGTGGAGGTATCAAGCGCTTTGAGGCCAATGATAGAAAAGGAAATACCTTCGTATAATAATTAGACGGAATCATTCTCAGAAACTGCTTTGCAATGTGTGCGTTCAACTCACAGTGTTTAACCTTTCTTTTCATACAGTTTTGTTTCGAAACACTCTTTTTGCAGAATCTGCAAGTGGATATTTGGACCTCTTTGAAGTCTTCGTTGGAAATGGGATTTCTTCATATAATGCTAGACAGAAGACTTCTCAGTAACTGCTTTTTCTGGTGTGTATTCAACTCTCAGAGTTGAACTTTCCTTTAGAAACAGCAGATTTGAAACTCTCTTTTTGTGGAATTTGCAAGTGGAGATTTCAGAGCTTTGAGGCCAATGGTAGAAAAGGAAATATCTTCGTATGCAAACTAGACAGAATCATTCTCAGAAACTACTTTGGTACGTGTGTGTTCAACTCACAGTGTTTAACTTTTCTTTTCATAGAGCAGTTTGGAAACACTCAGTTTGTAAAGTCAGCAACTGGATATTTGGATGTATTTGAGGCCTTCGTTGGAAACGGGATTTCTTCATATAATGCTAGACAGAAGAATTCTCAGTAACTTCTTTGGGTTGTGGGTATTCAACTCACAGAGTTGAAGCTTCCTTTAGGCGGAGCAGATTGGAAACACTTTTTGTGGAATTTTCAGGGGGAGACTTCAAGCGCTTTGAAGTGAATGGTAGGAAAGGAAATATCTTCGTATAAAAACTAGACGTAGTCATTCTCAGTAAACTACTTTGTGATGTTTGCGTTCAACTCACAGAGTTTAACGTTTCTTTTCATAGAGCAGTTTGGAAACACTCTTTTTGCAGAATCTGCAAGTGGATATTTGGACCTCTTTGTGGCCTTCGTTGGAAACGGGATTTTTCATATAATGCTAGACAGAAGAATTCTCAGTAACTTCTTTTTGTGGTGTGTATTCAACTCACAGAGTTGAACCTTCCTTTAGACAGAGCAGATTTGAAACTCTCTTTTTGTGGAATTTGCAAGTGGAGATTTCAAGCGCTTTGAGGCCAACGGCAGAAAAGGAAATATCTTCGTAGAAAAAATAGACGGAATCATTCTCAGAAACTGCTTTGGGATGTGTGCATTGAACTCACAGTGTTTAACACTTCTTTTCATAGAGCACTTTGGAAACACTCAGTTTGTAATGTCTGCAGCTGGATATTTGGACCTCTTTGAGGCCTTCGTAGTAAACGGGATTTCTTCGTGTAATGATAGACAATAGAATTCTCAGTGAATTTTTTTCTGTGTGTGTGTATTCAACTCACAGGGTTGAACCTTCCTTTAGACAGTGCAGATTTGAAACACTTGTCTGTGGAATTTGCAAGGGGAGATTTCAAGCACTTTGAGGCCATTGGTGGAAAAGGAAATATCTTCGTATGAAAACTAGACAGAATCATTCTCAGGAACTACTTTGTGATATGTGCATTCAACTCACAGAGTTTAACCTTTCTTTTCATAGATGAGTTTGGAAACAGTCAGTTTGTAAATTCTGCAACTGGATATTTGGACCTCTTTGAGGCTTTCGTTGGAAACGGGATTTCTTCACATAATGCTAGACAGAAGAATTCTCAGTAACTTCTTTTGGGATGTATGTATTCAAATCAGAGAGTTGAACCTTCCTTTAGACAGAGCGGATTGGAAACACTCTTTTTGTGGAATTTGCAAGTGGAAAATTCTAGCAGTATGAGGCCAATGGTACAAAAGGAAATATCTTCGTATAAAAACTAGACAGTATCATTCTCAGAAACTGCTTTGTGATGTGTGTATTAAACTCACAGAGTTGAACATTTCTTTGCATAGAGCAGTTTGGAAAGACTTAGTTTGTGCAGTGTGCAAGTGGATATTTGGAACTCTTTGAGGCCTTCGTTGGAAACGGGATTTCTTCTTATAATTTCTTGACAAAAGAATTCTCAGTAGCTTCTTTGTGTGTGTGTATTCAACTCACAGAGTTGAACCTTCCTTTAGACAGAGCAGATTGGAAACACTCTTTTTGTGGAATTTGCAAGTGGAGAATTCTAGCGCTTTGACGCCAATGGTAGAAAGGAAATATCTTCGTATAAAAACTAGACAGTATCATTCTCAGAAGCTACTTTGTGATGTGTGCGTTCAACTCACAGAGTTTAACCTTTCTTTTCATAGAGCAGTTTGGAAACCCTCTGTTTGTGAAGTCTGCAAGTGGATATTTAAACGTCTTTGAGGCCTTCGTTGGAAACGGGATTTTTTCATATAAACCAGGACAGAAGAATTCTCAGAAACTTCTTGATTGTTATGTGTGCATTCAACTCACAGAGTTGAACCTTACTTTGGAAAGAGCAGTTTTCTAACACTCTTTTTGTAAAAGTTCCAAGTGAATACTTTGAGTGCTTTGAAGCCTACGGTTGACAACGAAATATCTTCATGTAAAAACTACAAAGAATCATTCGCAGAAACCACGTTGTGATCTCTGCATTCAACTCACAGTGTTGAACCTTTCTTCCTATAGAGCAGTTATGAAACAGTCTCTTTGTAGAATTTGCAAGGGTGTATTAAGAGGGCATTGAAGCCTACGGTAGAAAAGGAAATATCTTACCATAAAATCTAGTCAGAAGCATTCTCAGAAACTGAGTTGTGATGTTTGCATTCAACTCACAGAGTTCAACATTCCTTTTAATGGAGCGGTTTTGAAACACTCTTTTTGCAGAATCTGCAAGTGGATATTTGGACCTCTTTGAGGCCTTCGTTGGAAACGGGATTTCTTCATGTAATGCCAGACAGAAGAATTCTCAGTGAATTCTTTCTGTGTGTGTGTATTCAACTCACAGAGTTGAACGTTCCTTTAGACAGAGTAGATTGGAAACACTCTTTTTGTGGAATTTTCAGGTGGAGGTATCAAGCGCTTTGAGGCCAATGATAGAAAAGGAAATACCTTCGTATAATAATTAGACGGAATCATTCTCAGAAACTGCTTTGCAATGTGTGCGTTCAACTCACAGTGTTTAACCTTTCTTTTCATACAGTTGTTTCGAAACACTCTTTTTGCAGAATCTGCAAGTGGATATTTGGACCTCTTTGAAGTCTTCGTTGGAAATGGGATTTCTTCATATAATGCTAGACAGAAGACTTCTCAGTAACTGCTTTTTCTGGTGTGTATTCAACTCTCAGAGTTGAACTTTCCTTTAGAAACAGCAGAGTTGAAACTCTCTTTTTGTGGAATTTGCAAGTGGAGATTTCAAAGCTTTGAGGCCAATGGTAGAAAAGGAAATATCTTCGTATGCAAACTAGACAGAATCATTCTCAGAAACTACTTTGGTACGTGTGTGTTCAAGTCACAGTGTTTAACCTTTCTTTTCATAGAGCAGTTTGGAAACACTCAGTTTGTAAAGTCAGCAACTGGATATTTGGATGTATTTGAGGCCTTCGTTGGAAACGGGATTTCTTCATATAATGCTAGACAGAAGAATTCTCAGTAACTTCTTTGGGTTGTGGGTATTCAACTCACAGAGTTGAAGCTTCCTTTAGGCGGAGCAGATTGGAAACACTTTTTGTGGAATTTTCAGGGGGAGACTTCAAGCGCTTTGAAGTGAATGGTAGAAAAGGAAATATCTTCGTATAAAAACTAGACGGAGTCATTCTCAGAAACTACTTTGTGATGTTTGCGTTCAACTCACAGAGTTTAACGTTTCTTTTCATAGAGCAGTTTGGAAACACTCTTTTTGCAGAATCTGCAAGTGGATATTTGGACCTCTTTGTGGCCTTCGTTGGAAACGGGATTTTTCATATAATGCTAGACAGAAGAATTCTCAGTAACTTCTTTTTGTGGTGTGTATTCAACTCACAGAGTTGAACCTTCCTTTAGACAGAGCAGATTTGAAACTCTCTTTTTGTGGAATTTGCAAGTGGAGATTTCAAGCGCTTTGAGGCCAACGGTAGAAAAGGAAATATCTTCGTAGAAAAAATAGACGTAATCATTCTCAGAAACTGCTTTGGGATGTGTGCATTGAACTCACAGTGTTTAACACTTCTTTTCATAGAGCACTTTGGAAACACTCAGTTTGTAATGTCTGCAGCTGGATATTTGGACCTCTTTGAGGCCTTCGTAGTAAACGGGATTTCTTCGTGTAATGATAGACAATAGAATTCTCAGTGAATTTGTTTCTGTGTGTGTGTATTCAACTCACAGGGTTGAACCTTCCTTTAGACAGTGCAGATTTGAAACACTTGTCTGTGGAATTTGCAAGGGGAGATTTCAAGCACTTTGAGGCCATTGGTGGAAAAGGAAATATCTTCGTATAAAAACTAGACAGAATCATTCTCAGGGACTACTTTGTGATATGTGCATTCAACTCCCAGAGTTTAACCTTTCTTTTCATAGATGAGTTTGGAAACAGTCAGTTTGTAAATTCTGCAACTGGATATTTGGACCTCTTTGAGGCTTTCGTTGGAAACGGGATTTCTTCACATAATGCTAGACAGAAGAATTCTCAGTAACTTCTTTTGGGATGTATGTATTCAAATCAGAGAGTTGAACCTTCCTTTAGACAGAGCGGATTGGAAACACTCTTTTTGTGGAATTTGCAAGTGGAAAATTCTAGCAGTATGAGGCCAATGGTACAAAAGGAAATATGTTCGTATAAAAACTAGACAGTATCATTCTCAGAAACTGCTTTGTGATGTGTGTATTAAACTCACAGAGTTGAACATTTCTTTGCATAGAGCAGTTTGGAAAGACTTAGTTTGTGCAGTGTGCAAGTGGATATTTGGAACTACTTTGAGGCCTTCGTTGGAAACGGGATTTCTTCTTATAATTCTTGACAAAAGAATTCTCAGTAGCTTCTTTGTGTGTGTGTATTCAACTCACAGAGTTGAACCTTCCTTTAGACAGAGCAGATTGGAAACACTCTTTTTGTGGAATTTGCAAGTGGAGAATTCTAGCGCTTTGACGCCAATGGTAGAAAGGAAATATCTTCGTATAAAAACTAGACAGTATCATTCTCAGAAGCTACTTTGTGATGTGTGCGTTCAACTCACAGAGTTTAACCTTTCTTTTCATAGAGCAGTTTGGAAACCCTCTGTTTGTGAAGTCTGCAAGTGGATATTTAAACGTCTTTGAGGCCTTCGTTGGAAACGGGATTTTTTCATATAAACCAGGACAGAAGAATTCTCAGAAACTTCTTGATTGTTATGTGTGCATTCAACTCACAGAGTTGAACCTTACTTTGGAAAGAGCAGTTTTCTAACACTCTTTTTGTAAAAGTTCCAAGTGAATACTTTGAGTGCTTTGAAGCCTACGGTTGACAACGAAATATCTTCATGTAAAAACTACAAAGAATCATTCGCAGAAACCACGTTGTGATCTCTGCATTCAACTCACAGAGTTCAACCTTTCTTCCTATAGAGCAGTTATGAAACAGTCTCTTTGTAGAATTTGCAAGGGTGTATTTAGAGGGCATTGAAGCCTACGGTAGAAAAGGAAATATCTTACCATAAAATCTAGTCAGAAGCATTCTCAGAAACTGAGTTGTGATGTTTGCATTCAACTCACAGAGTTCAACATTCCTTTTAATGGAGCGGTTTTGAAACACTCTTTGTGCAGAATCTGCAAGTGGATATTTGGACCTCTTTGAGGCCTTTGTTGGAAACGGGATTTCTTCATGTAATGCCAGACAGAAGGAATTCTCAGTGAATTCTTTCTGTGTGTGTGTATTCAACTCACAGAGTTGAACGTTCCTTTAGACAGAGTAGATTGGAAACACTCTTTTTGTGGAATTTTCAGGTGGAGGTATCAAGCGCTTTGAGGCCAATGATAGAAAAGGAAATACCTTCGTATAATAATTAGACGGAATCATTCTCAGAAACTGCTTTGCAATGTGTGCGTTCAACTCACAGTGTTTAACCTTTCTTTTCATACAGTTGTTTCGAAACACTCTTTTTGCAGAATCTGCAAGTGGATATTTGGACCTCTTTGAAGTCTTCGTTGGAAATGGGATTTCTTCATATAATGCTAGACAGAAGACTTCTCAGTAACTGCTTTTTCTGGTGTGTATTCAACTCTCAGAGTTGAACTTTCCTTTAGAAACAGCAGAGTTGAAACTCCCTTTTTGTGGAATTTGCAAGTGGAGATTTCAAAGCTTTGAGGCCAATGGTAGAAAAGGAAATATCTTCGTATGCAAACTAGACAGAATCATTCTCAGAAACTACTTTGGTACGTGTGTGTTCAACTCACAGTGTTTAACCTTTCTTTTCATAGAGCAGTTTGGAAACACTCAGTTTGTAAAGTCAGCAACTGGATATTTGGATGTATTTGAGGCCTTCGTTGGAAACGGGATTTCTTCATATAATGCTAGACAGAAGAATTCTCAGTAACTTCTTTGGGTTGTGGGTATTCAAGTCACAGAGTTGAAGCTTCCTTTAGGCGGAGCAGATTGGAAACACTTTTTGTGGAATTTTCAGGGGGAGACTTCAAGCGCTTTGAAGTGAATGGTAGGAAAGGAAATATCTTCGTATAAAAACTAGACGGAGTCATTCTCAGAAACTACTTTGTGATGTTTGCGTTCAACTCACAGAGTTTAACGTTTCTTTTCATAGAGCAGTTTGGAAACACTCTTTTTGCAGAATCTGCAAGTGGATATTTGGACCTCTTTGTGGCCTTCGTTGGAAACGGGATTTTTCATATAATGCTAGACAGAAGAATTCTCAGTAACTTCTTTTTGTGGTGTGTATTCAACTCACAGAGTTGAACCTTCCTTTAGACAGAGCAGATTTGAAACTCTCTTTTTGTGGAATTTGCAAGTGGAGATTTCAAGCGCTTTGAGGCCAACGGCAGAAAAGGAAACTATCTTCGTAGAAAAAATAGACGGAATCATTCTCAGAAACTACTTTGTGATGTGTGCGTTCAACTCACAGTGTTTAACACTTCTTTTCATACAGCACTTTGGAAACACTCAGTTTGTAAGGTTTGCAACTGGATATTTGGACCTCTTTGAGGCCTTCGCAGTAAACGGGATTTCTTCGTGTAATGATAGACAGTAGAATTCTCAGTGAATTTTTTTCTGTGTGTGTGTATTCAACTCACAGGGTTGAACCTTCCTTTAGACAGTGCAGATTTGAAACACTTGTCTGTGGAATTTGCAAGGGGAGATTTCAAGCACTTTGAGGCCATTGGTGGAAAAGGAAATATCTTCGTATAAAAACTAGACAGAATCATTCTCAGGAACTACTTTGTGATATGTGCATTCAACTCACAGAGTTTAACCTTTCTTTTCATAGATGAGTTTGGAAACAGTCAGTTTGTAAATTCTGCAACTGGATATTTGGACCTCTTTCAGGCTTTCGTTGGAAACGGGATTTCTTCACATAATGCTAGACAGAAGAATTCTCAGTAACTTCTTTTGGGATGTATGTATTCAAATCAGAGAGTTGAACCTTCCTTTAGACAGAGCGGATTGGAAACACTCTTTTTGTGGAATTTGCAAGTGGAAAATTCTAGCAGTATGAGGCCAATGGTACAAAAGGAAATATCTTCGTATAAAAACTAGACAGTATCATTCTCAGAAACTGCTTTGTGATGTGTGTATTAAACTCACAGAGTTGAACATTTCTTTGCATAGAGCAGTTTGGAAAGACTTAGTTTGTGCAGTGTGCAAGTGGATATTTGGAACTCTTTGAGGCCTTCGTTGGAAACGGGATTTCTTCTTATAATTCTTGACAAAAGAATTCTCAGTAGCTTCTTTGTGTGTGTGTATTCAACTCACAGAGTTGAACCTTCCTTTAGACAGAGCAGATTGGAAACACTCTTTTTGTGGAATTTGCAAGTGGAGAATTCTAGTGCTTTGACGCCAATGGTAGAAAGGAAATATCTTCGTATAAAAACTAGACAGTATCATTCTCAGAAGCTACTTTGTGATGTGTGCGTTCAACTCACAGAGTTTAACCTTTCTTTTCATAGAGCAGTTTGGAAACCCTCTGTTTGTGAAGTCTGCAAGTGGATATTTAAACGTCTTTGAGGCCTTCGTTGGAAACGGGATTTTTTCATATAAACCAGGACAGAAGAATTCTCAGAAACTTCTTGATTGTTATGTGTGCATTCAACTCACAGAGTTGAACCTTACTTTGGAAAGAGCAGTTTTCTAACACTCTTTTTGTAAAAGTTCCAAGTGAATACTTTGAGTGCTTTGTAGCCTACGGTAGACAACGAAATATCTTCATGTAAAAACTACAAAGAATCATTCGCAGAAACCACGTTGTGATCTCTGCATTCAACTCACAGAGTTGAACCTTTCTTCCTATAGAGCAGTTATGAAACAGTCTCTTTGTAGAAATTGCAAGGGTGTATTTAGAGGGCATTGAAGCCTACGGTAGAAAAGGAAATATCTTACTATAAAATCTAGTCAGAAGCATTCTCAGAAACTGAGTTGTGATGTTTGCATTCAACTCACAGAGTTCAACATTCCTTTTCATAGAGCGGTTTTGAAACACTCTTTTTCCAGAATCTGCAAGTGGATATTTGGACCTCTTTGAGGCCTTCGTTGGAAACGGGATTTCTTCATGTAATCCCAGACAGAAGAACTCTCAGTGAATTCTTTCTGTGTGTGTGTACTCAACTCACAGAGTTGAACGTTCCTTTAGACAGAGTAGATTGGAAACACTCTTTTTGTGGAATGTTCACGTGGAGGTATCAAGCGCTTTGAGGCCCATGATAGAAAAGGAAATACCTTCGTATAATAATTAGATGGAATCATTCTCAGAAACTGCTTTGCAATGTGTGCCTTCAACTCACAGTGTTTAACCTTTCTTTTCATACAGTTGTTTCGAAACACCCTTTTTGCGGAATCTGGAAGTGGATATTTGGACCTCTTTGAAGTCTTCGTTGAAAATGGGATTTCTTCATATAATGCTAGACAGAAGACTTCTCAGTAACTGCTCTTTCTGGTGTGTATTCAACTCTCAGAGTTGAACTTTCCTTTAGAAACAGCAGAGTTGAAACTCTCTTTTTGTGGAATTTGCAAGTGGAGATTTCAAAGCTTTGAGGCCAATGGTAGAAAAGGAAATATCTTCGTATGCAAACTAGACAGAATCATTCTCAGAAACTACTTTGGTACGTGTGTGTTCAACTCACAGTGTTTAACCTTTCTTTTCATAGAGCAGTTTGGAAACACTCAGTTTGTAAAGTCAGCAACTGGATATTTGGATGTATTTGAGGCCTTCGTTGGAAACGGGATTTCTTCATATAGTGCTAGACAGAAGAATTCTCAGTAACTTCTTTGGGTTGTGGGTATTCAACTCACAGAGTTGAAGCTTCCTTTAGGCGGAG
Organism: Homo sapiens; assembly: GCF_000001405.40. Taxonomy (NCBI): domain Eukaryota; kingdom Metazoa; phylum Chordata; class Mammalia; order Primates; family Hominidae; genus Homo; species Homo sapiens. The sequence continues at coordinate 91,918,289 of NC_000003.12, forward strand.
CAGATTGGAAACACTTTTTGTGGAATTTTCAGGGGGAGACTTCAAGCGCTTTGAAGTGAATGGTAGAAAAGGAAATATCTTCGTATAAAAACTAGACGGAGTCATTCTCAGAAACTACTTTGTGATGTTTGCGTTCAACTCACAGAGTTTAACGTTTCTTTTCATAGAGCAGTTTGGAAACACTCTTTTTGCAGAATCTGCAAGTGGATATTTGGACCTCTTTGTGGCCTTCGTTGGAAACGGGATTTTTCATATAATGCTAGACAGAAGAATTCTCAGTAACTTCTTTTTGTGGTGTGTATTCAACTCACAGAGTTGAACCTTCCTTTAGACAGAGCAGATTTGAAACTCTCTTTTTGTGGAATTTGCAAGTGGAGATTTCAAGCGCTTTGAGGCCAACGGTAGAAAAGGAAATATCTTCGTAGAAAAAATAGACGGAATCATTCTCAGAAACTGCTTTGGGATGTGTGCATTGAACTCACAGTGTTTAACACTTCTTTTCATAGAGCACTTTGGAAACACTCAGTTTGTAATGTCTGCAGCTGGATATTTGGACCTCTTTGAGGCCTTCGTAGTAAACGGGATTTCTTCGTGTAATGATAGACAATAGAATTCTCAGTGAATTTTTTTCTGTGTGTGTGTATTCAACTCACAGGGTTGAACCTTCCTTTAGACAGTGCGGATTTGAAACACTTGTCTGTGGAATTTGCAAGGGGAGATTTCAAGCACTTTGAGGCCATTGGTGGAAAAGGAAATATCTTCGTATGAAAACTAGACAGAATCATTCTCAGGAACTACTTTGTGATATGTGCATTCAACTCACAGAGTTTAACCTTTCTTTTCATAGATGAGTTTGGAAACAGTCAGTTTGTAAATTCTGCAACTGGATATTTGGACCTCTTTGAGGCTTTCGTTGGAAACGGGATTTCTTCACATAATGCTAGACAGAAGAATTCTCAGTAAATTCTTTTGGGATGTATGTATTCAAATCAGAGAGTTGAACCTTCCTTTAGACAGAGCGGATTGGAAACACTCTTTTTGTGGAATTTGCAAGTGGAAAATTCTAGCAGTATGAGGCCAATGGTACAAAAGGAAATATCTTCGTATAAAAACTAGACAGTATCATTCTCAGAAACTGCTTTGTGATGTGTGTATTAAACTCACAGAGTTGAACATTTCTTTGCATAGAGCAGTTTGGAAAGACTTAGTTTGTGCAGTGTGCAAGTGGATATTTGGAACTCTTTGAGGCCTTCGTTGGAAACGGGATTTCTTCTTATAATTCTTGACAAAAGAATTCTCAGTAGCTTCTTTGTGTGTGTGTATTCAACTCACAGAGTTGAACCTTCCTTTAGACAGAGCAGATTGGAAACACTCTTTTTGTGGAATTTGCAAGTGGAGAATTCTAGCGCTTTGACGCCAATGGTAGAAAGGAAATATCTTCGTATAAAAACTAGACAGTATCATTCTCAGAAACTACTTTGTGATGTGTGCGTTCAACTCACAGAGTTTAACCTTTCTTTTCATAGAGCAGTTTGGAAACACTCTGTTTGTGAAGTCTGCAAGTGGATATTTAAACGTCTTTGAGGCCTTCGTTGGAAACGGGATTTGTTCATATAAACCAGGACAGAAGAATTCTCAGAAACTTCTTGATTGTTATGTGTGCATTCAACTCACAGAGTTGAACCTTACTTTGGAAAGAGCAGTTTTCTAACACTCTTTTTGTAAAAGTTCCAAGTGAATACTTTGAGTGCTTTGAAGCCTACGGTTGACAACGAAATATCTTCATGTAAAAACTACAAAGAATCATTCGCAGAAACCACGTTGTGATCTCTGCATTCAACTCACAGAGTTCAACCTTTCTTCCTATAGAGCAGTTATGAAACAGTCTCTTTGTAGAATTTGCAAGGGTGTATTTAGAGGGCATTGAAGCCTACGGTAGAAAAGGAAATATCTTACCATAAAATCTAGTCAGAAGCATTCTCAGCAACTGAGTTGTGATGTTTGCATTCAACTCACAGAGTTCAACATTCCTTTTCATGGAGCGGTTTTGAAACACTCTTTTTGCAGAATCTGCAAGTGGATATTTGGACCTCTTTGAGGCCTTCGTTGGAAACGGGATTTCTTCATGTAATGCCAGACAGAAGAATTCTCAGTAACTTCTTTTTGTGGTGTGTATTCAACTCACAGAGTTGAACCTTCCTTTAGACAGAGCAGATTTGAAACTCTCTTTTTGTGGAATTTGCAAGTGGAGATTTCAAGCGCTTTGAGGCCAACGGCAGAAAAGGAAATATCTTCGTAGAAAAAATAGACGGAATCATTCTCAGAAACTGCTTTGGGATGTGTGCATTGAACTCACAGTGTTTAACACTTCTTTTCATAGAGCACTTTGGAAACACTCAGTTTGTAATGTCTGCAGCTGGATATTTGGACCTCTTTGAGGCCTTCGTAGTAAACGGGATTTCTTCGTGTAATGATAGACAATAGAATTCTCAGTGAATTTTTTTCTGTGTGTGTGTATTCAACTCACAGGGTTGAACCTTCCTTTAGACAGTGCAGATTTGAAACACTTGTCTGTGGAATTTGCAAGGGGAGATTTCAAGCACTTTGAGGCCATTGGTGGAAAAGGAAATATCTTCGTATGAAAACTAGACAGAATCATTCTCAGGAACTACTTTGTGATATGTGCATTCAACTCACAGAGTTTAACCTTTCTTTTCATAGATGAGTTTGGAAACAGTCAGTTTGTAAATTCTGCAACTGGATATTTGGACCTCTTTGAGGCTTTCGTTGGAAACGGGATTTCTTCACATAATGCTAGACAGAAGAATTCTCAGTAACTTCTTTTGGGATGTATGTATTCAAATCAGAGAGTTGAACCTTCCTTTAGACAGAGCGGATTGGAAACACTCTTTTTGTGGAATTTGCAAGTGGAAAATTCTAGCAGTATGAGGCCAATGGTACAAAAGGAAATATCTTCGTATAAAAACTAGACAGTATCATTCTCAGAAACTGCTTTGTGATGTGTGTATTAAACTCACAGAGTTGAACATTTCTTTGCATAGAGCAGTTTGGAAAGACTTAGTTTGTGCAGTGTGCAAGTGGATATTTGGAACTCTTTGAGGCCTTCGTTGGAAACGGGATTTCTTCTTATAATTCTTGACAAAAGAATTCTCAGTAGCTTCTTTGTGTGTGTGTATTCAACTCACAGAGTTGAACCTTCCTTTAGACAGAGCAGATTGGAAACACTCTTTTTGTGGAATTTGCAAGTGGAGAATTCTAGCGCTTTGACGCCAATGGTAGAAAGGAAATATCTTCGTATAAAAACTAGACAGTATCATTCTCAGAAGCTACTTTGTGATGTGTGCGTTCAACTCACAGAGTTTAACCTTTCTTTTCATAGAGCAGTTTGGAAACACTCTGTTTGTGAAGTCTGCAAGTGGATATTTAAACGTCTTTGAGGCCTTCGTTGGAAACGGGATTTTTTCATATAAACCAGGACAGAAGGATTCTCAGAAACTTCTTGTTTGTTATGTGTGCATTCAACTCACAGAGTTGAACCTTACTTTGGAAAGAGCAGTTTTCTAACACTCTTTTTGTAAAAGTTCCAAGTGAATACTTTGAGTGCTTTGAAGCCTACGGTAGACAACGAAATATTCTTCATGTAAAAACTACAAAGAATCATTCGCAGAAACCACGTTGTGATCTCTGCATTCAACTCACAGAGTTGAACCTTTCTTCCTATAGAGCAGTTATGAAACAGTCTCTTTGTAGAATTTGCAAGGGTGTATTTAGAGGGCATTGAAGCCTACGGTAGAAAAGGAAATATCTTACCATAAAATCTAGTCAGAAGCATTCTCAGCAACTGAGTTGTGATGTTTGCATTCAACTCACAGAGTTCAACATTCCTTTTAATGGAGCGGTTTTGAAACACTCTTTTTGCAGAATCTGCAAGTGGATATTTGGACCTCTTTGAGGCCTTCGTTGGAAACGGGATTTCTTCATGTAATGCCAGACAGAAGAATTCTCAGTGAATTCTTTCTGTGTGTGTGTATTCAACTCACAGAGTTGAACGTTCCTTTAGACAGAGTAGATTGGAAACACTCTTTTTGTGGAATTTTCAGGTGGAGGTATCAAGCGCTTTGAGGCCAATGATAGAAAAGGAAATACCTTCGTATAATAATTAGACGGAATCATTCTCAGAAACTGCTTTGCAATGTGTGCGTTCAACTCACAGTGTTTAACCTTTCTTTTCATACAGTTGTTTCGAAACACTCTTTTTGCAGAATCTGCAAGTGGATATTTGGACCTCTTTGAAGTCTTCGTTGGAAATGGGATTTCTTCATATAATGCTAGACAGAAGACTTCTCAGTAACTGCTTTTTCTGGTGTGTATTCAACTCTCAGAGTTGAACTTTCCTTTAGAAACAGCAGATTTGAAACTCTCTTTTTGTGGAATTTGCAAGTGGAGATTTCAGAGCTTTGAGGCCAATGGTAGAAAAGGAAATATCTTCGTATGCAAACTAGGCAGAATCATTCTCAGAAACTACTTTGGTACGTGTGTGTTCAACTCACAGTGTTTAACCTTTCTTTTCATAGAGCAGTTTGGAAACACTCAGTTTGTAAAGTCAGCAACTGGATATTTGGATGTATTTGAGGCCTTCGTTGGAAACGGGATTTCTTCATATAATGCTAGACAGAAGAATTCTCAGTAACTTCTTTGGGTTGTGGGTATTCAAGTCACAGAGTTGAAGCTTCCTTTAGGCGGAGCAGATTGGAAACACTTTTTGTGGAATTTTCAGGGGGAGACTTCAAGCGCTTTGAAGTGAATGGTAGGAAAGGAAATATCTTCGTATAAAAACTAGACGGAGTCATTCTCAGAAACTACTTTGTGATGTTTGCGTTCAACTCACAGAGTTTAACGTTTCTTTTCATAGAGCAGTTTGGAAACACTCTTTTTGCAGAATCTGCAAGTGGATATTTGGACCTCTTTGTGGCCTTCGTTGGAAACGGGATTTTTCATATAATGCTAGACAGAAGAATTCTCAGTAACTTCTTTTTGTGGTGTGTATTCAACTCACAGAGTTGAACCTTCCTTTAGACAGAGCAGATTTGAAACTCTCTTTTTGTGGAATTTGCAAGTGGAGATTTCAAGCGCTTTGAGGCCAACGGCAGAAAAGGAAATATCTTCGTAGAAAAAATAGACGGAATCATTCTCAGAAACTGCTTTGGGATGTGTGCATTGAACTCACAGTGTTTAACACTTCTTTTCATAGAGCACTTTGGAAACACTCAGTTTGTAATGTCTGCAGCTGGATATTTGGACCTCTTTGAGGCCTTCGTAGTAAACGGGATTTCTTCGTGTAATGATAGACAATAGAATTCTCAGTGAATTTTTTTCTGTGTGTGTGTATTCAACTCACAGGGTTGAACCTTCCTTTAGACAGTGCAGATTTGAAACACTTGTCTGTGGAATTTGCAAGGGGAGATTTCAAGCACTTTGAGGCCATTGGTGGAAAAGGAAATATCTTCGTATAAAAACTAGACAGAATCATTCTCAGGAACTACTTTGTGATATGTGCATTCAACTCACAGAGTTTAACCTTTCTTTTCATAGATGAGTTTGGAAAGAGTCAGTTTGTAAATTCTGCAACTGGATATTTGGACCTCTTTGAGGCTTTCGTTGGAAACGGGATTTCTTCACATAATGCTAGACAGAAGAATTCTCAGTAACTTCTTTTGGGATGTATGTATTCAAATCAGAGAGTTGAACCTTCCTTTAGACAGAGCGGATTGGAAACACTCTTTTTGTGGAATTTGCAAGTGGAAAATTCTAGCAGTATGAGGCCAATGGTACAAAAGGAAATATCTTCGTATAAAAACTAGACAGTATCATTCTCAGAAACTGCTTTGTGATGTGTGTATTAAACTCACAGAGTTGAACATTTCTTTGCATAGAGCAGTTTGGAAAGACTTAGTTTGTGCAGTGTGCAAGTGGATATTTGGAACTCTTTGAGGCCTTCGTTGGAAACGGGATTTCTTCTTATAATTCTTGACAAAAGAATTCTCAGTAGCTTCTTTGTGTGTGTGTATTCAACTCACAGAGTTGAACCTTCCTTTAGACAGAGCAGATTGGAAACACTCTTTTTGTGGAATTTGCAAGTGGAGAATTCTAGCGCTTTGACGCCAATGGTAGAAAGGAAATATCTTCGTATAAAAACTAGACAGTATCATTCTCAGAAGCTACTTTGTGATGTGTGCGTTCAACTCACAGAGTTTAACCTTTCTTTTCATAGAGCGGTTTGGAAACCCTCTGTTTGTGAAGTCTGCAAGTGGATATTTAAACGTCTTTGAGGCCTTCGTTGGAAACGGGATTTTTTCATATAAACCAGGACAGAAGAATTCTCAGAAACTTCTTGATTGTTATGTGTGCATTCAACTCACAGAGTTGAACCTTACTTTGGAAAGAGCAGTTTTCTAACACTCTTTTTGTAAAAGTTCCAAGTGAATACTTTGAGTGCTTTGAAGCCTACGGTTGACAACGAAATATCTTCATGTAAAAACTACAAAGAATCATTCGCAGAAACCACGTTGTGATCTCTGCATTCAACTCACAGTGTTGAACCTTTCTTCCTATAGAGCAGTTATGAAACAGTCTCTTTGTAGAATTTGCAAGGGTGTATTTAGAGGGCATTGAAGCCTACGGTAGAAAAGGAAATATCTTACCATAAAATCTAGTCAGAAGCATTCTCAGAAACTGAGTTGTGATGTTTGCATTCAACTCACAGAGTTCAACATTCCTTTTAATGGAGCGGTTTTGAAACACTCTTTTTGCAGAATCTGCAAGTGGATATTTGGACCTCTTTGAGGCCTTCGTTGGAAACGGGATTTCTTCATGTAATGCCAGACAGAAGAATTCTCAGTGAATTCTTTCTGTGTGTGTGTATTCAACTCACAGAGTTGAACGTTCCTTTAGACAGAGTAGATTGGAAACACTCTTTTTGTGGAATTTTCAGGTGGAGGTATCAAGCGCTTTGAGGCCAATGATAGAAAAGGAAATACCTTCGTATAATAATTAGACGGAATCATTCTCAGAAACTGCTTTGCAATGTGTGCGTTCAACTCACAGTGTTTAACCTTTCTTTTCATACAGTTGTTTCGAAACACTCTTTTTGCAGAATCTGCAAGTGGATATTTGGACCTCTTTGAAGTCTTCGTTGGAAATGGGATTTCTTCATATAATGCTAGACAGAAGACTTCTCAGTAACTGCTTTTTCTGGTGTGTATTCAACTCTCAGAGTTGAACTTTCCTTTAGAAACAGCAGATTTGAAACTCTCTTTTTGTGGAATTTGCAAGTGGAGATTTCAGAGCTTTGAGGCCAATGGTAGAAAAGGAAATATCTTCGTGTGCAAACTAGACAGAATCATTCTCAGAAACTACTTTGGTACGTGTGTGTTCAACTCACAGTGTTTAACCTTTCTTTTCATAGAGCAGTTTGGAAACACTCAGTTTGTAAAGTCAGCAACTGGATATTTGGATGTATTTGAGGCCTTCGTTGGAAACGGGATTTCTTCATATAATGCTAGACAGAAGAATTCTCAGTAACTTCTTTGGGTTGTGGGTATTCAACTCACAGAGTTGAAGCTTCCTTTAGGCGGAGCAGATTGGAAACACTTTTTGTGGAATTTTCAGGGGGAGACTTCAAGCGCATTGAAGTGAATGGTAGAAAAGGAAATATCTTCGTATAAAAACTAGACGGAGTCATTCTCAGAAACTACTTTGTGATGTTTGCGTTCAACTCACAGAGTTTAACGTTTCTTTTCATAGAGCAGTTTGGAAACACTCTTTTTGCAGAATCTGCAAGTGGATATTTGGACCTCTTTGTGGCCTTCGTTGGAAACGGGATTTTTCATATAATGCTAGACAGAAGAATTCTCAGTAACTTCTTTTTGTGGTGTGTATTCAACTCACAGAGTTGAACCTTCCTTTAGACAGAGCAGATTTGAAACTCTCTTTTTGTGGAATTTGCAAGTGGAGATTTCAAGCGCTTTGAGGCCAACGGCAGAAAAGGAAATATCTTCGTAGAAAAAATAGACGGCATCATTCTCAGAAACTGCTTTGGGATGTGTGCATTGAACTCACAGTGTTTAACACTTCTTTTCATAGAGCACTTTGGAAACACTCAGGTTGTAATGTCTGCAGCTGGATATTTGGACCTCTTTGAGGCCTTCGTAGTAAACGGGATTTCTTCGTGTCATGATAGACAATAGAATTCTCAGTGAATTTTTTTCTGTGTGTGTGTATTCAACTCACAGGGTTGAACCTTCCTTTAGACAGTGCAGATTTGAGACACTTGTCTGTGGAATTTGCAAGGGGTGATTTCAAGCACTTTGAGGCCATTGGTGGAAAAGGAAATATCTTCGTATGAAAACTAGACAGAATCATTCTCAGGAACTACTTTGTGATATGTGCATTCAACTCACAGAGTTTAACCTTTCTTTTCATAGATGAGTTTGGAAACAGTCAGTTTGTAAATTCTGCAACTGGATATTTGGACCTCTTTGAGGCTTTCGTTGGAAACGGGATTTCTTCACATAATGCTAGACAGAAGAATTCTCAGTAACTTCTTTTGGGATGTATGTATTCAAATCAGAGAGTTGAACCTTCCTTTAGACAGAGCGGATTGGAAACACTCTTTTTGTGGAATTTGCAAGTGGAAAATTCTAGCAGTATGAGGCCAATGGTACAAAAGGAAATATCTTCGTATAAAAACTAGACAGTATCATTCTCAGAAACTGCTTTGTGATGTGTGTATTAAACTCACAGAGTTGAACATTTCTTTGCATAGAGCAGTTTGGAAAGACTTAGTTTGTGCAGTGTGCAAGTGGATATTTGGAACTCTTTGAGGCCTTCGTTGGAAACGGGATTTCTTCTTATAATTCTTGACAAAAGAAATTCTCAGTAGCTTCTTTGTGTGTGTGTATTCAACTCACAGAGTTGAACCTTCCTTTAGACAGAGCAGATTGGAAACACTCTTTTTGTGGAATTTGCAAGTGGAGAATTCTAGCGCTTTGACGCCAATGGAAGGAAAGGAAATATCTCCGTATAAAAACTAGACAGTATCATTCTCAGAAACTACTTTGTGATGTGTGCGTTCAACTCACAGAGTTTAACCTTTCTTTTCATAGAGCAGTTTGGAAACACTCTGTTTGTGAAGTCTGCAAGTGGATATTTAAACGTCTTTGAGGCCTTCGTTGGAAACGGGATTTTTTCATATAAACCAGGACAGAAGAATTCTCAGAAACTTCTTGATTGTTATGGGTGCATTCAACTCACAGAGTTGAACCTTACTTTGGAAAGAGCAGTTTTCTAACACTCTTTTTGTAAAAGTTCCAAGTGAATACTTTGAGTGCTTTGAAGCCTACGGTTGACAACGAAATATCTTCATGTAAAAACTACAAAGAATCATTCGCAGAAACCACGTTGTGATCTCTGCATTCAACTCACAGAGTTGAACCTTTCTTCCTATAGAGCAGTTATGAAACAGTCTCTTTGTAGAATTTGCAAGGGTGTATTTAGAGGGCATTGAAGCCTACGGTAGAAAAGGAAATATCTTACCATAAAATCTAGTCAGAAGCATTCTCAGCAACTGAGTTGTGATGTTTGCATTCAACTCACAGAGTTCAACATTCCTTTTAATGGAGCGGTTTTGAAACACTCTTTTTGCAGAATCTGCAAGTGGATATTTGGACCTCTTTGAGGCCTTCGTTGGAAACGGGATTTCTTCATGTAATTCCAGACAGAAGAATTCTCAGTGAATTCTTTCTGTGTGTGTGTATTCAACTCACAGAGTTGAACGTTCCTTTAGACAGAGTAGATTGGAAACACTCTTTTTGTGGAATTTTCAGGTGGAGGTATCAAGCGCTTTGAGGCCAATGATAGAAAAGGAAATACCTTCGTATAATAATTAGACGGAATCATTCTCAGAAACCGCTTTGCAATGTGTGCGTTCAACTCACAGTGTTTAACCTTTCTTTTCATACAGTTGTTTCGAAACACTCTTTTTGCAGAATCTGCAAGTGGATATTTGGACCTCTTTGAAGTCTTCGTTGGAAATGGGATTTCTTCATATAATGCTAGACAGAAGACTTCTCAGTAACTGCTTTTTCTGGTGTGTATTCAACTCTCAGAGTTGAACTTTCCTTTAGAAACAGCAGATTTGAAACTCTCTTTTTGTGGAATTTGCAAGTGGAGATTTCAGAGCTTTGAGGCCAATGGTAGAAAAGGAAATATCTTCGTATGCAAACTAGACAGAATCATTCTCAGAAACTACTTTGGTACGTGTGTGTTCAACTCACAGTGTTTAACCTTTCTTTTCATAGAGCAGTTTGGAAACACTCAGTTTGTAAAGTCAGCAACTGGATATTTGGATGTATTTGAGGCCTTCGTTGGAAACGGGATTTCTTCATATAATGCTAGACAGAAGAATTCTCAGTAACTTCTTTGGGTTGTGGGTATTCAAGTCACAGAGTTGAAGCTTCCTTTAGGCGGAGCAGATTGGAAACACTTTTTGTGGAATTTTCAGGGGGAGACTTCAAGCGCTTTGAAGTGAATGGTAGGAAAGGAAATATCTTCGTATAAAAACTAGACGGAGTCATTCTCAGAAACTACTTTGTGATGTTTGCGTTCAACTCACAGAGTTTAACGTTTCTTTTCATAGAGCAGTTTGGAAACACTCTTTTTGCAGAATCTGCAAGTGGATATTTGGACCTCTTTGTGGCCTTCGTTGGAAACGGGATTTTTCATATAATGCTAGACAGAAGAATTCTCAGTAACTTCTTTTTGTGGTGTGTATTCAACTCACAGAGTTGAACCTTCCTTTAGACAGAGCAGATTTGAAACTCTCTTTTTGTGGAATTTGCAAGTGGAGATTTCAAGCGCTTTGAGGCCAACGGCAGAAAAGGAAATATCTTCGTAGAAAAAATAGACGGAATCATTCTCAGAAACTGCTTTGGGATGTGTGCATTGAACTCACAGTGTTTAACACTTCTTTTCATAGAGCACTTTGGAAACACTCAGTTTGTAATGTCTGCAGCTGGATATTTGGACCTCTTTGAGGCCTTCGTAGTAAACGGGATTTCTTCGTGTAATGATAGACAATAGAATTCTCAGTGAATTTTTTTCTGTGTGTGTGTATTCAACTCACAGGGTTGAACCTTCCTTTAGACAGTGCAGATTTGAAACACTTGTCTGTGGAATTTGCAAGGGGAGATTTCAAGCACTTTGAGGCCATTGGTGGAAAAGGAAATATCTTCGTATAAAAACTAGACAGAATCATTCTCAGGAACTACTTTGTGATATGTGCATTCAACTCACAGAGTTTAACCTTTCTTTTCATAGATGAGTTTGGAAACAGTCAGTTTGTAAATTCTGCAACTGGATATTTGGACCTCTTTGAGGCTTTCGTTGGAAACGGGATTTCTTCACATAATGCTAGACAGAAGAATTCTCAGTAAATTCTTTTGGGATGTATGTATTCAAATCAGAGAGTTGAACCTTCCTTTAGACAGAGCGGATTGGAAACACTCTTTTTGTGGAATTTGCAAGTGGAAAATTCTAGCAGTATGAGGCCAATGGTACAAAAGGAAATATCTTCGTACAAAAACTAGACAGTATCATTCTCAGAAACTGCTTTGTGATGTGTGTATTAAACTCACAGAGTTGAACATTTCTTTGCATAGAGCAGTTTGGAAAGACTTAGTTTGTGCAGTGTGCAAGTGGATATTTGGAACTCTTTGAGGCCTTCGTTGGAAACGGGATTTCTTCTTATAATTCTTGACAAAAGAATTCTCAGTAGCTTCTTTGTGTGTGTGTATTCAACTCACAGAGTTGAACCTTCCTTTAGACAGAGCAGATTGGAAACACTCTTTTTGTGGAATTTGCAAGTGGAGAATTCTAGCGCTTTGACACCAATGGTAGAAAGGAAATATCTTCGTATAAAAACTAGACAGTATCATTCTCAGAAGCTACTTTGTGATGTGTGCGTTCAACTCACAGAGTTTAACCTTTATTTTCATAGAGCAGTTTGGAAACACTCTGTTTGTGAAGTCTGCAAGTGGATATTTAAACGTCTTTGAGGCCTTCGTTGGAAACGGGATTTTTTCATATAAACCAGGACAGAAGAATTCTCAGAAACTTCTTGATTGTTATGTGTGCATTCAACTCACAGAGTTGAACCTTACTTTGGAAAGAGCAGTTTTCTAACACTCTTTTTGTAAAAGTTCCAAGTGAATACTTTGAGTGCTTTGAAGCCTACGGTTGACAACGAAATATCTTCATGTAAAAACTACAAAGAATCATTCGCAGAAACCACGTTGTGATCTCTGCATTCAACTCACAGAGTTGAACCTTTCTTCCTATAGAGCAGTTATGAAACAGTCTCTTTGTAGAATTTGCAAGGGTGTATTTAGAGGGCATTGAAGCCTACGGTAGAAAAGGAAATATCTTACCATAAAATCTAGTCAGAAGCATTCTCAGAAACTGAGTTGTGATGTTTGCATTCAACTCACAGAGTTCAACATTCCTTTTAATGGAGCGGTTTTGAAACACTCTTTTTGCAGAATCTGCAAGTGGATATTTGGACCTCTTTGAGGCCTTCGTTGGAAACGGGATTTCTTCATGTAATGCCAGACAGAAGAATTCTCAGTGAATTCTTTCTGTGTGTGTGTATTCAACTCACAGAGTTGAACGTTCCTTTAGACAGAGTAGATTGGAAACACTCTTTTTGTGGAATTTTCAGGTGGAGGTATCAAGCGCTTTGAGGCCAATGATAGAAAAGGAAATACCTTCGTATAATAATTAGACGGGAATCATTCTCAGAAACTGCTTTGCAATGTGTGCGTTCAACTCACAGTGTTTAACCTTTCTTTTCATACAGTTGTTTCGAAACACTCTTTTTGCAGAATCTGCAAGTGGATATTTGGACCTCTTTGAAGTCTTCGTTGGAAATGGGATTTCTTCATATAATGCTAGACAGAAGACTTCTCAGTAACTGCTTTTTCTGGTGTGTATTCAACTCTCCGAGTTGAACTTTCCTTTAGAAACAGCAGATTTGAAACTCTCTTTTTGTGGAATTTGCAAGTGGAGATTTCAGAGCTTTGAGGCCACTGGTAGAAAAGGAAATATCTTCGTATGCAAACTAGACAGAATCATTCTCAGAAACTACTTTGGTACGTGTGTGTTCAACTCACAGTGTTTAACCTTTCTTTTCATAGAGCAGTTTGGAAACACTCAGTTTGTAAAGTCAGCAACTGGATATTTGGATGTATTTGAGGCCTTCGTTGGAAACGGGATTTCTTCATATAGTGCTAGACAGAAGAATTCTCAGTAACTTCTTTGGGTTGTGGGTATTCAACTCACAGAGTTGAAGCTTCCTTTAGGCGGAGCAGATTGGAAACACTTTTTGTGGAATTTTCAGGGGGAGACTTCAAGCGCTTTGAAGTGAATGGTAGAAAAGGAAATATCTTCGTATAAAAACTAGACGGAGTCATTCTCAGAAACTACTTTGTGATGTTTGCGTTCAACTCACAGAGTTTAACGTTTCTTTTCATAGAGCAGTTTGGAAACACTCTTTTTGCAGAATCTGCAAGTGGATATTTGGACCTCTTTGTGGCCTTCGTTGGAAACGGGATTTTTCATATAATGCTAGACAGAAGAATTCTCAGTAACTTCTTTTTGTGGTGTGTATTCAACTCACAGAGTTGAACCTTCCTTTAGACAGAGCAGATTTGAAACTCTCTTTTTGTGGAATTTGCAAGTGGAGATTTCAAGCGCTTTGAGGCCAACGGTAGAAAAGGAAATATCTTCGTAGAAAAAATAGACGGAATCATTCTCAGAAACTGCTTTGGGATGTGTGCATTGAACTCACAGTGTTTAACACTTCTTTTCATAGAGCACTTTGGAAACACTCAGTTTGAAATGTCTGCAGCTGGATATTTGGACCTCTTTGAGGCCTTCGTAGTAAACGGGATTTCTTCGTGTAATGATAGACAATAGAATTCTCAGTGAATTTTTTTCTGTGTGTGTGTATTCAACTCACAGGGTTGAACCTTCCTTCAGACAGTGCAGATTTGAAACACTTTTCTGTGGAATTTGCAAGGGGAGATTTCAAGCACTTTGAGGCCATTGGTGGAAAAGGAAATATCTTCGTATAAAAACTAGACAGAATCATTCTCAGGAACTACTTTGTGATATGTGCATTCAACTCACAGGGTTTAACCTTTCTTTTCATAGATGAGTTTGGAAACAGTCAGTTTGTAAATTCTGCAACTGGATATTAGGACCTCTTTGAGGCTTTCGTTGGAAACGGGATTTCTTCACATAATGCTAGACAGAAGAATTCTCAGTAACTTCTTTTGGGATGTATGTATTCAACTCATAGAGTTGAACCTTCCTTTAGACAGAGCGGATTGGAAACACGCTTTTTGCGGAATTTTCAGGTGGAGATTCCAAGAGCCTTGAGGCCAATGGTAGAAAAGGCTATCTTCGTATAAAAACTAGAGGGAATCATTCTCAGAAACTGCTTTGTGATGTGTGCATTAAACTCACAGGGTTGAACATTTCTTTGCATAGAGCAGTTTGGAAAGACTTAGTTTGTACAGTGTGCAAGTGGATATATGGAACTCTTTGAGGCCTTCGTTGGAAACGGGATTTCTTCTTATAATTCTTGACAAAAGAATTCTCAGTAGCTTCCTTGTGTGTGTGTATTCAACTAACAGAGTTGAACCTGCCTTTAGGCAGAGCAGATTGGAAACTCTCTTTTTGTGGAATTTGCAAGTGGAGAATTCTAGCGCTTTGACGCCAATGGTAGGAAAGGAAATCTCTTCGTATAAAAACTGGACAGTATCATTCTCAGAAACTACTTTGTGATGTGTGCGTTCAACTCACAGAGTTTAACCTTTCTTTTCATAGACCAGTTTGGAAACACTCTGTTTGTGAAGTCTGCAAGTGGATATTTAAACGTCTTTGAGGCCTTCGTTGGAAACGGGATTTTTTCATATAAACCAGGACAGAAGAATTCTCAGAAACTTCTTGTTTGTTATGTGTGCATTCAACTCACAGAGTTGAACCTTACTTTGGAAAGAGCAGTTTTCTAACACTCTTTTTGTAAAAGTTCCAAGTGAATACTTTGAGTGCTTTGAAGCCTACGGTAGACAACGATATATCTTCATGTAAAAACTACAAAGAATCATTCGCCGAAACCACGTTGTGATCTCCGCATTCAACTCACAGAGTTCAACCTTTCTTCCTATAGAGCAGTTATTAAACAGTCTCTTTGTAGAATTTGCAAGGGTGTATTTAGAGGGAATTGAAGCCTACGGTAGAAAAGGAAATATCTGACCATAAAATCTAGTCAGAAGCATTCTCAGAAACTGAGTTGTGATGTTTGCATTCAACTCACAGAGTTCAACATTCCTTTTCATGGAGCGGTTTTGAAACACTCTTTTTGCAGAATCTGCAAGTGGATATTTGGACCTCTTTGAGGCCTTCGTTGGAAACGGGATTTCTTCATGTAATGCCAGACAGAAGAATTCTCAGTGAATTCTTTCTGTGTGTGTGTATTCAACTCACAGAGTTGAACGTTCCTTTAGACAGAGTAGATTGGAAACACTCTTTTTGTGGAATTTTCAGGTGGAGGTATCAAGCGCTTTGAGGCCAATGATAGAAAAGGAAATACCTTCGTATAATAATTAGACGGAATCATTCTCAGAAACTGCTTTGCAATGTGTGCGTTCAACTCACAGTGTTTAACCTTTCTTTTCATACAGTTGTTTCGAAACACTCTTTTTGCAGAATCTGCAAGTGGATATTTGGACCTCTTTGAAGTCTTCGTTGGAAATGGGATTTCTTCATATAATGCTAGACAGAAGACTTCTCAGTAACTGCTTTTTCTGGTGTGTATTCAACTCTCAGAGTTGAACTTTCCTTTAGAAACAGCAGAGTTGAAACTCTCTTTTTGTGGAATTTGCAAGTGGAGATTTCAGAGCTTTGAGGCCAATGGTAGAAAAGGAAATATCTTCGTATGCAAACTAGACAGAATCATTCTCAGAAACTACTTTGGTACGTGTGTGTTCAACTCACAGTGTTTAACCTTTCTTTTCATAGAGCAGTTTGGAAACACTCAGTTTGTAAAGTCAGCAACTGGATATTTGGATGTATTTGAGGCCTTCGTTGGAAACGGGATTTCTTCATATAATGCTAGACAGAAGAATTCTCAGTAACTTCTTTGGGTTGTGGGTATTCAAGTCACAGAGTTGAAGCTTCCTTTAGGCGGAGCAGATTGGAAACACTTTTTGTGGAATTTTCAGGGGGAGACTTCAAGCGCTTTGAAGTGAATGGTAGGAAAGGAAATATGCTTCGTATAAAAACTAGACGGAAGTCATTCTCAGAAACTACTTTGTGATGTTTGCGTTCAACTCACAGAGTTTAACGTTTCTTTTCATAGAGCAGTTTGGAAACACTCTTTTTGCAGAATCTGCAAGTGGATATTTGGACCTCTTTGTGGCCTTCGTTGGAAACGGGATTTTTCATATAATGCTAGACAGAAGAATTCTCAGTAACTTCTTTTTGTGGTGTGTATTCAACTCACAGAGTTGAACCTTCCTTTAGACAGAGCAGATTTGAAACTCTCTTTTTGTGGAATTTGCAAGTGGAGATTTCAAGCGCTTTGAGGCCAACGGCAGAAAAGGAAATATCTTCGTAGAAAAAATAGACGGAATCATTCTCAGAAACTGCTTTGGGATGTGTGCATTGAACTCACAGTGTTTAACACTTCTTTTCATAGAGCACTTTGGAAACACTCAGTTTATAATGTCTGCAGCTGGATATTTGGACCTCTTTGAGGCCTTCGTAGTAAACGGGATTTCTTCGTGTAATGATAGACAATAGAATTCTCAGTGAATTTTTTTCTGTGTGTGTGTATTCAACTCACAGGGTTGAACCTTCCTTTAGACAGTGCAGATTTGAAACACTTGTCTGTGGAATTTGCAAGGGGAGATTTCAAGCACTTTGAGGCCATTGGTGGAAAAGGAAATATCTTCGTATGAAAACTATACAGAATCATTCTCAGGAACTACTTTGTGATATGGGCATTCAACTCCCAGAGTTTAACCTTTCTTTTCATAGATGAGTTTGGAAACAGTCAGTTTGTAAATTCTGCAACTGGATATTTGGACCTCTTTGAGGCTTTCGTTGGAAACGGGATTTCTTCACATAATGCTAGACAGAAGAATTCTCAGTAACTTCTTTTGGGATGTATGTATTCAAATCAGAGAGTTGAACCTTCCTTTAGACAGAGCGGATTGGAAACACTCTTTTTGTGGAATTTGCAAGTGGAAAATTCTAGCAGTATGAGGCCAATGGTACAAAAGGAAATATCTTCGTATAAAAACTAGACAGTATCATTCTCAGAAACTGCTTTGCGATGTGTGTATTAAACTCACAGAGTTGAACATTTCTTTGCATAGAGCAGTTTGGAAAGACTTAGTTTGTGCAGTGTGCAAGTGGATATTTGGAACTACTTTGAGGCCTTCGTTGGAAACGGGATTTCTTCTTATAATTCTTGACAAAAGAATTCTCAGTAGCTTCTTTGTGTGTGTGTATTCAACTCACAGAGTTGAACCTTCCTTTAGACAGAGCAGATTGGAAACACTCTTTTTGTGGAATTTGCAAGTGGAGAATTCTAGCGCTTTGACGCCAATGGTAGAAAGGAAATATCTTCGTATAAAAACTAGACAGTATCATTCTCAGAAGCTACTTTGTGATGTGTGCGTTCAACTCACAGAGTTTAACCTTTCTTTTCATAGAGCAGTTTGGAAACCCTCTGTTTGTGAAGTCTGCAAGTGGATATTTAAACGTCTTTGAGGCCTTCGTTGGAAACGGGATTTTTTCATATAAACCAGGACAGAAGAATTCTCAGAAACTTCTTGATTGTTATGTGTGCATTCAACTCACAGAGTTGAACCTTACTTTGGAAAGAGCAGTTTTCTAACACTCTTTTTGTAAAAGTTCCAAGTGAATACTTTGAGTGCTTTGAAGCCTACGGTTGACAACGAAATATCTTCATGTAAAAACTACAAAGAATCATTCGCAGAAACCACGTTGTGATCTCTGCATTCAACTCACAGAGTTCAACCTTTCTTCCTATAGAGCAGTTATGAAACAGTCTCTTTGTAGAATTTGCAAGGGTGTATTTAGAGGGCATTGAAGCCTACGGCAGAAAAGGAAATATCTTACCATAAAATCTAGTCAGAAGCATTCTCAGAAACTGAGTTGTGATGTTTGCATTCAACTCACAGAGTTCAACATTCCTTTTCATGGAGCGGTTTTGAAACACTCTTTTTGCAGAATCTGCAAGTGGATATTTGGACCTCTTTGAGGCCTTCGTTGGAAACGGGATTTCTTCATGTAATGCCAGACAGAAGAACTCTCAGTGAATTCTTTCTGTGTGTGTGTATTCAACTCACAGAGTTGAACGTTCCTTTAGACAGAGTAGATTGGAAACACTCTTTTTGTGGAATTTTCAGGTGGAGGTATCAAGCGCTTTGAGGCCCATGATAGAAAAAGAAATACCTTCGTATAATAATTAGACGGAATCATTCTCAGAAACTGCTTTGCAATGTGTGCCTTCAACTCACAGCGTTTAACCTTTCTTTTCATACAGTTGTTTCGAAACACTCTTTTTGCAGAATCTGCAAGTGGATATTTGGACCTGTTTGAAGTCTTCTTTGGAAATGGGATTTCTTCATATAATGCTAGACAGAAGACTTCTCAGTAACTGCTTTTTCTGGTGTGTATTCAACTCTCAGAGTTGAACTTTCCTTTAGAAACAGCAGATTTGAAACTCTCTTTTTGTGGAATTTGCAAGTGGAGATTTCAAAGCTTTGAGGCCAATGGTAGAAAAGGAAATATCTTCGTATGCAAAGTAGACAGAATCATTCTCAGAAACTACTTTGGTACGTGTGTGTTGAACTCACAGTGTTTAACCTTTCCTTTCATAGAGCAGTTTGGAAACACTCAGTTTGTAAAGTCAGCAACTGGATATCTGGATGTATTTGAGGCCTTCGTTGGAAACGGGATTTCTTCATGTAATGCTAGACAGAAGAATTCTCAGTAACTTCTTTGGGTTGTGGGTATTCAACTCACAGAGCTGAAGCTTCCTTTAGGCGGAGCAGATTGGAAACACTTTTTGTGGAATTTTCAGGGGGAGACTTCAAGCGCTTTGAGGCCAACGGTAGAAAAGGAAATATCTTCGTATAAAAACTAGACGGAGTCATTCTCAGAAACTACTTTGTGATGTTTGCGTTCAACTCACAGAGTTTAACCTTTCTTTTCATAGAGCAGTTTGGAAACACTCTTTTTGCAGAATCTGCAAGTGGATATTTGGACCTCTTTGTGGCCTTCGTTGGAAACGGGATTTTTCATATAAAGCTAGACAGAAGAATTCTCAGTAACTTCTTTTTGTTGTGTATTCAACTCACAGAGTTGAACCTTCCTTTAGACAGAGCAGATTTGAAACTCTCTTTTCGTGGAATTTGCAAGTGGAGATTTCAAGTGCTTTCAGGCCAACGGTAGAAAAGGAAATATCTTCGTAGAAAAAATAGACGGAATCATTCTCAGAAACTGCTTTGGGATGTGTGCATTGAACTCACAGTGTTTAACACTTCTTTTCATAGAGCACTTTGGAAACACTCAGTTTGTAATGTCTGCAGCTGGATATTTGGACCTCTTTGAGGCCTTCGAAGTAAACGGGATTTCTTCGTGTAATGATAGACAATAGAATTCTCAGTGAAATTTTTTCTGTGTGTGTGTATTCAACTCACAGGGTTGAACCTTCCTTCAGACAGTGCAGATTTGAAACACTTTTCTGTGGAATTTGCAAGGGGAGATTTCAAGCACTTTGAGGCCATTGGTGGAAAAGGAAATATCTTCGTATAAAAACTAGACAGAATCATTCTCAGGAACTACTTTGTGATACGTGCATTCAACTCACAGGGTTTAACCTTTCTTTTCATAGATGAGTTTGGAAACAGTCAGTTTGTAAATTCTGCAACTGGATATTAGGACCTCTTTGAGGCGTTCGTTGGAAACGGGATTTCTTCACATAATGCTAGACAGAAGAATTCGCAGTAACTTCTTTTGGGATGTATGTATTCAACTCGGAGAGTTGAACCTTCCTTTAGACAGAGCGCATTGGAAACACGCTTTTTGCGGAATTTTCAGGTGGAGATTCCAAGAGCCTTGAGACCAATGGTAGAAAAGGATATCTTCATATAAAAACTAGAGGGAATCATTCTCAGAAACTGCTTTCTGATGTGTGCATTAAACTCACAGGGTTGAACATTTCTTTGCATAGAGCAGTTTGGAAAGAGTTAGTTTGTACAGTGTGCAAGTGGATATTTGGAACTCTTTGAGGCCTTCGTTGGAAACGGGATTTCTTCTTATAATTCTTGACAAAAGAATTCTCAGTAGCTTCTTTGTGTGTGTGTATTCAACTCACAGAGTTGAACCTTCCTTTAGACAGAGCAGATTGGAAACACTCTTTTTGTGGAATTTGCAAGTGGAGAATTCTAGCGCTTTGACGCCAATGGTAGAAAGGAAATATCTTCGTATAAAAACTAGACAGTATCATTCTCAGAAGCTACTTTGTGATGTGTGCGTTCAACTCACAGAGTTTAACCTTTCTTTTCATAGAGCAGTTTGGAAACACTCTGTTTGTGAAGTCTGCAAGTGGATATTTAAACGTCTTTGAGGCCTTCGTTGGAAACGGGATTTTTTCATATAAACCAGGACAGAAGAATTCTCAGAAACTTCTTGATTGTTATGTGTGCATTCAACTCACAGAGTTGAACCTTACTTTGGAAAGAGCAGTTTTCTAACACTCTTTTTGTAAAAGTTCCAAGTGAATACTTTGAGTGCTTTGAACCCTACGGTTGACAACGAAATATCTTCCTGTAAAAACTACAAAGAATCATTCGCAGAAACCACGTTGTGATCTCTGCATTCAACACACAGAGTTGAACCTTTCTTCCTATAGAGCAGTTATGAAACAGTCTCTTTGTAGAAATTGCAAGGGTGTATTTAGAGGGCATTGAAGCCTACGGTAGAAAAGGAAATATCTTACTATAAAATCTAGTCAGAAGCATTCTCAGCAACTGAGTTGTGATGTTTGCATTCAACTCACAGAGTTCAACATTCCTTTTAATGGAGCGGTTTTGAAACACTCTTTTTGCAGAATCTGCAAGTGGATATTTGGACCTCTTTGAGGCCTTCGTTGGAAACGGGATTTCTTCATGTAATGCCAGACAGAAGAATTCTCAGTGAATTCTTTCTGTGTGTGTGTATTCAACTCACAGAGTTGAACGTTCCTTTAGACAGAGTAGATTGGAAACACTCTTTTTGTGGAATTTTCAGGTGGAGGTATCAAGCGCTTTGAGGCCAATGATAGAAAAGGAAATACCTTCGTATAATAATTAGACGGAATCATTCTCAGAAACTGCTTTGCAATGTGTGCGTTCAACTCACAGTGTTTAACCTTTCTTTTCATACAGTTGTTTCGAAACACTCTTTTTGCAGAATCTGCAAGTGGATATTTGGACTTCTTTGAAGTCTTCGTTGGAAATGGGATTTCTTCATATAATGCTAGACAGAAGACTTCTCAGTAACTGCTTTTTCTGGTGTGTATTCAACTCTCAGAGTTGAACTTTCCTTTAGAAACAGCAGATTTGAAACTCTCTTTTTGTGGAATTTGCAAGTGGAGATTTCAGAGCTTTGAGGCCAATGGTAGAAAAGGAAATATCTTCGTATGCAAACTAGACAGAATCATTCTCAGAAACTACTTTGGTACGTGTGTGTTCAACTCACAGTGTTTAACCTTTCTTTTCATAGAGCAGTTTGGAAACACTCAGTTTGTAAAGTCAGCAACTGGATATTTGGATGTATTTGAGGCCTTCGTTGGAAACGGGATTTCTTCATATAATGCTAGACAGAAGAATTCTCAGTAACTTCTTTGGGTTGTGGGTATTCAAGTCACAGAGTTGAAGCTTCCTTTAGGCGGAGCAGATTGGAAACACTTTTTGTGGAATTTTCAGGGGGAGACTTCAAGCGCTTTGAAGTGAATGGTAGGAAAGGAAATATCTTCGTATAAAAACTAGACGGAGTCATTCTCAGAAACTACTTTGTGATGTTTGCGTTCAACTCACAGAGTTTAACGTTTCTTTTCATAGAGCAGTTTGGAAACACTCTTTTTGCAGAATCTGCAAGTGGATATTTGGACCTCTTTGTGGCCTTCGTTGGAAACGGGATTTTTCATATAATGCTAGACAGAAGAATTCTCAGTAACTTCTTTTTGTGGTGTGTATTCAACTCACAGAGTTGAACCTTCCTTTAGACAGAGCAGATTTGAAACTCTCTTTTTGTGGAATTTGCAAGTGGAGATTTCAAGCGCTTTGAGGCCAACGGCAGAAAAGGAAATATCTTCGTAGAAAAAATAGACGGAATCATTCTCAGAAACTGCTTTGGGATGTGTGCATTGAACTCACAGTGTTTAACACTTCTTTTCATAGAGCACTTTGGAAACACTCAGTTTGTAATGTCTGCAGCTGGATATTTGGACCTCTTTGAGGCCTTCGTAGTAAACGGGATTTCTTCGTGTAATGATAGACAATAGAATTCTCAGTGAATTTTTTTCTGTGTGTGTGTATTCAACTCACAGGGTTGAACCTTCCTTTAGACAGTGCAGATTTGAAACACTTGTCTGTGGAATTTGCAAGGGGAGATTTCAAGCACTTTGAGGCCATTGGTGGAAAAGGAAATATCTTCGTATAAAAACTAGACAGAATCATTCTCAGGAACTACTTTGTGATATGTGCATTCAACTCCCAGAGTTTAACCTTTCTTTTCATAGATGAGTTTGGAAACAGTCAGTTTGTAAATTCTGCAACTGGATATTTGGACCTCTTTGAGGCTTTCGTTGGAAACGGGATTTCTTCACATAATGCTAGACAGAAGAATTCTCAGTAACTTCTTTTGGGATGTATGTATTCAAATCAGAGAGTTGAACCTTCCTTTAGACAGAGCGGATTGGAAACACTCTTTTTGTGGAATTTGCAAGTGGAAAATTCTAGCAGTATGAGGCCAATGGTACAAAAGGAAATATCTTCGTATAAAAACTAGACAGTATCATTCTCAGAAACTGCTTTGTGATGTGTGTATTAAACTCACAGAGTTGAACATTTCTTTGCATAGAGCAGTTTGGAAAGACTTAGTTTGTGCAGTGTGCAAGTGGATATTTGGAACTCTTTGAGGCCTTCGTTGGAAACGGGATTTCTTCTTATAATTTCTTGAAAAAAGAATTCTCAGTAGCTTCTTTGTGTGTGTGTATTCAACTCACAGAGTTGAACCTTCCTTTAGACAGAGCAGATTGGAAACACTCTTTTTGTGGAATTTGCAAGTGGAGAATTCTAGCGCTTTGACGCCAATGGTAGAAAGGAAATATCTTCGTATAAAAACTAGACAGTATCATTCTCAGAAGCTACTTTGTGATGTGTGCGTTCAACTCACAGAGTTTAACCTTTCTTTTCATAGAGCAGTTTGGAAACCCTCTGTTTGTGAAGTCTGCAAGTGGATATTTAAACGTCTTTGAGGCCTTCGTTGGAAACGGGATTTTTCCATATAAACCAGGACAGAAGAATTCTCAGAAACTTCTTGATTGTTATGTGTGCATTCAACTCACAGAGTTGAACCTTACTTTGGAAAGAGCAGTTTTCTAACACTCTTTTTGTAAAAGTTCCAAGTGAATACTTTGAGTGCTTTGAAGCCTACGGTTGACAACGAAATATCTTCATGTAAAAACTACAAAGAATCATTCGCAGAAACCACGTTGTGATCTCTGCAGTCAACTCACAGAGTTCAACCTTTCTTCCTATAGAGCAGTTATGAAACAGTCTCTTTGTAGAATTTGCAAGGGTGTATTTAGAGGGCATTGAAGCCTACGGTAGAAAAGGAAATATCTTACCATAAAATCTAGTCAGAAGCATTCTCAGAAACTGAGTTGTGATGTTTGCATTCAACTCACAGAGTTCAACATTCCTTTTAATGGAGCGGTTTTGAAACACTCTTTTTGCAGAATCTGCAAGTGGATATTTGGACCTCTTTGAGGCCTTCGTTGGAAACGGGATTTCTTCATGTAATGCCAGACAGAAGAATTCTCAGTGAATTCTTTCTGTGTGTGTGTATTCAACTCACAGAGTTGAACGTTCCTTTAGACAGAGTAGATTGGAAACACTCTTTTTGTGGAATTTTCAGGTGGAGGTATCAAGCGCTTTGAGGCCAATGATAGAAAAGGAAATACCTTCGTATAATAATTAGATGGAATCATTCTCAGAAACTGCTTTGCAATGTGTGCGTTCAACTCACAGTGTTTAACCTTTCCTTTTCATACAGTTGTTTCGAAACACTCTTTTTGCAGAATCTGCAAGTGGATATTTGGACCTCTTTGAAGTCTTCGTTGGAAATGGGATTTCTTCATATAATGCTAGACAGAAGACTTCTCAGTAACTGCTTTTTCTGGTGTGTATTCAACTCTCAGAGTTGAACTTTCCTTTAGAAACAGCAGATTTGAAACTCTCTTTTTGTGGAATTTGCAAGTGGAGATTTCAGAGCTTTGAGGCCAATGGTAGAAAAGGAAATATCTTCGTATGCAAACTAGACAGAATCATTCTCAGAAACTACTTTGGTACGTGTGTGTTCAACTCACAGTGTTTAACCTTTCTTTTCATAGAGCAGTTTGGAAACACTCAGTTTGTAAAGTCAGCAACTGGATATTTGGATGTATTTGAGGCCTTCGTTGGAAACGGGATTTCTTCATATAATGCTAGACAGAAGAATTCTCAGTAACTTCTTTGGGTTGTGGGTATTCAAGTCACAGAGTTGAAGCTTCCTTTAGGCGGAGCAGATTGGAAACACTTTTTGTGGAATTTTCAGGGGGAGACTTCAAGCGCTTTGAAGTGAATGGTAGGAAAGGAAATATCTTCGTATAAAAACTAGACGGAGTCATTCTCAGAAACTACTTTGTGATGTTTGCGTTCAACTCACAGAGTTTAACGTTTCTTTTCATAGAGCAGTTTGGAAACACTCTTTTTGCAGAATCTGCAAGTGGATATTTGGACCTCTTTGTGGCCTTCGTTGGAAACGGGATTTTTCATATAATGCTAGACAGAAGAATTCTCAGTAACTTCTTTTTGTGGTGTGTATTCAACTCACAGAGTTGAACCTTCCTTTAGACAGAGCAGATTTGAAACTCTCTTTTTGTGGAATTTGCAAGTGGAGATTTCAAGCGCTTTGAGGCCAACGGCAGAAAAGGAAATATCTTCGTAGAAAAAATAGACGGAATCATTCTCAGAAACTGCTTTGGGATGTGTGCATTGAACTCACAGTGTTTAACACTTCTTTTCATAGAGCACTTTGGAAACACTCAGTTTGTAATGTCTGCAGCTGGATATTTGGACCTCTTTGAGGCCTTCGTAGTAAACGGGATTTCTTCGTGTAATGATAGACAATAGAATTCTCAGTGAATTTTTTTCTGTGTGTGTGTATTCAACTCACAGGGTTGAACCTTCCTTTAGACAGTGCAGATTTGAAACACTTGTCTGTGGAATTTGCAAGGGGAGATTTCAAGCACTTTGAGGCCATTGGTGAAAAAGGAAATATCTTCGTATAAAAACTAGACAGAATCATTCTCAGGAACTACTTTGTGATATGTGCATTCAACTCCCAGAGTTTAACCTTTCTTTTCATAGATGAGTTTGGAAACAGTCAGTTTGTAAATTCTGCAACTGGATATTTGGGCCTCTTTGAGGCTTTCGTTGGAAACGGGATTTCTTCACATAATGCTAGACAGAAGAATTCTCAGTAACTTCTTTTGGGATGTATGTATTCAAATCAGAGAGTTGAACCTTCCTTTAGACAGAGCGGATTGGAAACACTCTTTTTGTGGAATTTGCAAGTGGAAAATTCTAGCAGTATGAGGCCAATGGTACAAAAGGAAATATCTTCGTATAAAAACTAGACAGTATCATTCTCAGAAACTGCTTTGTGATGTGTGTATTAAACTCACAGAGTTGAACATTTCTTTGCATAGAGCAGTTTGGAAAGACTTAGTTTGTGCAGTGTGCAAGTGGATATTTGGAACTCTTTGAGGCCTTCGTTGGAAACGGGATTTCTTCTTATATTTCTTGACAAAAGAATTCTCAGTAGCTTCTTTGTGTGTGTGTATTCAACTCACAGAGTTGAACCTTCCTTTAGACAGAGCAGATTGGAAACACTCTTTTTGTGGAATTTGCAAGTGGAGAATTCTAGCGCTTTGACGCCAATGGTAGAAAGGAAATATCTTCGTATAAAAACTAGACAGTATCATTCTCAGAAGCTACTTTGTGATGTGTGCGTTCAACTCACAGAGTTTAACCTTTCTTTTCATAGAGCAGTTTGGAAACCCTCTGTTTGTGAAGTCTGCAAGTGGATATTTAAACGTCTTTGAGGCCTTCGTTGGAAACGGGATTTTTTCATATAAACCAGGACAGAAGAATTCTCAGAAACTTCTTGATTGTTATGTGTGCATTCAACTCACAGAGTTGAACCTTACTTTGGAAAGAGCAGTTTTCTAACACTCTTTTTGTAAAAGTTCCAAGTGAATACTTTGAGTGCTTTGAAGCCTACGGTTGACAACGAAATATCTTCATGTAAAAACTACAAAGAATCATTCGCAGAAACCACGTTGTGATCTCTGCAGTCAACTCACAGAGTTCAACCTTTCTTCCTATAGAGCAGTTATGAAACAGTCTCTTTGTAGAATTTGCAAGGGTGTATTTAGAGGGCATTGAAGCCTACGGTAGAAAAGGAAATATCTTACCATAAAATCTAGTCAGAAGCATTCTCAGAAACTGAGTTGTGATGTTTGCATTCAACTCACAGAGTTCAACATTCCTTTTAATGGAGCGGTTTTGAAACACTCTTTTTGCAGAATCTGCAAGTGGATATTTGGACCTCTTTGAGGCCTTCGTTGGAAACGGGATTTCTTCATGTAATGCCAGACAGAAGAATTCTCAGTGAATTCTTTCTGTGTGTGTGTATTCAACTCACAGAGTTGAACGTTCCTTTAGACAGAGTAGATTGGAAACACTCTTTTTGTGGAATTTTCAGGTGGAGGTATCAAGCGCTTGAGGCCAATGATAGAAAAGGAAATACCTTCGTATAATAATTAGACGGAAATCATTCTCAGTAAACTGCTTTGCAATGTGTGCGTTCAACTCACAGTGTTTAACCTTTCTTTTCATACAGTTGTTTCGAAACACTCTTTTTGCAGAATCTGCAAGTGGATATTTGGACCTCTTTGAAGTCTTCGTTGGAAATGGGATTTCTTCATATAATGCTAGACAGAAGACTTCTCAGTAACTGCTTTTTCTGGTGTGTATTCAACTCTCAGAGTTGAACTTTCCTTTAGAAACAGCAGATTTGAAACTCTCTTTTTGTGGAATTTGCAAGTGGAGATTTCAGAGCTTTGAGGCCAATGGTAGAAAAGGAAATATCTTCGTATGCAAACTAGACAGAATCATTCTCAGAAACTACTTTGGTACGTGTGTGTTCAACTCACAGTGTTTAACCTTTCTTTTCATAGAGCAGTTTGGAAACACTCAGTTTGTAAAGTCAGCAACTGGATATTTGGATGTATTTGAGGCCTTCGTTGGAAACGGGATTTCTTCATATAATGCTAGACAGAAGAATTCTCAGTAACTTCTTTGGGTTGTGGGTATTCAAGTCACAGAGTTGAAGCTTCCTTTAGGCGGAGCAGATTGGAAACACTTTTTGTGGAATTTTCAGGGGGAGACTTCAAGCGCTTTGAAGTGAATGGTAGGAAAGGAAATATCTTCGTATAAAAACTAGACGGAGTCATTCTCAGAAACTACTTTGTGATGTTTGCGTTCAACTCACAGAGTTTAACGTTTCTTTTCATAGAGCAGTTTGGAAACACTCTTTTTGCAGAATCTGCAAGTGGATATTTGGACCTCTTTGTGGCCTTCGTTGGAAACGGGATTTTTCATATAATGCTAGACAGAAGAATTCTCAGTAACTTCTTTTTGTGGTGTGTATTCAACTCACAGAGTTGAACCTTCCTTAAGACAGAGCAGATTTGAAACTCTCTTTTTGTGGAATTTGCAAGTGGAGATTTCAAGCGCTTTGAGGCCAACGGCAGAAAAGGAAATATCTTCGTAGAAAAAATAGACGGAATCATTCTCAGAAACTGCTTTGGGATGTGTGCATTGAACTCACAGTGTTTAACACTTCTTTTCATAGAGCACTTTGGAAACACTCAGTTTGTAATGTCTGCAGCTGGATATTTGGACCTCTTTGAGGCCTTCGTAGTAAACGGGATTTCTTCGTGTAATGATAGACAATAGAATTCTCAGTGAATTTTTTTCTGTGTGTGTGTATTCAACTCACAGGGTTGAACCTTCCTTTAGACAGTGCAGATTTGAAACACTTGTCTGTGGAATTTGCAAGGGGAGATTTCAAGCACTTTGAGGCCATTGGTGGAAAAGAAAATATCTTCGTATGAAAACTAGACAGAATCATTCTCAGGAACTACTTTGTGATATGTGCATTCAACTCACAGAGTTCAACCTTTCTTTTCATAGATGAGTTTGGAAACAGTCAGTTTGTAAATTCTGCAACTGGATATTTGGACCTCTTTGAGGCTTTCGTTGGAAACGGGATTTCTTCACATAATGCTAGACAGAAGAATTCTCAGTAACTTCTTTTGGGATGTATGTATTCAAATCAGAGAGTTGAACCTTCCTTTAGACAGAGCGGATTGGAAACACTCTTTTTGTGGAATTTGCAAGTGGAAAATTCTAGCAGTATGAGGCCAATGGTACAAAAGGAAATATCTTCGTATAAAAACTAGACAGTATCATTCTCAGAAACTGCTTTGTGATGTGTGTATTAAACTCACAGAGTTGAACATTTCTTTGCATAGAGCAGTATGGAAAGACTTAGTTTGTGCAGTGTGCAAGTGGATATTTGGAACTCTTTGAGGCCTTGGTTGGAAACGGGATTTCTTCTTATAATTCTTGACAAAAGAATTCTCAGTAGCTTCTTTGTGTGTGTGTACTCAACTCACAGAGTTGAACCTTCCTTTAGACAGAGCAGATTGGAAACACTCTTTTTGTGGAATTTGCAAGTGGAAATTTCTAGCAGTATGAGGCCAATGGTACAAAAGGAAATATCTTCGTATAAAAACTAGACAGTATCATTCTCAGAAACTACTTTGTGATGTGTGCGTTCATCTCACAGTGTTTACCCTTTCTTTTCATAGAGCAGTTTGGAAACACTCTGTTTGTGAAGTCTGCAAGTGGATATTTAAACGTCTTTGAGGCCTTCGTTGGAAACGGGATTTCTTCATATAAACCAGGACAGAAGAATTCTCAGAAACTTCTTGTTTGTTATGTGTGCATTCAACTCACAGAGTTGAACCTTACTTTGGAAAGAGCAGTTTTCTAACACTCTTTTTGTAAAACTTCCAAGTGCATACTTTGAGTGCTTTGAAGCCTACGGTAGACAACGAAATATCTTCATGTAAAAACTACAAAGAATCATTCGCAGAAATCACGTTGTGATCTGTGCATTCAACTCACAGAGTTCAACCTTTCTTTCTATAGAGCAGTTATGAAACACTCTCTTTGTAGAACTTGCAAGGGTGTATTTAGAGGGCATTGAAGCCTACGGTAGAAAAGGAAATATCTGACCATAAAAACTAGACAGAAGCATTCTCAGAAACTGAGTTGTGATGTTTGCGTTCAACTCACAGAGTTCAACATTCCTTTTAATAGAGCGGTTTTGAAACACTCTATTTGCAGAATCTGCAAGTGGATATTTGGACCTCTTTGAGGCCTTCGTTGGAAACGGGATTTGCTTCATGTAAATGCCAGAGAGAAGAATTCTCAGTGAATTCTTTCTGTGTGTGTGTATTCAACTCACAGAGTTGAACGTTCCTTTAGACAGAGTAGATTGGAAACACTCTTTTTGTGGAATTTTCAGGTGGAGGTATCAAGCGCTTTGAGACCAATGATAGAAAAGGAAATACCTTCGTATAATAATTAGACGGAATCATTCTCAGAAACTGCTTTGCAATGTGTGCGTTCAACTCACAGTGTTTAACCTTTCTTTTCATACAGTTGTTTCGAAACACTCTTTTTGCAGAATCTGCAAGTGGATATTTGGACCTCTTTGAAGTCTTCGTTGGAAATGGGATTTCTTCATATAATGCTAGACAGAAGACTTCTCAGTAACTGCTTTTTCTGGTGTGTATTCAACTCTCAGAGTTGAACTTTCCTTTAGAAACAGCAGATTTGAAACTCTCTTTTTGTGGAATTTGCAAGTGGAGATTTCAGAGCTTTGAGGCCAATGGTAGAAAAGGAAATATCTTCGTATGCAAACTAGACAGAATCATTCTCAGAAACTACTTTGGTACGTGTGTGTTCAACTCACAGTGTTTAACCTTTCTTTTCATAGAGCAGTTTGGAAACACTCAGTTTGTAAAGTCAGCAACTGGATATTTGGATGTATTTGAGGCCTTCGTTGGAAACGGGATTTCTTCATATAATGCTACACAGAAGAATTCTCAGTAACTTCTTTGGGTTGTGGGTATTCAAGTCACAGAGTTGAAGCTTCCTTTAGGCGGAGCAGATTGGAAACACTTTTTGTGGAATTTTCAGGGGGAGACTTCAAGCGCTTTGAAGTGAATGGTAGGAAAGGAAATATCGTCGTATAAAAACTAGACGGAGTCATTCTCAGAAACTACTTTGTGATGTTTGCGTTCAACTCACAGAGTTTAACGTTTCTTTTCATAGAGCAGTTTGGAAACACTCTTTTTGCAGAATCTGCAAGTGGATATTTGGACCTCTTTGTGGCCTTCGTTGGAAACGGGATTTTTCATATAATGCTAGACAGAAGAATTCTCAGTAACTTCTTTTTGTGGTGTGTATTCAACTCACAGAGTTGAACCTTCCTTTAGACAGAGCAGATTTGAAACTCTCTTTTTGTGGAATTTGCAAGTGGAGATTTCAAGCGCTTTGAGGCCAACGGCAGAAAAGGAAATATCTTCGTAGAAAAAATAGACGGAATCATTCTCAGAAACTGCTTTGGGATGTGTGCATTGAACTCACAGTGTTTAACACTTCTTTTCATAGAGCACTTTGGAAACACTCAGTTTGTAATGTCTGCAGCTGGATATTTGGACCTCTTTGAGGCCTTCGTAGTAAACGGGATTTCTTCGTGTAATGATAGACAATAGAATTCTCAGTGAATTTTTTTCTGTGTGTGTGTATTCAACTCACAGGGTTGAACCTTCCTTTAGACAGTGCAGATTTGAAACACTTGTCTGTGGAATTTGCAAGGGGAGATTTCAAGCACTTTGAGGCCGTTGGTGGAAAAGGAAATATCTTCGTATGAAAACTAGACAGAATCATTCTCAGGAACTACTTTGTGATATGTGCATTCAACTCACAGAGTTTAACCTTTCTTTTCATAGATGAGTTTGGAAACAGTCAGTTTGTAAATTCTGCAACTGGATATTTGGACCTCTTTGAGGCTTTCGTTGGAAACGGGATTTCTTCACATAATGCTAGACAGAAGAATTCTCAGTAACTTCTTTTGGGATGTATGTATTCAAATCAGAGAGTTGAACCTTCCTTTAGACAGAGCGGATTGGAAACACTCTTTTTGTGGAATTTGCAAGTGGAAAATTCTAGCAGTATGAGGCCAATGGTACAAAAGGAAATATCTTCGTATAAAAACTAGACAGTATCATTCTCAGAAACTGCTTTGTGATGTGTGTATTAAACTCACAGAGTTGAACATTTCTTTGCATAGAGCAGTTTGGAAAGACTTAGTTTGTGCAGTGTGCAAGTGGATATTTGGAACTCTTTGAGGCCTTCGTTGGAAACGGGATTTCTTCTTATAATTCTTGACAAAAGAATTCTCAGTAGCTTCTTTGTGTGTGTGTATTCAACTCACAGAGTTGAACCTTCCTTTAGACAGAGCAGATTGGAAACACTCTTTTTGTGGAATTTGCAAGTGGAGAATTCTAGCGCTTTGACGCCAATGGTAGAAAGGAAATATCTTCGTATAAAAACTAGACAGTATCATTCTCAGAAGCTACTTTGTGATGTGTGCGTTCAACTCACAGAGTTTAACCTTTCTTTTCATAGAGCAGTTTGGAAACCCTCTGTTTGTGAAGTCTGCAAGTGGATATTTAAACGTCTTTGAGGCCTTCGTTGGAAACGGGATTTCTTCATATAAACCAGGACAGAAGAATTCTCAGAAACTTCTTGATTGTTATGTGTGCATTCAACTCACAGAGTTGAACCTTACTTTGGAAAGAGCAGTTTTCTAACACTCTTTTTGTAAAAGTTCCAAGTGAATACTTTGAGTGCTTTGAAGCCTACGGTTGACAACGAAATATCTTCATGTAAAAACTACAAAGAATCATTCGCAGAAACCACGTTGTGATCTCTGCATTCAACTCACAGAGTTCAACCTTTCTTCCTATAGAGCAGTTATGAAACAGTCTCTTTGTAGAATTTGCAAGGGTGTATTTAGAGGGCATTGAAGCCTACGGTAGAAAAGGAAATATCTTACCATAAAATCTAGTCAGAAGCATTCTCAGCAACTGAGTTGTGATGTTTGCATTCAACTCACAGAGTTCAACATTCCTTTTAATGGAGCGGTTTTGAAACACTCTTTTTGCAGAATCTGCAAGTGGATATTTGGACCTCTTTGAGGCCTTCGTTGGAAACGGGATTTCTTCATGTAATGCCAGACAGAAGAATTCTCAGTGAATTCTTTCTGTGTGTGTGTATTCAACTCACAGAGTTGAACGTTCCTTTAGACAGAGTAGATTGGAAACACTCTTTTTGTGGAATTTTCAGGTGGATGTATCAAGCGCTTTGAGGCCAATGATAGAAAAGGAAATACCTTCGTATAATAATTAGACGGAATCATTCTCAGAAACTGCTTTGCAATGTGTGCGTTCAACTCACAGTGTTTAACCTTTCTTTTCATACAGTTGTTTCGAAACACTCTTTTTGCAGAATCTGCAAGTGGATATTTGGACCTCTTTGAAGTCTTCGTTGGAAATGGGATTTCTTCATATAATGCTAGACAGAAGACTTCTCAGTAACTGCTTTTTCTGGTGTGTATTCAACTCTCAGAGTTGAACTTTCCTTTAGAAACAGCAGATTTGAAACTCTCTTTTTGTGGAATTTGCAAGTGGAGATTTCAGAGCTTTGAGGCCAATGGTAGAAAAGGAAATATCTTCGTATGCAAACTAGACAGAATCATTCTCAGAAACTACTTTGGTACGTGTGTGTTCAACTCACAGTGTTTAACCTTTCTTTTCATAGAGCAGTTTGGAAACACTGTTTGTAAAGTCAGCAACTGGATATTTGGATGTATTTGAGGCCTTCGTTGGAAACGGGATTTCTTCATATAATGCTAGACAGAAGAATTCTCAGTAACTTCTTTGGGTTGTGGGTATTCAACTCACAGAGTTGAAGCTTCCTTTAGGCGGAGCAGATTGGAAACACTTTTTGTGGAATTTTCAGGGGGAGACTTCAAGCGCTTTGAAGTGAATGGTAGGAAAGGAAATATCTTCGTATAAAAACTAGACGGAGTCATTCTCAGAAACTACTTTGTGATGTTTGCGTTCAACTCACAGAGTTTAACGTTTCTTTTCATAGAGCAGTTTGGAAACACTCTTTTTGCAGAATCTGCAAGTGGATATTTGGACCTCCTTTGTGGCCTTCGTTGGAAACGGGATTTTTCATATAATGCTAGACAGAAGAATTCTCAGTAACTTCTTTTTGTGGTGTGTATTCAACTCACAGAGTTGAACCTTCCTTTAGACAGAGCAGATTTGAAACTCTCTTTTTGTGGAATTTGCAAGTGGAGATTTCAAGCGCTTTGAGGCCAACGGCAGAAAAGGAAATATCTTCGTAGAAAAAATAGACGGAATCATTCTCAGAAACTGCTTTGGGATGTGTGCATTGAACTCACAGTGTTTAACACTTCTTTTCATAGAGCACTTTGGAAACACTCAGTTTGTAATGTCTGCAGCTGGATATTTGGACCTCTTTGAGGCCTTCGTAGTAAACGGGATTTCTTCGTGTAATGATAGACAATAGAATTCTCAGTGAATTTTTTTCTGTGTGTGTGTATTCAACTCACAGTGTTGAACCTTCCTTTAGACAGTGCAGATTTGAAACACTTGTCTGTGGAATTTGCAAGGGGAGATTTCAAGCACTTTGAGGCCATTGGTGGAAAAGGAAATATCTTCGTATAAAAACTAGACAGAATCATTCTCAGGAACTACTTTGTGATATGTGCATTCAACTCACAGAGTTTAACCTTTCTTTTCATAGATGAGTTTGGAAACAGTCAGTTTGTAAATTCTGCAACTGGATATTTGGACCTCTTTGAGGCTTTCGTTGGAAACGGGATTTCTTCACATAATGCTAGACAGAAGAATTCTCAGTAAATTCTTTTGGGATGTATGTATTCAAATCAGAGAGTTGAACCTTCCTTTAGACAGAGCGGATTGGAAACACTCTTTTTGTGGAATTTGCAAGTGGAAAATTCTAGCAGTATGAGGCCAATGGTACAAAAGGAAATATCTTCGTACAAAAACTAGACAGTATCATTCTCAGAAACTGCTTTGTGATGTGTGTATTAAACTCACAGAGTTGAACATTTCTTTGCATAGAGCAGTTTGGAAAGACTTAGTTTGTGCAGTGTGCAAGTGGATATTTGGAACTCTTTGAGGCCTTCGTTGGAAACGGGATTTCTTCTTATAATTCTTGACAAAAGAATTCTCAGTAGCTTCTTTGTGTGTGTGTATTCAACTCACAGAGTTGAACCTTCCTTTAGACAGAGCAGATTGGAAACACTCTTTTTGTGGAATTTGCAAGTGGAGAATTCTAGCGCTTTGACGCCAATGGTAGAAAGGAAATATCTTCGTATAAAAACTAGACAGTATCATTCTCAGAAGCTACTTTGTGATGTGTGCATTCAACTCACAGAGTTTAACCTTTCTTTTCATAGAGCAGTTTGGAAACCCTCTGTTTGTGAAGTCTGCAAGTGGATATTTAAACGTCTTTGAGGCCTTCGTTGGAAACGGGATTTTTTCATATAAACCAGGACAGAAGAATTCTCAGAAACTTCTTGATTGTTATGTGTGCATTCAACTCACAGAGTTGAACCTTACTTTGGAAAGAGCAGTTTTCTAACACTCTTTTTGTAAAAGTTCCAAGTGAATACTTTGAGTGCTTTGAAGCCTACGGTTGACAACGAAATATCTTCATGTAAAAACTACAAAGAATCATTCGCAGAAACCACGTTGTGATCTCTGCATTCAACTCACAGAGTTCAACCTTTCTTCCTATAGAGCAGTTATGAAACAGTCTCTTTGTAGAATTTGCAAGGGTGTATTTAGAGGGCATTGAAGCCTACGGTAGAAAAGGAAATATCTTACCATAAAATCTAGTCAGAAGCATTCTCAGCAACTGAGTTGTGATGTTTGCATTCAACTCACAGAGTTCAACATTCCTTTTAATGGAGCGGTTTTGAAACACTCTTTTTGCAGAATCTGCAAGTGGATATTTGGACCTCTTTGAGGCCTTCGTTGGAAACGGGATTTCTTCATGTAATGCCAGACAGAAGAATTCTCAGTGAATTCTTTCTGTGTGTGTGTATTCAACTCACAGAGTTGAACGTTCCTTTAGACAGAGTAGATTGGAAACACTCTTTTTGTGGAATTTTCAGGTGGAGGTATCAAGCGCTTTGAGGCCAATGATAGAAAAGGAAATACCTTCGTATAATAATTAGACGGAATCATTCTCAGAAACTGCTTTGCAATGTGTGCGTTCAACTCACAGTGTTTAACCTTTCTTTTCATACAGTTGTTTCGAAACACTCTTTTTGCAGAATCTGCAAGTGGATATTTGGACCTCTTTGAAGTCTTCGTTGGAAATGGGATTTCTTCATATAATGCTAGACAGAAGACTTCTCAGTAACTGCTTTTTCTGGTGTGTATTCAACTCTCAGAGTTGAACTTTCCTTTAGAAACAGCAGATTTGAAACTCTCTTTTTGTGGAATTTGCAAGTGGAGATTTCAGAGCTTTGAGGCCAATGGTAGAAAAGGAAATATCTTCGTATGCAAACTAGACAGAATCATTCTCAGAAACTACTTTGGTACGTGTGTGTTCAACTCACAGTGTTTAACCTTTCTTTTCATAGAGCAGTTTGGAAACACTCAGTTTGTAAAGTCAGCAACTGGATATTTGGATGTATTTGAGGCCTTCGTTGGAAACGGGATTTCTTCATATAATGCTAGACAGAAGAATTCTCAGTAACTTCTTTGGGTTGTGGGTATTCAAGTCACAGAGTTGAAGCTTCCTTTAGGCGGAGCAGATTGGAAACACTTTTTGTGGAATTTTCAGGGGGAGACTTCAAGCGCTTTGAAGTGAATGGTAGGAAAGGAAATATCTTCGTATAAAAACTAGACGGAGTCATTCTCAGAAACTACTTTGTGATGTTTGCGTTCAACTCACAGAGTTTAACGTTTCTTTTCATAGAGCAGTTTGGAAACACTCTTTTTGCAGAATCTGCAAGTGGATATTTGGACCTCTTTGTGGCCTTCGTTGGAAACGGGATTTTTCATATAATGCTAGACAGAAGAATTCTCAGTAATTTCTTTTTGTGGTGTGTATTCAACTCACAGAGTTGAACCTTCTTTTAGACAGAGCAGATTTGAAACTCTCTTTTTGTGGAATTTGCAAGTGGAGATTTCAAGCGCTTTGAGGCCAACGGCAGAAAAGGAAATATCTTCGTAGAAAAAATAGACGGAATCATTCTCAGAAACTGCTTTGGGATGTGTGCATTGAACTCACAGTGTTTAACACTTCTTTTCATAGAGCACTTTGGAAACACTCAGGTTGTAATGTCTGCAGCTGGATATTTGGACCTCTTTGAGGCCTTCGTGGTAAACGGGATTTCTTCGTGTAATGATAGACAATAGAATTCTCAGTGAATTTTTTTCTGTGTGTGTGTATTCAACTCACAGGGTTGAACCTTCCTTTAGACAGTGCAGATTTGAGACACTTGTCTGTGGAATTTGCAAGGGGAGATTTCAAGCACTTTGAGGCCATTGGTGGAAAAGGAAATATCTTCGTATAAAAACTAGACAGAATCATTCTCAGGAACTACTTTGTGATATGTGCATTCAACTCCCAGAGTTTAACCTTTCTTTTCATAGATGAGTTTGGAAACAGTCAGTTTGTAAATTCTGCAACTGGATATTTGGACCTCTTTGAGGCTTTCGTTGGAAACGGGATTTCTTCACATAATGCTAGACAGAAGAATTCTCAGTAACTTCTTTTGGGATGTATGTATTCAAATCAGAGAGTTGAACCTTCCTTTAGACAGAGCGGATTGGAAACACTCTTTTTGTGGAATTTGCAAGTGGAAAATTCTAGCAGTATGAGGCCAATGGTACAAAAGGAAATATCTTCGTATAAAAACTAGACAGTATCATTCTCAGAAACTGCTTTGTGATGTGTGTATTAAACTCACAGATTTGAACATTTCTTTGCATAGAGCAGTTTGGAAAGACTTAGTTTGTGCAGTGTGCAAGTGGATATTTGGAACTCTTTGAGGCCTTCGTTTGAAACGGGATTTCTTCTTATAATTCTTGACAAAAGAATTCTCAGTAGCTTCCTTGTGTGTGTGTATTCAACTCGCAGAGTTGAACCTGCCTTTAGGCAGAGCAGATTGGAAACCCTCTTTTTGTGGAATTTGCAAGTGGAGAATTCTAGCGCTTTGACGCCAATGGTAGGAAAGGAAATATCTTCGTATAAAAACTGGACAGTATCATTCTCAGAAACTACTTTGTGATGTGTGCGTTCAACTCACAGAGTTTAACCTTTCTTTTCATAGAGCAGTTTGGAAACACTCTGTTTGTGAAGTCTGCAAGTGGATATTTAAACGTCTTTGAGGCCTTCGTTGGAAACGGGATTTTTTCATATAAACCAGGACAGAAGAATTCTCAGAAACTTCTTGATTGTTATGTGTGCATTCAACTCACAGAGTTGAACCTTACTTTGGAAAGAGCAGTTTTCTAACACTCTTTTTGTAAAAGTTCCAAGTGAATACTTTGAGTGCTTTGAAGCCTACGGTTGACAACGAAATATCTTCATGTAAAAACTACAAAGAATCATTCGCAGAAACCACGTTGTGATCTCTGCATTCAACTCACAGAGTTGAACCTTTCTTCCTATAGAGCAGTTATGAAACAGTCTCTTTGTAGAATTTGCAAGGGTGTATTTAGAGGGCATTGAAGCCTACGGTAGAAAAGGAAATATCTTACCATAAAATCTAGTCAGAAGCATTCTCAGAAACTGAGTTGTGATGTTTGCATTCAACTCACAGAGTTCAACATTCCTTTTAATGGAGCGGTTTTGAAACACTCTTTTTGCAGAATCTGCAAGTGGATATTTGGACCTCTTTGAGGCCTTCGTTGGAAACGGGATTTCTTCATGTAATGCCAGACAGAAGAATTCTCAGTGAATTCTTTCTGTGTGTGTGTATTCAACTCACAGAGTTGAACGTTCCTTTAGACAGAGTAGATTGGAAACACTCTTTTTGTGGAATTTTCAGGTGGAGGTATCAAGCGCTTTGAGGCCAATGATAGAAAAGGAAATACCTTCGTATAATAATTAGACGGAATCATTCTCAGAAACCGCTTTGCAATGTGTGCGTTCAACTCACAGTGTTTAACCTTTCTTTTCATACAGTTGTTTCGAAACACTCTTTTTGCAGAATCTGCAAGTGGATATTTGGACCTCTTTGAAGTCTTCGTTGGAAATGGGATTTCTTCATATAATGCTAGACAGAAGACTTCTCAGTAACTGCTTTTTCTGGTGTGTATTCAACTCTCAGAGTTGAACTTTCCTTTAGAAACAGCAGATTTGAAACTCTCTTTTTGTGGAATTTGCAAGTGGAGATTTCAGAGCTTTGAGGCCAATGGTAGAAAAGGAAATATCTTCGTATGCAAACTAGACAGAATCATTCTCAGAAACTACTTTGGTACGTGTGTGTTCAACTCACAGTGTTTAACCTTTCTTTTCATAGAGCAGTTTGGAAACACTCAGTTTGTAAAGTCAGCAACTGGATATTTGGATGTATTTGAGGCCTTCGTTGGAAACGGGATTTCTTCATATAATGCTAGACAGAAGAATTCTCAGTAACTTCTTTGGGTTGTGGGTATTCAAGTCACAGAGTTGAAGCTTCCTTTAGGCGGAGCAGATTGGAAACACTTTTTGTGGAATTTTCAGGGGGAGACTTCAAGCGCTTTGAAGTGAATGGTAGGAAAGGAAATATCTTCGTATAAAAACTAGACGGAGTCATTCTCAGAAACTACTTTGTGATGTTTGCGTTCAACTCACAGAGTTTAACGTTTCTTTTCATAGAGCAGTTTGGAAACACTCTTTTTGCAGAATCTGCAAGTGGATATTTGGACCTTTTGTGGCCTTCGTTGGAAACGGGATTTTTCATATAATGCTAGACAGAAGAATTCTCAGTAACTTCTTTTTGTGGTGTGTATTCAACTCACAGAGTTGAACCTTCCTTTAGACAGAGCAGATTTGAAACTCTCTTTTTGTGGAATTTGCAAGTGGAGATTTCAAGCGCTTTGAGGCCAACGGTAGAAAAGGAAATATCTTCGTAGAAAAAATAGACGGCATCATTCTCAGAAACTGCTTTGGGATGTGTGCATTGAACTCACAGTGTTTAACACTTCTTTTCATAGAGCACTTTGGAAACAGTCAGTTTGGAATGTCTGCAGCTGGATATTTGGACCTCTTTGAGGCCTTCGTAGTAAACGGGATTTCTTCGGGTAATGATAGACAATAGAATTCTCAGTGAATTTTTTTCTGTGTGTGTGTATTCAACTCACAGGGTTGAACCTTCCTTCAGACAGTACAGATTTGAAACACTTTTCTGTGGAATTTGCAAGGGGAGATTTCAAGCACTTTGTGGCCATTGGTGGAAAAGGGAATATCTTCGTATAAAAACTAGACAGAGTCATTGTCAGGAACTACTTTGTGATATGTGCATTCAACTCACAGAGTTTAACCTTTCTTTTCATAGATGAGTTTGGAAACAGTCAGTTTGTAAATTCTGCAACTGGATATTTGGACCTCTTTGAGGCTTTCGTTGGAAACGGGATTTCTTCACATAATGCTAGACAGAAGAATTCTCAGTAACTTCTTTTGGGATGTATGTATTCAACTCAGAGAGTTGAACCTTCCTTTAGACAGAGCGGATTGGAAACACGCTTTTTGCGGAATTTTCAGGTGGAGATTCCAAGAGCCTTGAGGCCAATGGTAGAAAAGGCTATCTTCGTATAAAAACTAGAGGGAATCATTCTCAGAAACTGCTTTGTGATGTGTGCATTAAACTCACAGAGTTGAACATTTCTTTGCATAGAGCAGTTTGGAAAGACTTAGTTTGTACAGTGTGCAAGTGGATATTTGGAACTCTTTGAGGCCTTCGTTGGAAACGGGATTTCTTCTTATAATTCTTGACAAAAGAATTCTCAGTAGCTTCTTTGTGTGTGTGTATTCAACTCACAGAGTTGAACCTTCCTTTAGGCAGAGCAGATTGGAAACCCACTTTTTGTGGAATTTGCAAGTGGAGAATTCTAGCGCTTTGACGCCAATGGTAGGAAAGGAAATATCTCCGTATAAAAACTAGACAGTATCATTCTCAGAAACTACTTTGTGATGTGTGCGTTCAACTCACAGAGTTTAACCTTTCTTTTCATAGAGCAGTTTGGAAACACTCTGTTTGTGAAGTCTGCAAGAGGATATTTAAACGTCTTTGAGGCCTTCGTTGGAAACGGGATTTTTTCATATAAACCAGGACAGAAGAATTCTCAGAAACTTCTTGTTTGTTATGTGTGCATTCAACTCACAGAGTTGAACCTTACTTCGGAAAGAGCAGTTTTCTAACACTCTTTTTGTAAAAGTTCCAAGTGAATACTTTGAGTGCTTTGAAGCCTACGGTAGACAACGAAATATCTTCATGCAAAAACTGCAAAGAATCATTCGCCGAAACCACGTTGTGATCTCTGCATTCAACTCACAGAGTTCAACCTTTCTTCCTATAGAGCAGTTATTAAACAGTCTCTTTGTAGAATTTGCAAGGGTGTATTTAGAGGGCATTGAGGCCTACGGTAGAAAAGGAAATATCTGACCATAAAATCTAGTCAGAAGCATTCTCAGAAACTGAGTTGTGATGTTTGCATTCAACTCACAGAGTTCAACATTCCTTTTCATAGAGCGGTTTTGAAACACTCTTTTTCCAGAATCTGCAAGTGGATATTTGGACCTCTTTGAGGCCTTCGTTGGAAACGGGATTTCTTCATGTAATCCCAGACAGAAGAACTCTCAGTGAATTCTTTCTGTGTGTGTGTACTCAACTCACAGAGTTGAACGTTCCCTTAGACAGAGTAGATTGGAAACACTCTTTTTGTGGAATGTTCACGTGGAGGTATCAAGCGCTTTGAGGCCCATGATAGAAAAGGAAATACCTTCGTATAATAATTAGATGGAATCATTCTCAGAAACTGCTTTGCAATGTGTGCCTTCAACTCACAGTGTTTAACCTTTCTTTTCATACAGTTGTTTCGAAACACCCTTTTTGCGGAATCTGGAAGTGGATATTTGGACCTCTTTGAAGTCTTCGTTGGAAATGGGATTTCTTCATATAATGCTAGACAGAAGACTTCTCAGTAACTGGTTTTTCTGGTGTGTATTCAACTCTCAGAGTTGAACTTTCCTTTAGAAACAGCAGATATGAAACTCTCTTTTTGTGGAATTTGCAAGTGGAGATTTCAAAGCATTGAGGCCAATGGTAGAAAAGGAAATATCTTCGTATGCCAACTAGACAGAATCATTCTCAGAAACTACTTTGGTACGTGTGTGTTCAACTCACAGTGTTTAACCTTTCCTTTCATAGAGCAGTTTGGAAACACTCAGTTTGTAAAGTCAGCCACTGGATATTTGGATGTATTTGAGGCCTTCGTTGGAAACGGGATTTCTTCATATAATGCTAGACAGAAGAATTCTCAGTAACTTCTTTGTGTTGTGGGTATTCAACTCACAGAGTTGAAGCTTCCTTTAGGCGGAGCAGATTGGAAACACTTTTTGTGGAATTTTCAGGGGGAGACTTCAAGCGCTTTGAGGCCAACGGTAGAAAAGGAAATATCTTCGTATAAAAACTAGACGGAGTCATTCTCAGAAACTACTTTGTGATGTTTGCATTCAACTCACAGAGTTTAACGTTTCTTTTCATAGAGCAGTTTGGAGACACTCTTTTTGCAGAATCTGCAAGTGGATATTTGGACCTCTTTGTGGCCTTCGTTGGAAACGGGATTTTTCATATAATGCTAGACAGAAGAATTCTCAGTAACTTCTTTTTGTGGTGTGTATTCAACTCACAGAGTTGAACCTTCCTTTAGACAGAGCAGATTTGAAACTCTCTTTTTGTGGAATTTGCAAGTGGAGATTTCAAGCGCTTTGAGGCCAACGGTAGAAAAGGAAATATCTTCGTAGAAAAAATAGACGGAATCATTCTCAGAAACTGCTTTGGGATGCGTGCATTGAACTCACAGTGTTTAACACTTCTTTTCATAGAGCACTTTGGAAACACTCAGTTTGTAATGTCTGCAGCTGGATATTTGGACCTCTTTGAGGCCTTCGTAGTAAACGGGATTTCTTCGTGTAATGATAGACAATAGAATTCTCAGTGAATTTTTTTCTGTGTGTGTGTATTCAACTCACAGGGTTGAACCTTCCTTTAGACAGTGCAGATTTGAAACACTTGTCTGTGGAATTTGCAAGGGGAGATTTCAAGCACTTTGAGGCCATTGGTGGAAAAGGAAATATCTTCCGTATAAAAACTAGACAGAATCATTCTCAGGAACTACTTTGTGATATGTGCATTCAACTCCCAGAGTTTAACCTTTCTTTTCATAGATGAGTCTGGAAACAGTCAGTTTGTAAATTCTGCAACTGGATATTTGGACCTCTTTGAGGCTTTCGTTGGAAACGGGATTTCTTCACATAATGCTAGACAGAAGAATTCTCAGGAACTTCTTTTGGGATGTATGTATTCAAATCAGAGAGTTGAACCTTCCTTTAGACAGAGCGGATTGGAAACACTCTTTTTGTGGAATTTGCAAGTGGAAAATTCTAGCAGTATGAGGCCAATGGTACAAAAGGAAATATCTTCGTATAAAAACTAGACAGTATCATTCTCAGAAACTGCTTTGTGATGTGTGTATTAAACTCACAGAGTTGAACATTTCTTTGCATAGAGCAGTTTGGAAAGACTTAGTTTGTGCAGTGTGCAAGTGGATATTTGGAACTCTTTGAGGCCTTCGTTGGAAACGGGATTTCTTCTTATAATTCTTGACAAAAGGAATTCTCAGTAGCTTCTTTGTGTGTGTGTATTCAACTCACAGAGTTGAACCTTCCTTTAGACAGAGCAGATTGGAAACACTCTTTTTGTGGAATTTGCAAGTGGAGAATTCTAGCGCTTTGACACCAATGGTAGAAAGGAAATATCTTCGTATAAAAACTAGACAGTATCATTCTCAGAAGCTACTTTGTGATGTGTGCGTTCAACTCACAGAGTTTAACCTTTCTTTTCATAGAGCAGTTTGGAAACACTCTGTTTGTGAAGTCTGCAAGTGGATATTTAAACGTCTTTGAGGCCTTCGTTGGAAACGGGATTTTTTCATATAAACCAGGACAGAGGAATTCTCAGAAACTTCTTGATTGTTATGTGTGCATTCAACTCACAGAGTTGAACCTTACTTTGGAAAGAGCAGTTTCCTAACACTCGTTTTGTAAAAGTTCCAAGTGAATACTTTGAGTGCTTTGAAGCCTACGGTTGACAACGAAATATCTTCATGTAAAAACTACAAAGAATCATTCGCAGAAACCACGTTGTGATCTCTGCATTCAACTCACAGCGTTCAACCTTTCTTCCTATAGAGCAGTTATGAAACAGTCTCTTTGTAGAATTTGCAAGGGTGTATTTAGAGGGCATTGAAGCCTACGGTAGAAAAGGAAATATCTTACCATAAAATCTAGTCAGAAGCATTCTCAGAAACTGAGTTGTGATGTTTGCATTCAACTCACAGAGTTCAACATTCCTTTTAATGGAGCGGTTTTGAAACACTCTTTTTGCAGAATCTGCAAGTGGATATTTGGACCTCTTTGAGGCCTTCGTTGGAAACGGGATTTCTTCATGTAATGCCAGACAGAAGAATTCTCAGTGAATTCTTTCTGTGTGTGTGTATTCAACTCACAGAGTTGAACGTTCCTTTAGACAGAGTAGATTGGAAACACTCTTTTTGTGGAATTTTCAGGTGGAGGTATCAAGCGCTTTGAGGCCAATGATAGAAAAGGAAATACCTTCGTATAATAATTAGACGGAATCATTCTCAGAAACTGCTTTGCAATGTGTGCGTTCAACTCACAGTGTTTAACCTTTCTTTTCATACAGTTGTTTCGAAACACTCTTTTTGCAGAATCTGCAAGTGGATATTTGGACCTCTTTGAAGTCTTCGTTGGAAATGGGATTTCTTCATATAATGCTAGACAGAAGACTTCTCAGTAACTGCTTTTTCTGGTGTGTATTCAACTCTCAGAGTTGAACTTTC
This sequence comes from Homo sapiens, assembly GCF_000001405.40. Lineage (NCBI taxonomy): Eukaryota > Metazoa > Chordata > Mammalia > Primates > Hominidae > Homo > Homo sapiens. The sequence continues at coordinate 91,963,185 of NC_000003.12, forward strand.
CTTTAGAAACAGCAGATTTGAAACTCTCTTTTTGTGGAATTTGCAAGTGGAGATTTCAGAGCTTTGAGGCCAATGGTAGAAAAGGAAATATCTTCGTATGCAAACTAGACAGAATCATTCTCAGAAACTACTTTGGTACGTGTGTGTTCAACTCACAGTGTTTAACCTTTCTTTTCATAGAGCAGTTTGGAAACACTCAGTTTGTAAAGTCAGCAACTGGATATTTGGATGTATTTGAGGCCTTCGTTGGAAACGGGATTTCTTCATATAATGCTAGACAGAAGAATTCTCAGTAACTTCTTTGGGTTGTGGGTATTCAAGTCACAGAGTTGAAGCTTCCTTTAGGCGGAGCAGATTGGAAACACTTTTTGTGGAATTTTCAGGGGGAGACTTCAAGCGCTTTGAAGTGAATGGTAGGAAAGGAAATATCTTCGTATAAAAACTAGACGGAGTCATTCTCAGAAACTACTTTGTGATGTTTGCGTTCAACTCACAGAGTTTAACGTTTCTTTTCATAGAGCAGTTTGGAAACACTCTTTTTGCAGAATCTGCAAGTGGATATTTGGACCTCTTTGTGGCCTTCGTTGGAAACGGGATTTTTCATATAATGCTAGACAGAAGAATTCTCAGTAACTTCTTTTTGTGGTGTGTATTCAACTCACAGAGTTGAACCTTCCTTTAGACAGAGCAGATTTGAAACTCTCTTTTTGTGGAATTTGCAAGTGGAGATTTCAAGCGCTTTGAGGCCAACGGCAGAAAAGGAAATATCTTCGTAGAAAAAATAGACGGAATCATTCTCAGAAACTGCTTTGGGATGTGTGCATTGAACTCACAGTGTTTAACACTTCTTTTCATAGAGCACTTTGGAAACACTCAGTTTGTAATGTCTGCAGCTGGATATTTGGACCTCTTTGAGGCCTTCGTAGTAAACGGGATTTCTTCGTGTAATGATAGACAATAGAATTCTCAGTGAATTTTTTTCTGTGTGTGTGTATTCAACTCACAGGGTTGAACCTTCCTTTAGACAGTGCAGATTTGAGACACTTGTCTGTGGAATTTGCAAGGGGAGATTTCAAGCACTTTGAGGCCATTGGTGGAAAAGGAAATATCTTCGTATAAAAACTAGACAGAATCATTCTCAGGAACTACTTTGTGATATGTGCATTCAACTCACAGAGTTTAACCCTTCTTTTCATAGATGAGTTTGGAAACAGTCAGTTTGTAAATGCTGCAACTGGATATTTGGGCCTCTTTGAGGCTTTCGTTGGAAACGGGATTTCTTCACATAATGCTAGACAGAAGAATTCTCAGTAACTTCTTTTGGGATGTATGTATTCAAATCAGAGAGTTGAACCTTCCTTTAGACAGAGTGGATTGGAAACACTCTTTTTGTGGAATTTGCAAGTGGAAAATTCTAGCAGTATGAGGCCAATGGTACAAAAGGAAATATCTTCGTATAAAAACTAGACAGTATCATTCTCAGAAACTGCTTTGTGATGTGTGTATTAAACTCACAGAGTTGAACATTTCTTTGCATAGAGCAGTATGGAAAGACTTAGTTTGTGCAGTGTGCAAGTGGATATTTGGAACTCTTTGAGGCCTTGGTTGGAAACGGGATTTCTTCTTATAATTCTTGACAAAAGAATTCTCAGTAGCTTCTTTGTGTGTGTGTACTCAACTCACAGAGTTGAACCTTCCTTTAGACAGAGCAGATTGGAAACACTCTTTTTGTGGAATTTGCAAGTGGAAAATTCTAGCAGTATGAGGCCAATGGTACAAAAGGAAATATCTTCGTATAAAAACTAGACAGTATCATTCTCAGAAACTACTTTGTGAGGTGTGCGTTCAACTCACAGTGTTTACCCTTTCTTTTCATAGAGCAGTTTGGAAACACTCTGTTTGTGAAGTCTGCAAGTGGATATTTAAACGTCTTTGAGGCCTTCGTTGGAAACGGGATTTCTTCATATAAACCAGGACAGAAGAATTCTCAGAAACTTCTTGTTTGTTATGTGTGCATTCAACTCACAGAGTTGAACCTTACTTTGGAAAGAGCAGTTTTCTAACACTCTTTTTGAAAAAGTTCCAAGTGAATACTTTGAGTGCTTTGAAGCCTACGGTAGACAACGAAATATCTTCATGTAAAAACTACAAAGAATCATTCGCAGAAACCACGTTGTGATCTCTGCATTCAACTCACAGAGTTGAACCTTTCCTCCTATAGAGCAGTTATGAAACAGTCTCTTTGTAGAATTTGCAAGGGTGTATTTACAGGGCATTGAAGCCTACGGTAGAAAAGGAAATATCTTACCATAAAATCTAGTCAGAAGCATTCTCAGAAACTGAGTTGTGATGTTTGCATTCAACTCACAGAGTTCAACATTCCTTTTAATGGAGCGGTTTTGAAACACTCTTTTTGCAGAATCTGCAAGTGGATATTTGGACCTCTTTGAGGCCTTCGTTGGAAACGGGATTTCTTCATGTAATGCCAGACAGAAGAATTCTCAGTGAATTCTTTCTGTGTGTGTGTATTCAACTCACGGAGTTGAACGTTCCTTTAGACAGAGTAGATTGGAAACACTCTTTTTGTGGAATTTTCAGGTGGAGGTATCAAGCGCTTTGAGGCCAATGATAGAAAAGGAAGTACCTTCGTATAATAATTAGACGGAATCATTCTCAGAAACTGCTTTGCAATGTGTGCGTTCAACTCACAGTGTTTAACCTTTCTTTTCATACAGTTTTGTTTCGAAACACTCTTTTTGCAGAATCTGCAAGTGGATATTTGGACCTCTTTGAAGTCTTCGTTGGAAATGGGATTTCTTCATATAATGCTAGACAGAAGACTTCTCAGTAACTGCTTTTTCTGGTGTGTATTCAACTCTCAGAGTTGAACTTTCCTTTAGAAACAGCAGAGTTGAAACTCTCTTTTTGTGGAATTTGCAAGTGGAGATTTCAAAGCTTTGAGGCCAATGGTAGAAAAGGAAATATCTTCGTATGCAAACTAGACAGAATCATTCTCAGAAACTACTTTGGTACGTGTGTGTTCAACTCACAGTGTTTAACCTTTCTTTTCATAGAGCAGTTTGGAAACACCCAGTTTGTAAAGTCAGCAACTGGATATTTGGATGTATTTGAGGCCTTCGTTGGAAACGGGATTTCTTCATATAGTGCTAGACAGAAGAATTCTCAGTAACTTCTTTGGGTTGTGGGTATTCAACTCACAGAGTTGAAGCTTCCTTTAGGCGGAGCAGATTGGAAACACTTTTTGTGGAATTTTCAGGGGGAGACTTCAAGCGCTTTGAAGTGAATGGTAGAAAAGGAAATATCTTCGTATAAAAACTAGACGGAGTCATTCTCAGAAACTACTTTGTGATGTTTGCGTTCAACTCACAGAGTTTAACGTTTCTTTTCATAGAGCAGTTTGGAAACACTCTTTTTGCAGAATCTGCAAGTGGATATTTGGACCTCTTTGTGGCCTTCGTTGGAAACGGGATTTTTCATATAATGCTAGACAGAAGAATTCTCAGTAACTTCTTTTTGTGGTGTGTATTCAACTCACAGAGTTGAACCTTCCTTTAGACAGAGCAGATTTGAAACTCTCTTTTTGTGGAATTTGCAAGTGGAGATTTCAAGCGCTTTGAGGCCAACGGTAGAAAAGGAAATATCTTCGTAGAAAAAATAGACGGAATCATTCTCAGAAACTGCTTTGGGATGTGTGCATTGAACTCACAGTGTTTAACACTTCTTTTCATAGAGCACTTTGGAAACACTCAGTTTGTAATGTCTGCAGCTGGATATTTGGACCTCTTTGAGGCCTTCGTAGTAAACGGGATTTCTTCGTGTAATGATAGACAATAGAATTCTCAGTGAATTTTTTTCTGTGTGTGTGTATTCAACTCACAGGGTTGAACCTTCCTTTAGACAGTGCAGATTTGAAACACTTGTCTGTGGAATTTGAAAGGGGAGATTTCAAGCACTTTGAGGCCATTGGTGGAAAAGGAAATATCTTCGTATAAAAACTAGACAGAATCATTCTCAGGAACTACTTTGTGATATGTGCATTCAACTCACAGAGTTTAACCTTTCTTTTCATAGATGAGTTTGGAAACAGTCAGTTTGTAAATTCTGCAACTGGATATTTGGACCTCTTTGAGGCTTTCGTTGGAAACGGGATTTCTTCACATAATGCTAGACAGAAGAATTCTCAGTAAATTCTTTTGGGATGTATGTATTCAAATCAGAGAGTTGAACCTTCCTTTAGACAGAGCGGATTGGAAACACTCTTTTTGTGGAATTTGCAAGTGGAAAATTCTAGCAGTATGAGGCCAATGGTACAAAAGGAAATATCTTCGTATAAAAACTAGACAGTATCATTCTCAGAAACTGCTTTGTGATGTGTGTATTAAACTCACAGAGTTGAACATTTCTTTGCATAGAGCAGTTTGGAAAGACTTAGTTTGTGCAGTGTGCAAGTGGATATTTGGAACTCTTTGAGGCCTTCGTTGGAAACGGGATTTCTTCTTATAATTCTTGACAAAAGAATTCTCAGTAGCTTCTTTGTGTGTGTGTATTCAACTCACAGAGTTGAACCTTCCTTTAGACAGAGCAGATTGGAAACACTCTTTTTGTGGAATTTGCAAGTGGAGAATTCTAGCGCTTTGACGCCAATGGTAGAAAGGAAATATCTTCGTATAAAAACTAGACAGTATCATTCTCAGAAGCTACTTTGTGATGTGTGCGTTCAACTCACAGAGTTTAACCTTTCTTTTCATAGAGCAGTTTGGAAACACTCTGTTTGTGAAGTCTGCAAGTGGATATTTAAACGTCTTTGAGGCCTTCGTTGGAAACGGGATTTTTTCATATAAACCAGGACAGAAGAATTCTCAGAAACGTCTTGATTGTTATGTGTGCATTCAACTCACAGAGTTGAACCTTACTTTGGAAAGAGCAGTTTTCTAACACTCTTTTTGTAAAAGTTCCAAGTGAATACTTTGAGTGCTTTGAAGCCTACGGTTGACAACGAAATATCTTCATGTAAAAACTACAAAGAATCATTCGCAGAAACCACGTTGTGATCTCTGCATTCAACTCACAGAGTTCAACCTTTCTTCCTATAGAGCAGTTATGAAACAGTCTCTTTGTAGAATTTGCAAGGGTGTATTTAGAGGGCATTGAAGCCTACGGTAGAAAAGGAAATATCTTACCATAAAATCTAGTCAGAAGCATTCTCAGCAACTGAGTTGTGATGTTTGCATTCAACTCACAGAGTTCAACATTCCTTTTAATGGAGCGGTTTTGAAACACTCTTTTTGCAGAATCTGCAAGTGGATATTTGGACCTCTTTGAGGCCTTCGTTGGAAACGGGATTTCTTCATGTAATGCCAGACAGAAGAATTCTCAGTGAATTCTTTCTGTGTGTGTGTATTCAACTCACAGAGTTGAACGTTCCTTTAGACAGAGTAGATTGGAAACACTCTTTTTGTGGAATTTTCAGGTGGAGGTATCAAGCGCTTTGAGGCCAATGATAGAAAAGGAAATACCTTCGTATAATAATTAGACGGAATCATTCTCAGAAACTGCTTTGCAATGTGTGCATTCAACTCACAGTGTTTAACCTTTCTTTTCATACAGTTGTTTCGAAACACTCTTTTTGCAGAATCTGCAAGTGGATATTTGGACCTCTTTGAAGTCTTCGTTGGAAATGGGATTTCTTCATATAATGCTAGACAGAAGACTTCTCAGTAACTGCTTTTTCTGGTGTGTATTCAACTCTCAGAGTTGAACTTTCCTTTAGAAACAGCAGATTTGAAACTCTCTTTTTGTGGAATTTGCAAGTGGAGATTTCAGAGCTTTGAGGCCAATGGTAGAAAAGGAAATATCTTCGTATGCAAACTAGACAGAATCATTCTCAGAAACTACTTTGGTACGTGTGTGTTCAACTCACAGTGTTTAACCTTTCTTTTCATAGAGCAGTTTGGAAACACTGTTTGTAAAGTCAGCAACTGGATATTTGGATGTATTTGAGGCCTTCGTTGGAAACGGGATTTCTTCATATAATGCTAGACAGAAGAATTCTCAGTAACTTCTTTGGGTTGTGGGTATTCAACTCACAGAGTTGAAGCTTCCTTTAGGCGGAGCAGATTGGAAACACTTTTTGTGGAATTTTCAGGGGGAGACTTCAAGCGCTTTGAAGTGAATGGTAGGAAAGGAAATATCTTCGTATAAAAACTAGACGGAGTCATTCTCAGAAACTACTTTGTGATGTTTGCGTTCAACTCACAGAGTTTAACGTTTCTTTTCATAGAGCAGTTTGGAAACACTCTTTTTGCAGAATCTGCAAGTGGATATTTGGACCTCTTTGTGGCCTTCGTTGGAAACGGGATTTTTCATATAATGCTAGACAGAAGAATTCTCAGTAACTTCTTTTTGTGGTGTGTATTCAACTCACAGAGTTGAACCTTCCTTTAGACAGAGCAGATTTGAAACTCTCTTTTTGTGGAATTTGCAAGTGGAGATTTCAAGCGCTTTGAGGCCAACGGCAGAAAAGGAAATATCTTCGTAGAAAAAATAGACGGAATCATTCTCAGAAACTGCTTTGGGATGTGTGCATTGAACTCACAGTGTTTAACACTTCTTTTCATAGAGCACTTTGGAAACACTCAGTTTGTAATGTCTGCAGCTGGATATTTGGACCTCTTTGAGGCCTTCGTAGTAAACGGGATTTCTTCGTGTAATGATAGACAATAGAATTCTCAGTGAATTTTTTTCTGTGTGTGTGTATTCAACTCACAGGGTTGAACCTTCCTTTAGACAGTGCAGATTTGAAACACTTGTCTGTGGAATTTGCAAGGGGAGATTTCAAGCACTTTGAGGCCATTGGTGGAAAAGGAAATATCTTCGTATAAAAACTAGACAGAATCATTCTCAGGAACTACTTTGTGATATGTGCATTCAACTCCCAGAGTTTAACCTTTCTTTTCATAGATGAGTTTGGAAACAGTCAGTTTGTAAATTCTGCCACTGGATATTTGGACCTCTTTGAGGCTTTCGTTGGAAACGGGATTTCTTCACATAATGCTAGACAGAAGAATTCTCAGTAACTTCTTTTGGGATGTATGTATTCAAATCAGAGAGTTGAACCTTCCTTTAGACAGAGCGGATTGGAAACACTCTTTTTGTGGAATTTGCAAGTGGAAAATTCTAGCAGTATGAGGCCAATGGTACAAAAGGAAATATCTTCGTATAAAAACTAGACAGTATCATTCTCAGAAACTGCTTTGTGATGTGTGTATTAAACTCACAGAGTTGAACATTTCTTTGCATAGAGCAGTTTGGAAAGACTTAGTTTGTGCAGTGTGCAAGTGGATATTTGGAACTCTTTGAGGCCTTCGTTGGAAACGGGATTTCTTCTTATAATTTCTTGAAAAAAGAATTCTCAGTAGCTTCTTTGTGTGTGTGTATTCAACTCACAGAGTTGAACCTTCCTTTAGACAGAGCAGATTGGAAACACTCTTTTTGTGGAATTTGCAAGTGGAGAATTCTAGCGCTTTGACGCCAATGGTAGAAAGGAAATATCTTCGTATAAAAACTAGACAGTATCATTCTCAGAAGCTACTTTGTGATGTGTGCGTTCAACTCACAGAGTTTAACCTTTCTTTTCATAGAGCAGTTTGGAAACCCTCTGTTTGTGAAGTCTGCAAGTGGATATTTAAACGTCTTTGAGGCCTTCGTTGGAAACGGGATTTTTTCATATAAACCAGGACAGAAGAATTCTCAGAAACGTCTTGATTGTTATGTGTGCATTCAACTCACAGAGTTGAACCTTACTTTGGAAAGAGCAGTTTTCTAATACTCTTTTTGTAAAAGTTCCAAGTGAATACTTTGAGTGCTTTGAAGCCTACGGTTGACAACGAAATATCTTCATGTAAAAACTACAAAGAATCATTCGCAGAAACCACGTTGTGATCTCTGCATTCAACTCACAGAGTTCAACCTTTCTTCCTATAGAGCAGTTATGAAACAGTCTCTTTGTAGAATTTGCAAGGGTGTATTTAGAGGGCATTGAAGCCTACGGTAGAAAAGGAAATATCTTACCATAAAATCTAGTCAGAAGCATTCTCAGCAACTGAGTTGTGATGTTTGCATTCAACTCACAGAGTTCAACATTCCTTTTAATGGAGCGGTTTTGAAACACTCTTTTTGCAGAATCTGCAAGTGGATATTTGGACCTCTTTGAGGTCTTCGTTGGAAACGGGATTTCTTCATGTAATGCCAGACAGAAGAATTCTCAGTGAATTCTTTCTGTGTGTGTGTATTCAACTCACAGAGTTGAACGTTCCTTTAGACAGAGTAGATTGGAAACACTCTTTTTGTGGAATTTTCAGGTGGAGGTATCAAGCGCTTTGAGGCCAATGATAGAAAAGGAAATACCTTCGTATAATAATTAGACGGAATCATTCTCAGAAACCGCTTTGCAATGTGTGCGTTCAACTCACAGTGTTTAACCTTTCTTTTCATACAGTTGTTTCGAAACACTCTTTTTGCAGAATCTGCAAGTGGATATTTGGACCTCTTTGAAGTCTTCGTTGGAAATGGGATTTCTTCATATAATGCTAGACAGAAGACTTCTCAGTAACTGCTTTTTCTGGTGTGTATTCAACTCTCAGAGTTGAACTTTCCTTTAGAAACAGCAGATTTGAAACTCTCTTTTTGTGGAATTTGCAAGTGGAGATTTCAGAGCTTTGAGGCCAATGGTAGAAAAGGAAATATCTTCGTATGCAAACTAGACAGAATCATTCTCAGAAACTACTTTGGTACGTGTGTGTTCAACTCACAGTGTTTAACCTTTCTTTTCATAGAGCAGTTTGGAAACACTCAGTTTGTAAAGTCAGCAACTGGATATTTGGATGTATTTGAGGCCTTCGTTGGAAACGGGATTTCTTCATATAATGCTAGACAGAAGAATTCTCAGTAACTTCTTTGGGTTGTGGGTATTCAAGTCACAGAGTTGAAGCTTCCTTTAGGCGGAGCAGATTGGAAACACTTTTTGTGGAATTTTCAGGGGGAGACTTCAAGCGCTTTGAAGTGAATGGTAGGAAAGGAAATATCTTCGTATAAAAACTAGACGGAGTCATTCTCAGAAACTACTTTGTGATGTTTGCGTTCAACTCACAGAGTTTAACGTTTGTTTTCATAGAGCAGTTTGGAAACACTCTTTTTGCAGAATCTGCAAGTGGATATTTGGACCTCTTTGTGGCCTTCGTTGGAAACGGGATTTTTCATATAATGCTAGACAGAAGAATTCTCAGTAACTTCTTTTTGTGGTGTGTATTCAACTCACAGAGTTGAACCTTCCTTTAGACAGAGCAGATTTGAAACTCTCTTTTTGTGGAATTTGCAAGTGGAGATTTCAAGCGCTTTGAGGCCAACGGCAGAAAAGGAAATATCTTCGTAGAGAAAATAGACGGAATCATTCTCAGAAACTGCTTTGGGATGTGTGCATTGAACTCACAGTGTTTAACACTTCTTTTCATAGAGCACTTTGGAAACACTCAGTTTGTAATGTCTGCAGCTGGATATTTGGACCTCTTTGAGGCCTTCGTAGTAAACGGGATTTCTTCGTGTAATGATAGACAATAGAATTCTCAGTGAATTTTTTTCTGTGTGTGTGTATTCAACTCACAGGGTTGAACCTTCCTTTAGACAGTGCAGATTTGAAACACTTGTCTGTGGAATTTGCAAGGGGAGATTTCAAGCACTTTGAGGCCATTGGTGGAAAAGGAAATATCTTCGTATGAAAACTAGACAGAATCATTCTCAGGAACTACTTTGTGATATGTGCATTCAACTCACAGAGTTTAACCTTTCTTTTCATAGATGAGTTTGGAAACAGTCAGTTTGTAAATTCTGCAACTGGATATTTGGACCTCTTTGAGGCTTTCGTTGGAAACGGGATTTCTTCACATAATGCTAGACAGAAGAATTCTCAGTAACTTCTTTTGGGATGTATGTATTCAAATCAGAGGGTTGAACCTTCCTTTAGACAGAGCGGATTGGAAACACTCTTTTTGTGGAATTTGCAAGTGGAAAATTCTAGCAGTATGAGGCCAATGGTACAAAAGGAAATATCTTCGTATAAAAACTAGACAGTATCATTCTCAGAAACTGCTTTGTGATGTGTGTATTAAACTCACAGAGTTGAACATTTCTTTGCATAGAGCAGTTTGGAAAGACTTAGTTTGTGCAGTGTGCAAGTGGATATTTGGAACTCTTTGAGGCCTTCGTTGGAAACGGGATTTCTTCTTATAATTCTTGACAAAAGAATTCTCAGTAGCTTCTTTGTGTGTGTGTATTCAACTCACAGAGTTGAACCTTCCTTTAGACAGAGCAGATTGGAAACACTCTTTTTGTGGAAGTTGCAAGTGGAGAATTCTAGCGCTTTGACGCCAATGGTAGAAAGGAAATATCTTCGTATAAAAACTAGACAGTATCATTCTCAGAAGCTACTTTGTGATGTGTGCGTTCAACTCACAGAGTTTAACCTTTCTTTTCATAGAGCAGTTTGGAAACCCTCTGTTTGTGAAGTCTGCAAGTGGATATTTAAACGTCTTTGAGGCCTTTGTTGGAAACGGGATTTGTTCCTATAAACCAGGACAGAAGAATTCTCAGAAACTTCTTGATTGTTATGTGTGCATTCAACTCACAGAGTTGAACCTTACTTTGGAAAGAGCAGTTTTCTAACACTCTTTTTGTAAAAGTTCCAAGTGAATACTTTGAGTGCTTTGAAGCCTACGGTTAACAACGAAATATCTTCATGTAAAAACTACAAAGAATCATTCGCAGAAACCACGTTGTGATCTCTGCATTCAACTCACAGAGTTCAACCTTTCTTCCTATAGAGCAGTTATGAAACAGTCTCTTTGTAGAATTTGCAAGGGTGTATTTAGAGGGCATTGAAGCCTACGGTAGAAAAGGAAATATCTTACCATAAAATCTAGTCAGAAGCATTCTCAGAAACTGAGTTGTGATGTTTGCATTCAACTCACAGAGTTCAACATTCCTTTTAATGGAGCGGTTTTGAAACACTCTTTTTGCAGAATCTGCAAGTGGATATTTGGACCTCTTTGAGGCCTTCGTTGGAAACGGGATTTCTTCATGTAATGCCAGACAGAAGAATTCTCAGTGAATTCTTTCTGTGTGTGTGTATTCAACTCACAGAGTTGAACGTTCCTTTAGACAGAGTAGATTGGAAACACTCTTTTTGTGGAATTTTCAGGTGGAGGTATCAAGCGCTTTGAGGCCAATGATAGAAAAGGAAATACCTTCGTATAATAATTAGACGGAATCATTCTCAGAAACTGCTTTGCAATGTGTGCGTTCAACTCACAGTGTTTAACCTTTCTTTTCATACAGTTGTTTCGAAACACTCTTTTTGCAGAATCTGCAAGTGGATATTTGGACCTCTTTGAAGTCTTCGTTGGAAATGGGATTTCTTCATATAATGCTAGACAGAAGACTTCTCAGTAACTGCTTTTTCTGGTGTGTATTCAACTCTCAGAGTTGAACTTTCCTTTAGAAACAGCAGAGTTGAAACTCTCTTTTTGTGGAATTTGCAAGTGGAGATTTCAGAGCTTTGAGGCCAATGGTAGAAAAGGAAATATCTTCGTATGCAAACTAGACAGAATCATTCTCAGAAACTACTTTGGTACGTGTGTGTTCAACTCACAGTGTTTAACCTTTCTTTTCATAGAGCAGTTTGGAAACACTCAGTTTGTAAAGTCAGCAACTGGATATTTGGATGTATTTGAGGCCTTCGTTGGAAACGGGATTTCTTCATATAATGCTAGACAGAAGAATTCTCAGTAACTTCTTTGGGTTGTGGGTATTCAAGTCACAGAGTTGAAGCTTCCTTTAGGCGGAGCAGATTGGAAACACTTTTTGTGGAATTTTCAGGGGGAGACTTCAAGCGCTTTGAAGTGAATGGTAGGAAAGGAAATATCTTCGTATAAAAACTAGACGGAGTCATTCTCAGAAACTACTTTGTGATGTTTGCGTTCAACTCACAGAGTTTAACGTTTCTTTTCATAGAGCAGTTTGGAAACACTCTTTTTGCAGAATCTGCAAGTGGATATTTGGACCTCTTTGTGGCCTTCGTTGGAAACGGGATTTTTCATATAATGCTAGACAGAAGACTTCTCAGTAACTTCTTTTTGTGGTGTGTATTCAACTCACAGAGTTGAACCTTCCTTTAGACAGAGCAGATTTGAAACTCTCTTTTTGTGGAATTTGCAAGTGGAGATTTCAAGCGCTTTGAGGCCAACGGCAGAAAAGGAAATATCTTCGTAGAAAAAATAGACGGAATCATTCTCAGAAACTGCTTTGGGATGTGTGCATTGAACTCACAGTGTTTAACACTTCTTTTCATAGAGCACTTTGGAAACACTCAGTTTGTAATGTCTGCAGCTGGATATTTGGACCTCTTTGAGGCCTTCGTAGTAAACGGGATTTCTTCGGTGTAATGATAGACAATAGAATTCTCAGTGAATTTTTTTCTGTGTGTGTGTATTCAACTCACAGGGTTGAACCTTCCTTTAGACAGTGCAGATTTGAAACACTTGTCTGTGGAATTTGCAAGGGGAGATTTCAAGCACTTTGAGGCCATTGGTGGAAAAGGAAATATCTTCGTATGAAAACTAGACAGAATCATTCTCAGGAACTACTTTGTGATATGTGCATTCAACTCCCAGAGTTTAACCTTTCTTTTCATAGATGAGTTTGGAAACAGTCAGTTTGTAAATTCTGCAACTGGATGTTTGGACCTCTTTGAGGCTTTCTTTGGAAACGGGATTTCTTCACATAATGCTAGACAGAAGAATTCTCAGTAACTTCTTTTGGGATGTATGTATTCAAATCAGAGAGTCGAACCTTCCTTTAGACAGAGCGGATTGGAAACACTCTTTTTGTGGAATTTGCAAGTGGAAAATTCTAGCAGTATGAGGCCAATGGTACAAAAGGAAATATCTTCGTATAAAAACTAGACAGTTATCATTCTCAGAAACTGCTTTGTGATGTGTGAATTAAACTCACAGAGTTGAACATTTCTTTGCATAGAGCAGTTTGGAAAGACTTAGTTTTTGCAGTGTGCAAGTGGATATTTGGAACTCTTTGAGGCCTTCGTTGGAAACGGGATTTCTTCTTATAATTCTTGACAAAAGAATTCTCAGTAGCTTCTTTGTGTGTGTGTATTCAACTCACAGAGTTGAACCTTCCTTTAGACAGAGCAGATTGGAAACACTCTTTTTGTGGAATTTGCAAGTGGAGAATTCTAACGCTTTGACGCCAATGGTAGAAAGGAAATATCTTCGTATAAAAACTAGACAGTATCTTTCTCAGAAACAACTTTGTGATGTGTGCGTTCAACTCACAGAGTTTAACCTTTCTTTTCATAGAGCAGTTTGGAAACACTCTGTTTGTGAAGTCTGCAAGTGGATATTTAAACGTCTCTGAGGCCTTCGTTGGAAACGGGATTTTTTCATATAAACCAGGACAGAAGAATTCTCAGAAACTTCTTGATTGTTATGTGTGCATTCAACTCACAGAGTTGAACCTTACTTTGGAAAGAGCAGTTTTCTAACACTCTTTTTGTAAAAGTTCCAAGTGAATACTTTGAGTGCTTTGAAGCCTACGGTTGACAACGAAATATCTTCCTGTAAAAACTACAAAGAATCATTCGCAGAAACCACGTTGTGATCTCTGCATTCAACTCACAGAGTTGAACCTTTCTTCCTATAGAGCAGTTATGAAACAGTCTCTTTGTAGAATTTGCAAGGGTGTATTTAGAGGGCATTGAAGCCTACGGTAGAAAAGGAAATATCTTACCATAAAATCTAGTCAGAAGCATTCTCAGCAACTGAGTTGTGATGTTTGCATTCAACTCACAGAGTTCAACATTCCTTTTAATGGAGCGGTTTTGAAACACTCTTTTTGCAGAATCTGCAAGTGGATATTTGGACCTCTTTGAGGCCTTCGTTGGAAACGGGATTTCTTCATGTAATGCCAGACAGAAGATTCTCAGTGAATTCTTTCTGTGTGTGTGTATTCAACTCACAGAGTTGAACGTTCCTTTAGACAGAGTAGATTGGAAACACTCTTTTTGTGGAATTTTCAGGTGGAGGTATCAAGCGCTTTGAGGCCAATGATAGAAAAGGAAATACCTTCGTATAATAATTAGACGGAATCATTCTCAGAAACTGCTTTGCAATGTGTGCGTTCAACTCACAGTGTTTAACCTTTCTTTTCATACAGTTGTTTCGAAACACTCTTTTTGCAGAATCTGCAAGTGGATATTTGGACCTCTTTGAAGTCTTCGTTGGAAATGGGATTTCTTCATATAATGCTAGACAGAAGACTTCTCAGTAACTGCTTTTTCTGGTGTGTATTCAACTCTCAGAGTTGAACTTTCCTTTAGAAACAGCAGATTTGAAACTCTCTTTTTGTGGAATTTGCAAGTGGAGATTTCAGAGCTTTGAGGCCAATGGTAGAAAAGGAAATATCTTCGTATGCAAACTAGACAGAATCATTCTCAGAAACTACTTTGGTACGTGTGTGTTCAACTCACAGTGTTTAACCTTTCTTTTCATAGAGCAGTTTGGAAACACTCAGTTTGTAAAGTCAGCAACTGGATATTTGGATGTATTTGAGGCCTTCGTTGGAAACGGGATTTCTTCATATAATGCTAGACAGAAGAATTCTCAGTAACTTCTTTGGGTTGTGGGTATTCAAGTCACAGAGTTGAAGCTTCCTTTAGGCGGAGCAGATTGGAAACACTTTTTGTGGAATTTTCAGGGGGAGACTTCAAGCGCTTTGAAGTGAATGGTAGGAAAGGAAATATCTTCGTATAAAAACTAGACGGAGTCATTCCCAGAAACTACTTTGTGATGTTTGCGTTCAACTCACAGAGTTTAACGTTTCTTTTCATAGAGCAGTTTGGAAACACTCTTTTTGCAGAATCTGCAAGTGGATATTTGGACCTCTTTGTGGCCTTCGTTGGAAACGGGATTTTTCATATAATGCTAGACAGAAGAATTCTCAGTAACTTCTTTTTGTGGTGTGTATTCAACTCACAGAGTTGAACCTTCCTTTAGACAGAGCAGATTTGAAACTCTCTTTTTGTGGAATTTGCAAGTGGAGATTTCAAGCGCTTTGAGGCCAACGGTAGAAAAGGAAATATCTTCGTAGAAAAAATAGACGGAATCATTCTCAGAAACTGCTTTGGGATGTGTGCATTGAACTCACAGTGTTTAACACTTCTTTTCATAGAGCACTTTGGAAACACTCAGTTTGTAATGTCTGCAGCTGGATATTTGGACCTCTTTGAGGCCTTCGTAGTAAACGGGATTTCTTCGTGTAATGATAGACAATAGAATTCTCAGTGAATTTGTTTCTGTGTGTGTGTATTCAACTCACAGGGTTGAACCTTCCTTTAGACAGTGCAGATTTGAAACACTTGTCTGTGGAATTTGCAAGGGGAGATTTCAAGCACTTTGAGGCCATTGGTGGAAAAGGAAATATCTTCGTATGAAAACTAGACAGAATCATTCTCAGGAACTACTTTGTGATATGTGCATTCAACTCACAGAGTTTAACCTTTCTTTTCATAGATGAGTTTGGAAACAGTCAGTTTGTAAATTCTGCAACTGGATATTTGGACCTCTTTGAGGCTTTCGTTGGAAACGGGATTTCTTCACATAATGCTAGACAGAAGAATTCTCAGTAACTTCTTTTGGGATGTATGTATTCAAATCAGAGAGTTGAACCTTCCTTTAGACAGAGCGGATTGGAAACACTCTTTTTGTGGAATTTGCAAGTGGAAAATTCTAGCAGTATGAGGCCAATGGTACAAAAGGAAATATCTTCGTATAAAAACTAGACAGTATCATTCTCAGAAACTGCTTTGTGATGTGTGTATTAAACTCACAGAGTTGAACATTTCTTTGCATAGAGCAGTTTGGAAAGACTTAGTTTGTGCAGTGTGCAAGTGGATATTTGGAACTCTTTGAGGCCTTCGTTGGAAACGGGATTTCTTCTTATAATTCTTGACAAAAGAATTCTCAGTAGCTTCTTTGTGTGTGTGTATTCAACTCACAGAGTTGAACCTTCCTTTAGACAGAGCAGATTGGAAACACTCTTTTTGTGGAATTTGCAAGTGGAGAATTCTAGCGCTTTGACGCCAATGGTACAAAAGGAAATATCTTCGTATAAAAACTAGACAGTTATCATTCTCAGTAAACTACTTTGTGATGTGTGCGTTCAACTCACAGTAGTTTAACCTTTCTTTTCATAGAGCAGTTTGGAAACACTCTGTTTGTGAAGTCTGCAAGTGGATATTTAAACGTCTTTGAGGCCTTCGTTGGAAACGGGATTTCTTCATATAAACCAGGACAGAAGAATTCTCAGAAACTTCTTGATTGTTATGTGTGCATTCAACTCACAGAGTTGAACCTTACTTTGGAAAGAGCAGTTTTCTAACACTCTTTTTGTAAAAGTTCCAAGTGAATACTTTGAGTGCTTTGAAGCCTACGGTTGACAACGAAATATCTTCATGTAAAAACTACAAAGAATCATTCGCAGAAACCACGTTGTGATCTCTGCATTCAACTCACAGAGTTGAACCTTTCTTCCTATAGAGCAGTTATGAAACAGTCTCTTTGTAGAATTTGCAAGGGTGTATTTAGAGGGCATTGAAGCCTACGGTAGAAAAGGAAATATCTTACCATAAAATCTAGTCAGAAGCATTCTCAGAAACTGAGTTGTGATGTTTGCATTCAACTCACAGAGTTCAACATTCCTTTTAATGGAGCGGTTTTGAAACACTCTTTTTGCAGAATCTGCAAGTGGATATTTGGACCTCTTTGAGGCCTTCGTTGGAAACGGGATTTCTTCATGTAATGCCAGACAGAAGAATTCTCAGTGAATTCTTTCTGTGTGTGTGTATTCAACTCACAGAGTTGAACGTTCCTTTAGACAGAGTAGATTGGAAACACTCTTTTTGTGGAATTTTCAGGTGGAGGTATCAAGCGCTTTGAGGCCAATGATAGAAAAGGAAATACCTTCGTATAATAATTAGACGGAATCATTCTCAGAAACTGCTTTGCAATGTGTGCGTTCAACTCACAGTGTTTAACCTTTCTTTTCATACAGTTGTTTCGAAACACTCTTTTTGCAGAATCTGCAAGTGGATATTTGGACCTCTTTGAAGTCTTCGTTGGAAATGGGATTTCTTCATATAATGCTAGACAGAAGACTTCTCAGTAACTGCTTTTTCTGGTGTGTATTCAACTCTCAGAGTTGAACTTTCCTTTAGAAACAGCAGATTTGAAACTCTCTTTTTGTGGAATTTGCAAGTGGAGATTTCAGAGCTTTGAGGCCAATGGTAGAAAAGGAAATATCTTCGTATGCAAACTAGACAGAATCATTCTCAGAAACTACTTTGGTACGTGTGTGTTCAACTCAAAGTGTTTAACCTTTCTTTTCATAGAGCAGTTTGGAAACACTCAGTTTGTAAAGTCAGCAACTGGATATTTGGATGTATTTGAGGCCTTCGTTGGAAACGGGATTTCTACATATAATGCTAGACAGAAGAATTCTCAGTAACTTCTTTGAGTTGTGGGTATTCAACTCACAGAGTTGAAACTTCCTTTAGGCGGAGCAGATTGGAAACACTTTTTGTGGAATTTTCAGGGGGAGACTTCAAGCGCTTTGAGGCCAACGGTAGAAAAGGAAATATCTTCGTATAAAAACTAAACGGAGTCATTCTCAGAAACTACTTTGTGATGTTTGCGTTCAACTCACAGAGTTTAACGTTTCTTTTCATAGAGCAGTTTGGAAACACTCTTTTTGCAGAATCTGCAAGTGGATATTTGGACCTCTTTGTGGCCTTCGTTGGAAACGGGATTTTTCATATAATGCTAGTCAGAAGAATTCTCAGTAACTTCTTTTTGTGGTGTGTATTCAACTCACAGAGTTGAACCTTCCTTTAGACAGAGCAGATTTGAAACTCTCTTTTTGTGGAATTTGCAAGTGGAGATTTCAAGCGCTTTGAGGCCAACGGTAGAAAAGGAAATATCTTCGTCGAAAAAATAGACGGAATCATTCCCAGAAACTGCTTTGGGATGTGTGCATTGAACTCACAGTGTTTAACACTTCTTTTCATAGAGCACTTTGGAAACACTCAGTTTGTAATGTCTGCAGCTGGATATTTAGACCTCCTTGAGGCCTTCGTAGTAAACGGGATTTCTTCGTGTAATGATAGACAATAGAATTCTCAGTGAATTTTTTTCTGTGTGTGTGTATTCAACTCACAGGGTTGAACCTTCCTTTAGACAGTGGAGATTTGAAACACTTTTCTGTGGAATTTGCAAGGGGAGATTTCAAGCACTTTGAGGCCATTGGTGGAAAAGGAAATATCTTCGAATAAAAACTAGACAGAATCATTCTCAGGAACTACTTTGTGATATGTGCATTCAACTCCCAGAGTTTAACCTTTCTTTTCATAGATGAGTTTGGAAACAGTCAGTTTGTAAATTCTGCAACTGGATATTTGGACCTCTTTGAGGCTTTCGTTGGAAACGGGATTTCTTCACATAATGCTAGACAGAAGAATTCTCAGTAACTTCTTTTGGGATGTATGTATTCAAATCAGAGGGTTGAACCTTCCTTTAGACAGAGCGGATTGGAAACACTCTTTTTGTGGAATTTGCAAGTGGAAAATTCTAGCAGTATGAGGCCAATGGTACAAAAGGAAATATCTTCGTATAAAAACTAGACAGTATCATTCTCAGAAACTGCTTTGTGATGTGTGTATTAAACTCACAGAGTTGAACATTTCTTTGCATAGAGCAGTTTGAAAAGACTTAGTTTGTGCAGTGTGCAAGTGGATATTTGGAACTCTTTGAGGCCTTCGTTGGAAACGGGATTTCTTCTTATAATTCTTGACAAAAGAATTCTCAGTAGCTTCTTTGTGTGTGTGTATTCAACTCACAGAGTTGAACCTTCCTTTAGACAGAGCAGATTGGAAACACTCTTTTTGTGGAATTTGCAAGTGGAGAATTCTAGCGCTTTGACGCCAATGGTAGAAAGGAAATATCTTCGTATAAAAACTAGACAGTATCATTCTCAGAAACTACTTTGTGATGTGTGCGTTCAACTCACAGAGTTTAACCTTTCTTTTCATAGAGCAGTTTGGAAACACTCTGTTTGTGAAGTCTGCAAGTGGATATTTAAACGTCTTTGAGGCCTTCGTTGGAAACGGGATTTTTTCATATAAACCAGGACAGAAAGAATTCTCAGAAACTTCTTGATTGTTATGTGTGCATTCAACTCACAGAGTTGAACCTTACTTTGGAAAGAGCAGTTTTCTAACACTCTTTTTGTAAAAGTTCCAAGTGAATACTTTGAGTGCTTTGAAGCCTACGGTTGACAACGAAATATCTTCATGTAAAAACTACAAAGATCATTCGCAGAAACCACGTTGTGATCTCTGCATTCAACTCACAGAGTTGAACCTTTCTTCCTGTAGAGCAGTTATGAAACAGTCTCTTTGTAGAATTTGCAAGGGTGTATTTAGAGGGCATTGAAGCCTACGGTAGAAAAGGAAATATCTTACCATAAAATCTAGTCAGAAGCATTCTCAGCAACTGAGTTGTGATGTTTGCATTCAACTCACAGAGTTCAACATTCCTTTTAATGGAGCGGTTTTGAAACACTCTTTTTGCAGAATCTGCAAGTGGATATTTGGACCTCTTTGAGGCCTTCGTTGGAAACGGGATTTCTTCATGTAATGCCAGACAGAAGAATTCTCAGTGAATTCTTTCTGTGTGTGTGTATTCAACTCACGGAGTTGAACGTTCCTTTAGACAGAGTAGATTGGAAACACTCTTTTTGTGGAATTTTCAGGTGGAGGTATCAAGCGCTTTGAGGCCAATGATAGAAAAGGAAATACCTTCGTATAATAATTAGACGGAATCATTCTCAGAAACTGCTTTGCAATGTGTGCGTTCAACTCACAGTGTTTAACCTTTCTTTTCATACAGTTGTTTCGAAACACTCTTTTTGCAGAATCTGCAAGTGGATATTTGGACCTCTTTGAAGTCTTCGTTGGAAATGGGATTTCTTCATATAATGCTAGACAGAAGACTTCTCAGTAACTGCTTTTTCTGGTGTGTATTCAACTCTCAGAGTTGAACTTTCCTTTAGAAACAGCAGAGTTGAAACTCTCTTTTTGTGGAATTTGCAAGTGGAGATTTCAAAGCTTTGAGGCCAATGGTAGAAAAGGAAATATCTTCGTATGCAAACTAGACAGAATCATTCTCAGAAACTACTTTGGTACGTGTGTGTTCAACTCACAGTGTTTAACCTTTCTTTTCATAGAGCAGTTTGGAAACACTCAGTTTGTAAAGTCAGCAACTGGATATTTGGATGTATTTGAGGCCTTCGTTGGAAACGGGATTTCTTCATATAGTGCTAGACAGAAGAATTCTCAGTAACTTCTTTGGGTTGTGGGTATTCAACTCACAGAGTTGAAGCTTCCTTTAGGCGGAGCAGATTGGAAACACTTTTTGTGGAATTTTCAGGGGGAGACTTCAAGCGCTTTGAAGTGAATGGTAGAAAAGGAAATATCTTCGTATAAAAACTAGACGGAGTCATTCTCAGAAACTACTTTGTGATGTTTGCGTTCAACTCACAGAGTTTAACGTTTCTTTTCATAGAGCAGTTTGGAAACACTCTTTTTGCAGAATCTGCAAGTGGATATTTGGACCTCTTTGTGGCCTTCGTTGGAAACGGGATTTTTCATATAATGCTAGACAGAAGAATTCTCAGTAACTTCTTTTTGTGGTGTGTATTCAACTCACAGAGTTGAACCTTCCTTTAGACAGAGCAGATTTGAAACTCTCTTTTTGTGGAATTTGCAAGTGGAGATTTCAAGCGCTTTGAGGCCAACGGTAGAAAAGGAAATATCTTCGTAGAAAAAATAGACGGAATCATTCTCAGAAACTGCTTTGGGATGTGTGCATTGAACTCACAGTGTTTAACACTTCTTTTCATAGAGCACTTTGGAAACACTCAGTTTGTAATGTCTGCAGCTGGATATTTGGACCTCTTTGAGGCCTTCGTAGTAAACGGGATTTCTTCGTGTAATGATAGACAATAGAATTCTCAGTGAATTTTTTTCTGTGTGTGTGTATTCAACTCACAGTGTTGAACCTTCCTTTAGACAGTGCAGATTTGAAACACTTGTCTGTGGAATTTGCAAGGGGAGATTTCAAGCACTTTGAGGCCATTGGTGGAAAAGGAAATATCTTCGTATAAAAACTAGACAGAATCATTCTCAGGAACTACTTTGTGATATGTGCATTCAACTCACAGAGTTTAACCTTTCTTTTCATAGATGAGTTTGGAAACAGTCAGTTTGTAAATTCTGCAACTGGATATTTGGACCTCTTTGAGGCTTTCGTTGGAAACGGGATTTCTTCACATAATGCTAGACAGAAGAATTCTCAGTAAATTCTTTTGGGATGTATGTATTCAAATCAGAGAGTTGAACCTTCCTTTAGACAGAGCGGATTGGAAACACTCTTTTTGTGGAATTTGCAAGTGGAAAATTCTAGCAGTATGAGGCCAATGGTACAAAAGGAAATATCTTCGTACAAAAACTAGACAGTATCATTCTCAGAAACTGCTTTGTGATGTGTGTATTAAACTCACAGAGTTGAACATTTCTTTGCATAGAGCAGTTTGGAAAGACTTAGTTTGTGCAGTGTGCAAGTGGATATTTGGAACTCTTTGAGGCCTTCGTTGGAAACGGGATTTCTTCTTATAATTCTTGACAAAAGAATTCTCAGTAGCTTCTTTGTGTGTGTGTATTCAACTCACAGAGTTGAACCTTCCTTTAGACAGAGCAGATTGGAAACACTCTTTTTGTGGAATTTGCAAGTGGAGAATTCTAGCGCTTTGACACCAATGGTAGAAAGGAAATATCTTCGTATAAAAACTAGACAGTATCATTCTCAGAAGCTACTTTGTGATGTGTGCGTTCAACTCACAGAGTTTAACCTTTCTTTTCATAGAGCAGTTTGGAAACACTCTGTTTGTGAAGTCTGCAAGTGGATATTTAAACGTCTTTGAGGCCTTCGTTGGAAACGGGATTTTTTCATATAAACCAGGACAGAAGAATTCTCAGAAACTTCTTGATTGTTATGTGTGCATTCAACTCACAGAGTTGAACCTTACTTTGGAAAGAGCAGTTTTCTAACACTCTTTTTGTAAAAGTTCCAAGTGAATACTTTGAGTGCTTTGAAGCCTACGGTTGACAACGAAATATCTTCATGTAAAAACTACAAAGAATCATTCGCAGAAACCACGTTGTGATCTCTGCATTCAACTCACAGAGTTGAACCTTTCTTCCTATAGAGCAGTTATGAAACAGTCTCTTTGTAGAATTTGCAAGGGTGTATTTAGAGGGCATTGAAGCCTACGGTAGAAAAGGAAATATCTTACCATAAAATCTAGTCAGAAGCATTCTCAGCAACTGAGTTGTGATGTTTGCATTCAACTCACAGAGTTCAACATTCCTTTTAATGGAGCGGTTTTGAAACACTCTTTTTGCAGAATCTGCAAGTGGATATTTGGACCTCTTTGAGGCCTTCGTTGGAAACGGGATTTCTTCATGTAATGCCAGACAGAAGAATTCTCAGTGAATTCTTTCTGTGTGTGTGTATTCAACTCACAGAGTTGAACGTTCCTTTAGACAGAGTAGATTGGAAACACTCTTTTTGTGGAATTTTCAGGTGGAGGTATCAAGCGCTTTGAGGCCAATGATAGAAAAGGAAATACCTTCGTATAATAAGTAGACGGAATCATTCTCAGAAACTGCTTTGCAATGTGTGCGTTCAACTCACAGTGTTTAACCTTTCTTTTCATACAGTTGTTTCGAAACACTCTTTTTGCAGAATCTGCAAGTGGATATTTGGACCTCTTTGAAGTCTTCGTTGGAAATGGGATTTCTTCATATAATGCTAGACAGAAGACTTCTCAGTAACTGCTTTTTCTGGTGTGTATTCAACTCTCAGAGTTGAACTTTCCTTTAGAAACAGCAGAGTTGAAACTCTCTTTTTGTGGAATTTGCAAGTGGAGATTTCAGAGCTTTGAGGCCAATGGTAGAAAAGGAAATATCTTCGTATGCAAACGAGACAGAATCATTCTCAGAAACTACTTTGGTACGTGTGTGTTCAACTCACAGTGTTTAACCTTTCTTTTCATAGAGCAGTTTGGAAACACTCAGTTTGTAAAGTCAGCAACTGGATATTTGGATGTATTTGAGGCCTTCGTTGGAAACGGGATTTCTTCATATAATGCTAGACAGAAGAATTCTCAGTAACTTCTTTGGGTTGTGGGTATTCAAGTCACAGAGTTGAAGCTTCCTTTAGGCGGAGCAGATTGGAAACACTTTTTGTGGAATTTTCAGGGGGAGACTTCAAGCGCTTTGAAGTGAATGGTAGGAAAGGAAATATCTTCGTATAAAAACTAGACGGAGTCATTCTCAGAAACTACTTTGTGATGTTTGCGTTCAACTCACAGAGTTTAACGTTTCTTTTCATAGAGCAGTTTGGAAACACTCTTTTTGCAGAATCTGCAAGTGGATATTTGGACCTCTTTGTGGCCTTCGTTGGAAACGGGATTTTTCATATAATGCTAGACAGAAGAATTCTCAGTAACTTCTTTTTGTGGTGTGTATTCAACTCACAGAGTTGAACCTTCCTTTAGACAGAGCAGATTTGAAACTCTCTTTTTGTGGAATTTGCAAGTGGAGATTTCAAGCGCTTTGAGGCCAACGGCAGAAAAGGAAATATCTTCGTAGAAAAAATAGACGGAATCATTCTCAGAAACTGCTTTGGGATGTGTGCATTGAACTCACAGTGTTTAACACTTCTTTTCATAGAGCACTTTGGAAACACTCAGTTTGTAATGTCTGCAGCTGGATATTTGGACCTCTTTGAGGCCTTCGTAGTAAACGGGATTTCTTCGTGTAATGATAGACAATAGAATTCTCAGTGAATTTGTTTCTGTGTGTGTGTATTCAACTCACAGGGTTGAACCTTCCCTTTAGACAGTGCAGATTTGAAACACTTGTCTGTGGAATTTGCAAGGGGAGATTTCAAGCACTTTGAGGCCATTGGTGGAAAAGGAAATATCTTCGTATAAAAACTAGACAGAATCATTCTCAGGAACTACTTTGTGATACGTGCATTCAACTCACAGGGTTTAACCTTTCTTTTCATAGATGAGTTTGGAAACAGTCAGTTTGTAAATTCTGCAACTGGATATTAGGACCTCTTTGAGGCGTTCGTTGGAAACGGGATTTCTTCACATAATGCTAGACAGAAGAATTTGCAGTAACTTCCTTTGGGATGTATGTATTCAACTCAGAGAGTTGAACCCTCCTTTAGACAGAGCGCATTGGAAACATGCTTTTTGCGGAATTTTCAGGTGGAGATTCCAAGAGCCTTGAGACCAATGGTAGAAAAGGCTATCTTCGTATAAAAACTAGAGGGAATCATTCTCAGAAACTGCTTTGTGATGTGTGCATTAAACTCACAGGGTTGAACATTTCTTTGTATAGAGCAGTTTGGAAAGACTTAGTTTGTACAGTGTGCAAGTGGATATTTGGAACTCTTTGAGGCCTTCGTTGGAAACGGGATTTCTTCTTATAATTCTTGACAAAAGAATTCTCAGTAGCTTCTTTGTGTGTGTGTATTCAACTCACAGAGTTGAACCTGCCTTTAGGCAGAGCAGATTGGAAACCCTCTTTTTGTGGAATTTGCAAGTGGAGAATTCTAGCGCTTTGACGCCAATGGTAGGAAAGGAAATATCTTCGTATAAAAACTGGACAGTATCATTCTCAGAAACTACTTTGTGATGTGTGCGTTCAACTCACAGAGTTTAACCTTTCTTTTCATAGAGCAGTTTGGAAACACTCTGTTTGTGAAGTCTGCAAGTGGATATTTAAACGCCTTTGAGGCCTTCGTTGGAAACGGGATTTTTTCATATAAACCAGGACAGAAGAATTCTCAGAAACTTCTTGTTTGTTATGTGTGCATTCAACTCACAGAGTTGAACCTTACTTTGGAAAGAGCAGTTTTCTAACACTCTTTTTGTAAAAGTTCCAAGTGAATACTTTGAGTGCTTTGAAGCCTACGGTAGACAACGAAATATCTTCATGTAAAAACTCCGAAGAATCATTCGCCGAAACCACGTTGTGATCTCTGCATTCAACTCACAGAGTTCAACCTTTCTTCCTATAGAGCAGTTATTAAACAGTCTCTTTGTAGAATTTGCAAGGGTGTATTTAGAGGGCATAGAAGCCTACGGTAGAAAAGGAAATATCTGACCATAAAATCTAGTCAGAAGCATTCTCAGAAACTGAGTTGTGATGTTTGCATTCAACTCACAGAGTTCAACATTCCTTTTAATGGAGCGGTTTTGAAACACTCTTTTTGCAGAATCTGCAAGTGGATATTTGGACCTCTTTGAGGCCTTCGTTGGAAACGGGATTTCTTCATGTAATGCCAGACAGAAGAATTCTCAGTGAATTCTTTCTGTGTGTGTGTATTCAACTCACAGAGTTGAACGTTCCTTTAGACAGAGTAGATTGGAAACACTCTTTTTGTGGAATTTTCAGGTGGAGGTATCAAGCGCTTTGAGGCCAATGATAGAAAAGGAAATACCTTCGTATAATAATTAGACGGAATCATTCTCAGAAACTGCTTTGCAATGTGTGCGTTCAACTCACAGTGTTTAACCTTTCTTTTCATACAGTTGTTTCGAAACACTCTTTTTGCAGAATCTGCAAGTGGATATTTGGACCTCTTTGAAGTCTTCGTTGGAAATGGGATTTCTTCATATAATGCTAGACAGAAGACTTCTCAGTAACTGCTTTTTCTGGTGTGTATTCAACTCTCAGAGTTGAACTTTCCTTTAGAAACAGCAGATTTGAAACTCTCTTTTTGTGGAATTTGCAAGTGGAGATTTCAGAGCTTTGAGGCCAATGGTAGAAAAGGAAATATCTTCGTATGCAAACTAGACAGAATCATTCTCAGAAACTACTTTGGTACGTGTGTGTTCAACTCACAGTGTTTAACCTTTCTTTTCATAGAGCAGTTTGGAAACACTCAGTTTGTAAAGTCAGCAACTGGATATTTGGATGTATTTGAGGCCTTCGTTGGAAACGGGATTTCTTCATATAATGCTAGACAGAAGAATTCTCAGTAACTTCTTTGGGTTGTGGGTATTCAAGTCACAGAGTTGAAGCTTCCTTTAGGCGGAGCAGATTGGAAACACTTTTTGTGGAATTTTCAGGGGGAGACTTCAAGCGCTTTGAAGTGAATGGTAGGAAAGGAAATATCTTCGTATAAAAACTAGACGGAGTCATTCTCAGAAACTACTTTGTGATGTTTGCGTTCAACTCACAGAGTTTAACGTTTCTTTTCATAGAGCAGTTTGGAAACACTCTTTTTGCAGAATCTGCAAGTGGATATTTGGACCTCTTTGTGGCCTTCGTTGGAAACGGGATTTTTCATATAATGCTAGACAGAAGAATTCTCAGTAACTTCTTTTTGTGGTGTGTATTCAACTCACAGAGTTGAACCTTCCTTTAGACAGAGCAGATTTGAAACTCTCTTTTTGTGGAATTTGCAAGTGGAGATTTCAAGCGCTTTGAGGCCAACGGCAGAAAAGGAAATATCTTCGTAGAAAAAATAGACGGCATCATTCTCAGAAACTGCTTTGGGATGTGTGCATTGAACTCACAGTGTTTAACACTTCTTTTCATAGAGCACTTTGGAAACACTCAGTTTGTAATGTCTGCAGCTGGATATTTGGACCTCTTTGAGGCCTTCGTAGTAAACGGGATTTCTTCGTGTAATGATAGACAATAGAATTCTCAGTGAATTTTTTTCTGTGTGTGTGTATTCAACTCACAGGGTTGAACCTTCCTTTAGACAGTGCAGATTTGAAACACTTGTCTGTGGAATTTGCAAGGGGAGATTTCAAGCACTTTGAGGCCATTGGTGGAAAAGGAAATATCTTCGTATAAAAACTAGACAGAATCATTCTCAGGAACTACTTTGTGATATGTGCATTCAACTCCCAGAGTTTAACCTTTCTTTTCATAGATGAGTTTGGAAACAGTCAGTTTGTAAATTCTGCAACTGGATATTTGGACCTCTTTGAGGCTTTCGTTGGAAACGGGATTTCTTCACATAATGCTAGACAGAAGAATTCTCAGTAACTTCTTTTGGGATGTATGTATTCAAATCAGAGAGTTGAACCTTCCTTTAGACAGAGCGGATTGGAAACACTCTTTTTGTGGAATTTGCAAGTGGAAAATTCTAGCAGTATGAGGCCAATGGTACAAAAGGAAATATCTTCGTATAAAAACTAGACAGTATCATTCTCAGAAACTGCTTTGTGATGTGTGTATTAAACTCACAGAGTTGAACATTTCTTTGCATAGAGCAGTTTGGAAAGACTTAGTTTGTGCAGTGTGCAAGTGGATATTTGGAACTCTTTGAGGCCTTCGTTGGAAACGGGATTTCTTCTTATAATTCTTGACAAAAGAATTCTCAGTAGCTTCTTTGTGTGTGTGTATTCAACTCACAGAGTTGAACCTTCCTTTAGACAGAGCGGATTGGAAACACTCTTTTTGTGGAATTTGCAAGTGGAAAATTCTAGCAGTATGAGGCCAATGGTACAAAAGGAAATATCTTCGTATAAAAACTAGACAGTATCATTCTCAGAAACTGCTTTGTGATGTGTGTATTAAACTCAC
This sequence comes from Homo sapiens, assembly GCF_000001405.40. Lineage (NCBI taxonomy): Eukaryota > Metazoa > Chordata > Mammalia > Primates > Hominidae > Homo > Homo sapiens. The sequence continues at coordinate 91,991,065 of NC_000003.12, forward strand.
AGAGTTGAACATTTCTTTGCATAGAGCAGTTTGGAAAGACTTAGTTTGTGCAGTGTGCAAGTGGATATTTGGAACTCTTTGAGGCCTTCGTTGGAAACGGGATTTCTTCTTATAATTCTTGAAAAAGGAATTCTCAGTAGCTTCTTTGTGTGTGTGTATTCAACTCACAGAGTTGAACCTTCCTTTAGACAGAGCAGATTGGAAACACTCTTTTTGTGGAATTTGCAAGTGGAGAATTCTAGCGCTTTGACGCCAATGGTAGAAAGGAAATATCTTCGTATAAAAACTAGACAGTATCATTCTCAGAAACTACTTTGTGATGTGTGCGTTCAACTCACAGAGTTTAACCTTTCTTTTCATAGAGCAGTTTGGAAACACTCTGTTTGTGAAGTCTGCAAGTGGATATTTAAACGTCTTTGAGGCCTTCGTTGGAAACGGGATTTTTTCATATAAACCAGGACAGAAGGATTCTCAGAAACTTCTTGTTTGTTATGTGTGCATTCAACTCACAGAGTTGAACCTTACTTTGGAAAGAGCAGTTTTCTAACACTCTTTTTGTAAAAGTTCCAAGTGAATACTTTGAGTGCTTTGAAGCCTACGGTAGACAACGAAATATCTTCATGTAAAAACTACAAAGAATCATTCGCAGAAACCACGTTGTGATCTCTGCATTCAACTCACAGAGTTCAACCTTTCTTCCTATAGAGCAGTTATTAAACAGTCTCTTTGTAGAATTTGCAAGGGTGTATTTAGAGGGCATTGAAGCCTACGGTAGAAAAGGAAATATCTTACCATAAAATCTAGTCAGAAGCATTCTCAGAAACTGAGTTGTGACGTTTGCATTCAACTCACAGAGTTCAACATTCCTTTTCATGGAGCGGTTTTGAAACACTCTTTTTGCAGAATCTGCAAGTGGATATTTGGACCTCTTTGAGGCCTTCGTTGGAAACGGGATTTCTTCAGGTAATGCCAGACAGAAGAATTCTCAGTGAATTCTTTCTGTGTGTGTGTATTCAACTCACAGAGTTGAACGTTCCTTTAGACAGAGTAGATTGGAAACACTCTTTTTGTGGAATTTTCAGGTGGAGGTATCAAGCGCTTTGAGGCCCATGATAGAAAAGGAAATACCTTCGTATAATAATTAGACGGAATCATTCTCAGAAAATGCTTTGCAATGGGTGCGTTCAACTCACAGTGTTTAACCTTTCTTTTCATACAGTTGTTTCGAAACACTCTTTTTGCGGAATCTGCAAGTGGATATTTGGACCTGTTTGAAGTCTTCTTTGGAAATGGGATTTCTTCATATAATGCTAGACAGAAGACTTCTCAGTAACTGCTTTTTCTGGTGTGTATTCAACTCTCAGAGTTGAACTTTCCTTTAGAAACAGCAGATTTGAAACTCTCTTTTTGTGGAATTTGCAAGTGGAGATTTCAAAGCTTTGAGGCCAGTGGTAGAAAAGGAAATATCTTTGTATGCAAACTAGACAGAATCATTCTCAGAAACTACTTTGGTACGTGTGTGTTCAACTCACAGTGTTTAACCTTTCTTTTCATAGAGCAGTTTGGAAACACTCAGTTTGTAAAGTCAGCAACTGGATATGTGGATGTATTTGAGGCCTTCGTTGGAAACGGGATTTCTTCATATAATGCGAGACAGAAGAATTCTCAGTAACTTCTTTGTGTTGTGGGTATTCAACTCACAGAGTTGAAGCTTCCTTTAGACGGAGCAGATTGGAAACACTTTTTGTGGAATTTTCAGGGGGAGACTTCAAGCGCTTTGAGGCCAACGGTAGAAAAGGAAATATCTTCGTATAAAAACTAGACGGAGTCATTCTCAGAAACTACTTTGTGATGTTTGCGTTCAACTCACAGAGTTTAACGTTTCTTTTCATAGAGCAGTTTGGAAACACTCTTTTTGCAGAATCTGCAAGTGGATATTTGGACCTCTTTGTGGCCTTCGTTGGAAACGGGATTTTTCATATAATGCTAGACAGAAGAATTCTCAGTAACTTCTTTTTGTGGTGTGTATTCAACTCACAGAGTGGAACCTTCCTTTAGACAGAGCAGATTTGAAACTCTCTTTTCGTGGAATTTGCAAGTGGAGATTTCAGGCGCTTTGAGGCCAACGGTAGAAAAGGAAATATCTTCGTAGAAAAAATAGACGGAATCATTCTCAGAAACTGCTTTGGGATGTGTGCATTGAACTCACAGTGTTTAACACTTCTTTTCATAGAGCACTTTGGAAACACTCAGTTTGTAATGTCTGCAGCTGGATATTTGGACCTCTTTGAGGCCTTCGTAGTAAACGGGATTTCTTCGTGTAATGATAGACAATAGAATTCTCAGTGAATTTTTTTCTGTGTGTGTGTATTCAACTCACAGGGTTGAACCTTCCTTTAGACAGTGCAGATTTGAAACACTTGTCTGTGGAATTTGCAAGGGGAGATTTCAAGCACTTTGAGGCCATTGGTGGAAAAGGAAATATCTTCGTATAAAAACTAGACAGAATCATTCTCAGGAACTACTTTGTGATATGTGCATTCAACTCACAGAGTTTAACCTTTCTTTTCATAGATGAGTTTGGAATCAGTCAGTTTGTAAATTCTGCAACTGGATATTTGGACCTCTTTGAGGCTTTCGTTGGAAACGGGATTTCTTCACATAATGCTAGACAGAAGAATTCTCAGTAACTTCTTTTGGGATGTATGTATTCAAATCAGAGAGTTGAACCTTCCTTTAGACAGAGCGGATTGGAAACACTCTTTTTGTGGAATTTGCAAGTGGAAAATTCTAGCAGTATGAGGCCAATGGTACAAAAGGAAATATCTTCGTATAAAAACTAGACAGTATCATTCTCAGAAACTGCTTTGCGATGTGTGTATTAAACTCACAGAGTTGAACATTTCTTTGCATAGAGCAGTTTGGAAAGACTTAGTTTGTGCAGTGTGCAAGTGGATATTTGGAACTCTTTGAGGCCTTCGTTGGAAACGGGATTTCTTCTTATAATTCTTGACAAAAGAATTCTCAGTAGCTTCTTTGTGTGTGTGTATTCAACTCACAGAGTTGAACCTTCCTTTAGACAGAGCAGATTGGAAACACTCTTTTTGTGGAATTTGCAAGTGGAGAATTCTAGCGCTTTGACGCCAATGGTAGAAAGGAAATATCTTCGTATAAAAACTAGACAGTATCATTCTCAGAAGCTACTTTGTGAGGTGTGCGTTCAACTCACAGAGTTTAACCTTTCTTTTCATAGAGCAGTTTGGAAACCCTCTGTTTGTGAAGTCTGCAAGTGGATATTTAAACGTCTTTGAGGCCTTCGTTGGAAACGGGATTTCTTCATATAAACCAGGACAGAAGAATTCTCAGAAACTTCTTGATTGTTATGTGTGCATTCAACTCACAGAGTTGAACCTTACTTTGGAAAGAGCAGTTTTCTAACACTCTTTTTGTAAAAGTTCCAAGTGAATACTTTGAGTGCTTTGAAGCCTACGGTTGACAACGAAATATCTTCATGTAAAAACTACAAAGAATCATTCGCAGAAACCACGTTGTGATCTCTGCATTCAACTCACAGAGTTGAACCTTTCTTCCTATAGAGCAGTTATGAAACAGTCTCTTTGTAGAATTTGCAAGGGTGTATTTAGAGGGCATTGAAGCCTACGGTAGAAAAGGAAATATCTTACCATAAAATCTAGTCAGAAGCATTCTCAGAAACTGAGTTGTGATGTTTGCATTCAACTCACAGAGTTCAACATTCCTTTTCATGGAGCGGTTTTGAAACACTCTTTTTGCAGAATCTGCAAGTGGATATTTGGACCTCTTTGAGGCCTTCGTTGAAAACGGGATTTCTTCATGTAATGCCAGACAGAAGAATTCTCAGTGAATTCTTTCTGTGTGTGTGTATTCAACTCACAGAGTTGAACGTTCCTTTAGACAGAGTAGATTGGAAACACTCTTTTTGTGGAATTTTCAGGTGGAGGTATCAAGCGCTTTGAGACCAATGATAGAAAAGGAAATACCTTCGTATAATAATTAGACGGAATCATTCTCAGAAACTGCTTTGCAATGTGTGCATTCAACTCACAGTGTTTAACCTTTCTTTTCATACAGTTGTTTCGAAACACTCTTTTTGCAGAATCTGCAAGTGGATATTTGGACCTCTTTGAAGTCTTCGTTGGAAATGGGATTTCTTCATATAATGCTAGACAGAAGACTTCTCAGTAACTGCTTTTTCTGGTGTGTATTCAACTCTCAGAGTTGAACTTTCCTTTAGAAACAGCAGATTTGAAACTCTCTTTTTGTGGAATTTGCAAGTGGAGATTTCAAAGCTTTGAGGCCAATGGTAGAAAAGGAAATATCTTCGTATGCAAACTAGACAGAATCATTCTCAGAAACTACTTTGGTACGTGTGTGTTCAACTCACAGTGTTTAACCTTTCTTTTCATAGAGCAGTTTGGAAACACTCAGTTTGTAAAGTCAGCAACTGGATATTTGGATGTATTTGAGGCCTTCGTTGGAAACGGGATTTCTTCATATAATGCTAGACAGAAGAATTCTCAGTAACTTCTTTGGGTTGTGGGTATTCAAGTCACAGAGTTGAAGCTTCCTTTAGGCGGAGCAGATTGGAAACACTTTTTGTGGAATTTTCAGGGGGAGACTTCAAGCGCTTTGAAGTGAATGGTAGGAAAGGAAATATCTTCGTATAAAAACTAGACGGAGTCATTCTCAGAAACTACTTTGTGATGTTTGCGTTCAACTCACAGAGTTTAACGTTTCTTTTCATAGAGCAGTTTGGAAACACTCTTTTTGCAGAATCTGCAAGTGGATATTTGGACCTCTTTGTGGCCTTCGTTGGAAACGGGATTTTTCATATAATGCTAGACAGAAGAATTCTCAGTAACTTCTTTTTGTGGTGTGTATTCAACTCACAGAGTTGAACCTTCCTTTAGACAGAGCAGATTTGAAACTCTCTTTTTGTGGAATTTGCAAGTGGAGATTTCAAGCGCTTTGAGGCCAACGGCAGAAAAGGAAATATCTTCGTAGAAAAAATAGACGGAATCATTCTCAGAAACTGCTTTGGGATGTGTGCATTGAACTCACAGTGTTTAACACTTCTTTTCATAGAGCACTTTGGAAACACTCAGTTTATAATGTCTGCAGCTGGATATTTGGACCTCTTTGAGGCCTTCGTAGTAAACGGGATTTCTTCGTGTAATGATAGACAATAGCAATTCTCAGTGAATTTTTTTCTGTGTGTGTGTATTCAACTCACAGGGTTGAACCTTCCTTTAGACAGTGCAGATTTGAAACACTTGTCTGTGGAATTTGCAAGGGGAGATTTCAAGCACTTTGAGGCCATTGGTGGAAAAGGGAATATCTTCGTATAAAAACTAGACAGAATCATTCTCAGGAACTACTTTGTGATATGGGCATTCAACTCCCAGAGTTTAACCTTTCTTTTCATAGATGAGTTTGGAAACAGTCAGTTTGTAAATTCTGCAACTGGATATTTGGACCTCTTTGAGGCTTTCGTTGGAAACGGGATTTCTTCACATAATGCTAGATAGAAGAATTCTCAGTAACTTCTTTTGGGATGTATGTATTCAAATCAGAGAGTTGAACCTTCCTTTAGACAGAGCGGATTGGAAACACTCTTTTTGTGGAATTTGCAAGTGGAAAATTCTAGCAGTATGAGGCCAATGGTACAAAAGGAAATATCTTCGTATAAAAACTAGACAGTATCATTCTCAGAAACTGCTTTGTGATGTGTGAATTAAACTCACAGAGTTGAACATTTCTTTGCATAGAGCAGTTTGGAAAGACTTAGTTTGTGCAGTGTGCAAGTGGATATTTGGAACTCTTTGAGGCCTTCGTTGGAAACGGGATTTCTTCTTATAATTCTTGACAAAAGAATTCTCAGTAGCTTCTTTGTGTGTGTGTATTCAACTCACAGAGTTGAACCTTCCTTTAGACAGAGCAGATTGGAAACACTCTTTTTGTGGAATTTGCAAGTGGAGAATTCTAGCGCTTTGACGCCAATGGTAGAAAGGAAATATCTTCGTATAAAAACTAGACAGTATCATTCTCAGAAACTACTTTGTGATGTGTGCGTTCAACTCACAGAGTTTAACCTTTCTTTTCATAGAGCAGTTTGGAAACACTCTGTTTGTGAAGTCTGCAAGTGGATATTTAAACATCTTTGAGGCCTTCGTTGGAAACGGGATTTGTTCATATAAACCAGGACAGAAGAATTCTCAGAAACTTCTTGATTGTTATGTGTGCATTCAACTCACAGAGTTGAACCTTACTTTGGAAAGAGCAGTTTTCTAACACTCTTTTTGTAAAAGTTCCAAGTGAATACTTTGAGTGCTTTGAAGCCTACGGTTGACAACGAAATATCTTCATGTAAAAACTACAAAGAATCATTCGCAGAAACCACGTTGTGATCTCTGCATTCAACTCACAGAGTTGAACCTTTCTTCCTATAGAGCAGTTATGAAACAGTCTCTTTGTAGAATTTGCAAGGGTGTATTTAGAGGGCATTGAAGCCTACGGTAGAAAAGGAAATATCTTACCATAAAATCTAGTCAGAAGCATTCTCAGCAACTGAGTTGTGATGTTTGCATTCAACTCACAGAGTTCAACATTCCTTTTAATGGAGCGGTTTTGAAACACTCTTTTTGCAGAATCTGCAAGTGGATATTTGGACCTCTTTGAGGCCTTCGTTGGAAACGGGATTTCTTCATGTAATGCCAGACAGAAGAATTCTCAGTGAATTCTTTCTGTGTGTGTGTATTCAACTCACAGAGTTGAACGTTCCTTTAGACAGAGTAGATTGGAAACACTCTTTTTGTGGAATTTTCAGGTGGAGGTATCAAGCGCTTTGAGGCCAATGATAGAAAAGGAAATACCTTCGTATAATAATTAGACGGAATCATTCTCAGAAACTGCTTTGCAATGTGTGCGTTCAACTCACAGTGTTTAACCTTTCTTTTCATACAGTTGTTTCGAAACACTCTTTTTGCAGAATCTGCAAGTGGATATTTGGACCTCTTTGAAGTCTTCGTTGGAAATGGGATTTCTTCATATAATGCTAGACAGAAGACTTCTCAGTAACTGCTTTTTCTGGTGTGTATTCAACTCTCAGAGTTGAACTTTCCTTTAGAAACAGCAGATTTGAAACTCTCTTTTTGTGGAATTTGCAAGTGGAGATTTCAGAGCTTTGAGGCCAATGGTAGAAAAGGAAATATCTTCGTATGCAAACTAGACAGAATCATTCTCAGAAACTACTTTGGTACGTGTGTGTTCAACTCACAGTGTTTAACCTTTCTTTTCATAGAGCAGTTTGGAAACACTCAGTTTGTAAAGTCAGCAACTGGATATTTGGATGTATTTGAGGCCTTCGTTGGAAACGGGATTTCTTCATGTAATGCTAGACAGAAGAATTCTCAGTAACTTCTTAGGGTTGTGGCTATTCAACTCACAGAGTTGAAGCTTCCTTTAGGCGGAGCAGATTGGAAACACTTTTTGTGGAATTTTCAGGGGGAGACTTCAAGCGCTTTGAAGTGAATGGTAGAAAAGGAAATATCTTCGTATATAAACTAGACAGAGTCATTCTCAGAAACTACTTTGTGATGTTTGCGTTCAACTCACAGAGTTTAACGTTTCTTTTCATAGAGCAGTTTGGAAACACTCTTTTTGCAGAATCTGCAAGTGGATATTTGGACCTCTTTGTGGCCTTCGTTGGAAACGGGATTTTTCATATAATGCTAGACAGAAGAATTCTCAGTAACTTCTTTTTGTGGTGTGTATTCAACTCACAGAGTTGAACCTTCCTTTAGACAGAGCAGATTTGAAACTCTCTTTTTGTGGAATTTGCAAGTGGAGATTTCAAGCGCTTTGAGGCCAACGGTAGAAAAGGAAATATATTCGTAGAAAAAATAGACGGAATCATTCTCAGAAACTGCTTTGGGATGTGTGCATTGAACTCACAGTGTTTAACACTTCTTTTCATAGAGCACTTTGGAAACACTCAGTTTGTAATGTCTGCAGCTGTATATTTGGACCTCTTTGAGGCCTTCGTAGTAAACGGGATTTCTTCGTGTAATGATAGACAATAGAATTCTCAGTGAATTTGTTTCTGTGTGTGTGTGTATTCAACTCACAGGGTTGAACCTTCCTTTAGACAGTGCAGATTTGAAACACTTGTCTGTGGAATTTGCAAGGGGAGATTTCAAGCACTTTGAGGCCATTGGTGGAAAAGGAAATATCTTCGTATAAAAACTAGACAGAATCATTCTCAGGAACTACTTTGTGATATGTGCATTCAACTCCCAGAGTTTAACCTTTCTTTTCATAGATGAGTTTGGAAACAGTCAGTTTGTAAATTCTGCAACTGGATATTTGGACCTCTTTGAGGCTTTCGTTGGAAACGGGATTTCTTCACATAATGCTAGACAGAAGAATTCTCAGTAACTTCTTTTGGGATGTATGTATTCAAATCAGAGAGTTGAACCTTCCTTTAGACAGAGCGGATTGGAAACACTCTTTTTGTGGAATTTGCAAGTGGAAAATTCTAGCAGTATGAGGCCAATGGTACAAAAGGAAATATCTTCGTATAAAAACTAGACAGTATCATTCTCAGAAACTGCTTTGTGATGTGTGTATTAAACTCACAGAGTTGAACATTTCTTTGCATAGAGCAGTTTGGAAAGACTTAGTTTGTGCAGTGTGCAAGTGCATATTTGGAACTCTTTGAGGCCTTCGTTGGAAACGGGATTTCTTCTTATAATTCTTGACAAAAGAATTCTCAGTAGCTTCTTTGTGTCTGTGTATTCAACTCAGAGAGTTGAACCTTCCTTTAGACAGAGCAGATTGGAAACACTCTTTTTGTGGAATTTGCAAGTGGAGAATTCTAGCGCTTTGACGCCAATGGTAGAAAGGAAATATCTTCGTATAAAAACTAGACAGTATCATTCTCAGAAGCTACTTTGTGATGTGTGCGTTGAACTCACAGAGTTTAACCTTTCTTTTCATAGAGCAGTTTGGAAACACTCTGTTTGTGAAGTCTGCAAGTGGATATTTAAACGTCTTTGAGGCCTTTGTTGGAAACGGGATTTTTTCATATAAACCAGGACAGAAGAATTCTCAGAAACTTCTTGATTGTTATGTGTGCATTCAACTCACAGAGTTGAACCTTACTTTGGAAAGAGCAGTTTTCTAACACTCTTTTTGTAAAAGTTCCAAGTGAATACTTTGAGTGCTTTGAAGCCTACGGTTGACAACGAAATATCTTCATGTAAAAACTACAAAGAATCATTCGCAGAAACCACGTTGTGATCTCTGCATTCAACTCACAGAGTTGAACCTTTCTTCCTATAGAGCAGTTATGAAACAGTCTCTTTGTAGAATTTGCAAGGGTGTATTTAGAGGGCATTGAAGCCTACGGTAGAAAAGGAAATATCTTACCATAAAATCTAGTCAGAAGCATTCTCAGCAACTGAGTTGTGATGTTTGCATTCAACTCACAGAGTTCAACATTCCTTTTAATGGAGCGGTTTTGAAACACTCTTTTTGCAGAATCTGCAAGTGGATATTTGGACCTCTTTGAGGCCTTCGTTGGAAACGGGATTTCTTCATGTAATGCCAGACAGAAGAATTCTCAGTGAATTCTTTCTGTGTGTGTGTATTCAACTCACAGAGTTGAACGTTCCTTTAGACAGAGTAGATTGGAAACACTCTTTTTGTGGAATTTTCAGGTGGAGGTATCAAGCGCTTTGAGGCCAATGATAGAAAAGGAAATACCTTCGTATAATAATTAGACGGAATCATTCTCAGAAACCGCTTTGCAATGTGTGCGTTCAACTCACAGTGTTTAACCTTTCTTTTCATACAGTTGTTTCGAAACACTCTTTTTGCAGAATCTGCAAGTGGATATTTGGACCTCTTTGAAGTCTTCGTTGGAAATGGGATTTCTTCATATAATGCTAGACAGAAGACTTCTCAGTAACTGCTTTTTCTGGTGTGTATTCAACTCTCAGAGTTGAACTTTCCTTTAGAAACAGCAGATTTGAAACTCTCTTTTTGTGGAATTTGCAAGTGGAGATTTCAGAGCTTTGAGGCCAATGGTAGAAAAGGAAATATCTTCGTATGCAAACTAGACAGAATCATTCTCAGAAACTACTTTGGTACGTGTGTGTTCAACTCACAGTGTTTAACCTTTCTTTTCATAGAGCAGTTTGGAAACACTCAGTTTGTAAAGTCAGCAACTGGATATTTGGATGTATTTGAGGCCTTCGTTGGAAACGGGATTTCTTCATATAATGCTAGACAGAAGAATTCTCAGTAACTTCTTTGGGTTGTGGGTATTCAAGTCACAGAGTTGAAGCTTCCTTTAGGCGGAGCAGATTGGAAACACTTTTTGTGGAATTTTCAGGGGGAGACTTCAAGCGCTTTGAAGTGAATGGTAGGAAAGGAAATATCTTCGTATAAAAACTAGACGGAGTCATTCTCAGAAACTACTTTGTGATGTTTGCGTTCAACTCACAGAGTTTAACGTTTCTTTTCATAGAGCAGTTTGGAAACACTCTTTTTGCAGAATCTGCAAGTGGATATTTGGACCTCTTTGTGGCCTTCGTTGGAAACGGGATTTTTCATATAATGCTAGACAGAAGAATTCTCAGTAACTTCTTTTTGTGGTGTGTATTCAACTCACAGAGTTGAACCTTCCTTTAGACAGAGCAGATTTGAAACTCTCTTTTTGTGGAATTTGCAAGTGGAGATTTCAAGCGCTTTGAGGCCAACGGTAGAAAAGAAAATATCTTCGTAGAGAAAATAGACGGAATCATTCTCAGAAACTGCTTTGGGATGTGTGCATTGAACTCACAGTGTTTAACACTTCTTTTCATAGAGCACTTTGGAAACAGTCAGTTTGGAATGTCTGCAGCTGGATATTTGGACCTCTTTGAGGCCTTCGTAGTAAACGGGATTTCTTCGTGTAATGATAGACAATAGAATTCTCAGTGAATTTTTTTCTGTGTGTGTGTATTCAACTCACAGGGTTGAACCTTCCTTTAGACAGTGCAGATTTGAAACACTTTTCTGTGGAATTTGCAAGGGGAGATTTCAAGCACTTTGAGGCCATTGGTGGAAAAGGAAATATCTTCGTATAAAAACTAGACAGAATCATTCTCAGGAACTACTTTGTGATATGTGCATTCAACTCACAGAGTTTAACCTTTCTTTTCATAGATGAGTTTGGAAACAGTCAGTTTGTAAATTCTGCAACTGGATATTTGGACCTCTTGGAGGCTTTTGTTGGAAACGGGATTTCTTCACATAATGCTAGACAGAAGAATTCGCAGTAACTTCTTTTGGGATGTATGTATTCAACTCAGAGAGTTGAACCTTCCTTTAGACAGAGCGGATTGGAAACACGCTTTTTGCGGAATTTTCAGGTGGAGATTTCAAGAGCCTTGAGGCCAATGGTAGAAAAGGCTATCTTCGTATAAAAACTAGACGGAATCATTCTCAGAAACTGCTTTGTGATGTGTGCATTAAACTCACAGAGTTGAACATTTCTTTGCATAGAGCAGTTTGGAAAGACTTAGTTTGTACAGTGTGCAAGTGGATATTTGGAACTCTTTGAGGCCTTCGTTGGAAACGGGATTTCTTCTTATAATTCCTGACAAAAGAATTCTCAGTAGCTTCTTTGTGTGTGTGTATTCAACTCACAGAGTTGAACCTTCCTTTAGACAGAGCAGATTGGAAACACTCTTTTTGTGGAATTTGCAAGTGGAGAATTCTAGCGCTTTGACGCCAATGGAAGGAAAGGAAATATCTCCGTATAAAAACTAGACAGTATCATTCTCAGAAACTACTTTGTGATGTGTGCGTTCAACTCACAGAGTTTAACCTTTCTTTTCATAGAGCAGTTTGGAAACACTCTGTTTGTGAAGTCTGCAAGTGGATATTTAAACGTCTTTGAGGCCTTCGTTGGAAACGGGATTTTTTCATATAAACCAGGACAGAAGAATTCTCAGAAACTTCTTGTTTTTTATGTGTGCATTCAACTCACAGAGTTGAACCTTACTTCGGAAAGAGCAGTTTTCTAACACTCTTTTTGTAAAAGTTCCAAGTGAATACTTTGAGTGCTTTGAAGCCTACGGTAGACAACGAAATATCTTCATGTAAAAACTGCAAATAATCATTCGCCGAAACCACGTTGTGATCTCTGCATTCAACTCACAGAGTTCAACCTTTCTTCCTATAGAGCAGTTATTAAACAGTCTCTTTGTAGAATTTGCAAGGGTGTATTTAGAGGGCATTGAGGCCTACGGTAGAAAAGGAAATATCTGACCATAAAATCTAGTCAGAAGCATTCTCAGAAACTGAGTTGTGATGTTTGCATTCAACTCACAGAGTTCAACATTCCTTTTCATAGAGCGGTTTTGAAACACTCTTTTTCCAGAATCTGCAAGTGGATATTTGGACCTCTTTGAGGCCTTCGTTGGAAACGGGATTTCTTCATGTAATCCCAGACAGAAGAACTCTCAGTGAATTCTTTCTGTGTGTGTGTACTCAACTCACAGAGTTGAACGTTCCCTTAGACAGAGTAGATTGGAAACACTCTTTTTGTGGAATGTTCACGTGGAGGTATCAAGCGCTTTGAGGCCCATGATAGAAAAGGAAATACCTTCGTATAATAATTAGATGGAATCATTCTCAGAAACTGCTTTGCAATGTGTGCCTTCAACTCACAGTGTTTAACCTTTCTTTTCATACAGTTGTTTCGAAACACCCTTTTTGCGGAATCTGGAAGTGGATATTTGGACCTCTTTGAAGTCTTCGTTGGAAATGGGATTTCTTCATATAATGCTAGACAGAAGACTTCTCAGTAACTGGTTTTTCTGGTGTGTATTCAACTCTCAGAGTTGAACTTTCCTTTAGAAACAGCAGATATGAAACTCTCTTTTTGTGGAATTTGCAAGTGGAGATTTCAAAGCATTGAGGCCAATGGTAGAAAAGGAAATATCTTCGTATGCCAACTAGACAGAATCATTCTCAGAAACTACTTTGGTACGTGTGTGTTCAACTCACAGTGTTTAACCTTTCTTTTCATAGAGCAGTTTGGAAACACTCAGTTTGTAAAGTCAGCAACTGGATATTTGGATGTATTTGAGGCCTTCGTTGGAAACGGGATTTCTTCATATAGTGCTAGACAGAAGAATTTCTCAGTAACTTCTTTGGGTTGTGGGTATTCAACTCACAGAGTTGAAGCTTCCTTTAGGCGGAGCAGATTGGAAACACTTTTTGTGGAATTTTCAGGGGGAGACTTCAAGCGCTTTGAAGTGAATGGTAGAAAAGGAAATATCTTCGTATAAAAACTAGACGGAGTCATTCTCAGAAACTACTTTGTGATGTTTGCGTTCAACTCACAGAGTTTAACGTTTCTTTTCATAGAGCAGTTTGGAAACACTCTTTTTGCAGAATCTGCAAGTGGATATTTGGACCTCTTTGTGGCCTTCGTTGGAAACGGGATTTTTCATATAATGCTAGACAGAAGAATTCTCAGTAACTTCTTTTTGTGGTGTGTATTCAACTCACAGAGTTGAACCTTCCTTTAGAAAGAGCAGATTTGAAACTCTCTTTTTGTGGAATTTGCAAGTGGAGATTTCAAGCGCTTTGAGGCCAACGGTAGAAAAGGAAATATCTTCGTAGAAAAAATAGACGGAATCATTCTCAGAAACTGCTTTGGGATGTGTGCATTGAACTCACAGTGTTTAACACTTCTTTTCATAGAGCACTTTGGAAACACTCAGGTTGTAATGTCTGCAGCTGGATATTTGGACCTCTTTGAGGCCTTCGTAGTAAACGGGATTTCTTCGTGTAATGATAGACAATAGAATTCTCAGTGAATTTTTTTCTGTGTGTGTGTATTCAACTCACAGGGTTGAACCTTCCTTTAGACAGTGCAGATTTGAGACACTTGTCTGTGGAATTTGCAAGGGGAGATTTCAAGCACTTTGAGGCCATTGGTGGAAAAGGAAATATCTTCGTATGAAAACTAGACAGAATCATTCTCAGGAACTACTTTGTGATATGTGCATTCAACTCCCAGAGTTTAACCTTTCTTTTCATAGATGAGTTTGGAAACAGTCAGTTTGTAAATTCTGCAACTGGATATTTGGACCTCTTTGAGGCTTTCGTTGGAAACGGGATTTCTTCACATAATGCTAGACAGAAGAATTCTCAGGAACTTCTTTTGGGATGTATGTATTCAAATCAGAGAGTTGAACCTTCCTTTAGACAGAGCGGATTGGAAACACTCTTTTTGTGGAATTTGCAAGTGGAAAATTCTAGCAGTATGAGGCCAATGGTACAAAAGGAAATATCTTCGTATAAAAACTAGACAGTATCATTCTCAGAAACTGCTTTGTGATGTGTGTATTAAACTCACAGAGTTGAACATTTCTTTGCATAGAGCAGTTTGGAAAGACTTAGTTTGTGCAGTGTGCAAGTGGATATTTGGAACTCTTTGAGGCCTTCGTTGGAAACGGGATTTCTTCTTATAATTCTTGACAAAAGAATTCTCAGTAGCTTCTTTGTGTGTGTGTATTCAACTCACAGAGTTGAACCTTCCTTTAGACAGAGCAGATTGGAAACACTCTTTTTGTGGAATTTGCAAGTGGAGAATTCTAGCGCTTTGACGCCAATGGTAGAAAGGAAATATGCTTCGTATAAAAACTAGACAGTAATCATTCTCAGAAGCTACTTTGTGATGTGTGCGTTCAACTCACAGAGTTTAACCTTTCTTTTCATAGAGCAGTTTGGAAACACTCTGTTTGTGAAGTCTGCAAGTGGATATTTAAACGTCTTTGAGGCCTTCGTTGGAAACGGGATTTTTTCATATAAACCAGGACAGAAGAATTCTCAGAAACTTCTTGTTTGTTATGTGTGCATTCAACTCACAGAGTTGAACCTTACTTTGGAAAGAGCAGTTTTCTAACACTCTTTTTGTAAAAGTTCCAAGTGAATACTTTGAGTGCTTTGAAGCCTACGGTAGACAACGAAATATCTTCATGTAAAAACTGCGAAGAATCATTCGCCGAAACCACGTTGTGATCTCTGCATTCAACTCACAGAGTTCAACGTTTCTTCCTATAGAGCAGTTATTAAACAGTCTCTTTGTAGAATTTGCAAGGGTGTATTTAGAAGGCATTGAAGCCTACGGTAGAAAAGGAAATATCTGACCATAAAATCTAGTCAGAAGCATTCTCAGAAACTGAGTTGTGATGTTTGCGTTCAACTCACAGAGTTCAACATTCCTTTTAATAGAGCGGTTTTGAAACACTCTTTTTGCAGAATCTGCAAGTGGATATTTGGACCTCTTTGAGGCCTTCGTTGGAAACGGGATTTCTTTGTGTAATGATGGACAGTAGAATTCTAAGTAATTTCTTCGTGTTGTGTGTATTCAACTCACAGCGGTGAATCTTCCTTTAGACAGAGCAGATTTGAAACACTTTTTTGAGGAATTTGGAAGTGGAGATTTCAAGGGCTTTGAGGCCAATATTGGAAAAGGAAATATCTTCGTATATAAACTAGAGAGAATCATTTTCAGAAACTACTTTGTGATGTGTGCTTTCAACTCACAGAGTTTAACCTTTCTTGTGATGGAGCATTTTGGAAACACTCTGTTTGTAAAGTCTGCAAGTGAATATTTAGACCTCTTTGAGACCTTTGTTGGAAACGGGATTTCTTCATATAATGCTAGACAGAAGAATTCTCAGTAACTTCTTTTTGTGGTGTGTATTCAACTCACAGCAGTTGAACCTTCCTTTAGACAGAGCAGATTTGAAACTCTCTTTTTGTGGAATTTGCAAGTGGAGATTTCAAGCGCTTTGAGGCCAACGGCAGAAAAGGAAATATCTTCGTAGAAAAAATAGACGGCATCATTCTCAGAAACTGCTTTGGGATGTGTGCATTGAACTCACAGTGTTTAACACTTCTTTTCATAGAGCACTTTGGAAAAACTCAGTTTGTAATGTCTGCAGCTGGATATTTGGACCTCTTTGAGGCCTTCGTAGTAAACGGGATTTCTTCGTGTAATGATAGACAATGAATTCTCAGTGAATTTTTTCTGTGTGTGTGTATTCAACTCACAGGGTTGAACCTTCCTTTAGACAGTGCAGATTTGAAACACTTGTCTGTGGAATTTGCAAGGGGAGATTTCAAGCACTTTGAGGCCATTGGTGGAAAAGGAAATATCTTCGTATAAAAACTAGACAGAATCATTCTCAGGAACTACTTTGTGATATGTGCATTCAACTCCCAGAGTTTAACCTTTCTTTTCATAGATGAGTTTGGAAACAGTCAGTTTGTAAATTCTGCAACTGGATATTTGGACCTCTTTGAGGCTTTCGTTGGAAACGGGATTTCTTCACATAATGCTAGACAGAAGAATTCTCAGGAACTTCTTTTGGGATGTATGTATTCAAATCAGAGAGTTGAACCTTCCTTTAGACAGAGCGGATTGGAAACACTCTTTTTGTGGAATTTGCAAGTGGAAAATTCTAGCAGTATGAGGCCAATGGTACAAAAGGAAATATCTTCGTATAAAAACTAGACAGTATCATTCTCAGAAACTGCTTTGTGATGTGTGTATTAAACTCACAGAGTTGAACATTTCTTTGCATAGAGCAGTTTGGAAAGACTTAGTTTGTGCAGTGTGCAAGTGGATATTTGGAACTTTTTGAGGCCTTCGTTGGAAACGGGATTTCTTCTTATAATTCTTGACAAAAGAATTCTCAGTAGCTTCTTTGTGTGTGTGTATTCAACTCACAGAGTTGAACCTTCCTTTAGACAGAGCAGATTGGAAACACTCTTTTTGTGGAATTTGCAAGTGGAGAATTCTAGCGCTTTGACGCCAATGGTAGAAAGGAAATATCTTCGTATAAAAACTAGACAGTATCATTCTCAGAAGCTACTTTGTGATGTGTGCGTTCAACTCACAGAGTTTAACCTTTCTTTTCATAGAGCAGTTTGGAAACCCTCTGTTTGTGAAGTCTGCAAGTGGATATTTAAACGTCTTTGAGGCCTTCGTTGGAAACGGGATTTTTTCATATAAACCAGGACAGAAGAATTCTCAGAAACTTCTTGATTGTTATGTGTGCATTCAACTCACAGAGTTGAACCTTACTTTGGAAAGAGCAGTTTTCTAACACTCTTTTTGTAAAAGTTCCAAGTGAATACTTTGAGTGCTTTGAAGCCTACGGTTGACAACGAAATATCTTCATGTAAAAACTACAAAGAATCATTCGCAGAAACCACGTTGTGATCTCTGCATTCAACTCACAGAGTTCAACCTTTCTTCCTATAGAGCAGTTATGAAACAGTCTCTTTGTAGAATTTGCAAGGGTGTATTTAGAGGGCATTGAAGCCTACGGTAGAAAAGGAAATATCTTACCATAAAATCTAGTCAGAAGCATTCTCAGCAACTGAGTTGCGATGTTTGCATTCAACTCACAGAGTTCAACATTCCTTTTAATGGAGCGGTTTTGAAACACTCTTTTTGCAGAATCTGCAAGTGGATATTTGGACCTCTTTGAGGCCTTCGTTGGAAACGGGATTTCTTCATGTAATGCCAGACAGAAGAATTCTCAGTGAATTCTTTCTGTGTGTGTGTATTCAACTCACAGAGTTGAACGTTCCTTTAGACAGAGTAGATTGGAAACACTCTTTTTGTGGAATTTTCAGGTGGAGGTATCAAGCGCTTTGAGGCCAATGATAGAAAAGGAAATACCTTCGTATAATAATTAGACGGAATCATTCTCAGAAACTGCTTTGCAATGTGTGCGTTCAACTCACAGTGTTTAACCTTTCTTTTCATACAGTTGTTTCGAAACACTCTTTTTGCAGAATCTGCAAGTGGATATTTGGACCTCTTTGAAGTCTTCGTTGGAAATGGGATTTCTTCATATAATGCTAGACAGAAGACTTCTCAGTAACTGCTTTTTCTGGTGTGTATTCAACTCTCAGAGTTGAACTTTCCTTTAGAAACAGCAGATTTGAAACTCTCTTTTTGTGGAATTTGCAAGTGGAGATTTCAGAGCTTTGAGGCCAATGGTAGAAAAGGAAATATCTTCGTATGCAAACTAGACAGAATCATTCTCAGAAACTACTTTGGTACGTGTGTGTTCAACTCACAGTGTTTAACCTTTCTTTTCATAGAGCAGTTTGGAAACACTCAGTTTGTAAAGTCAGCAACTGGATATTTGGATGTATTTGAGGCCTTCGTTGGAAACGGGATTTCTTCATATAATGCTAGACAGAAGAATTCTCAGTAACTTCTTTGGGTTGTGGGTATTCAACTCACAGAGTTGAAGCTTCCTTTAGGCGGAGCAGATTGGAAACACTTTTTGTGGAATTTTCAGGGGGAGACTTCAAGCGCTTTGAAGTGAATGGTAGGAAAGGAAATATCTTCGTATAAAAACTAGACGGAGTCATTCTCAGAAACTACTTTGTGATGTTTGCGTTCAACTCACAGAGTTTAACGTTTCTTTTCATAGAGCAGTTTGGAAACACTCTTTTTGCAGAATCTGCAAGTGGATATTTGGACCTCTTTGTGGCCTTCGTTGGAAACGGGATTTTTCATATAATGCTAGACAGAAGAATTCTCAGTAACTTCTTTTTGTGGTGTGTATTCAACTCACAGAGTTGAACCTTCCTTTAGACAGAGCAGATTTGAAACTCTCTTTTTGTGGAATTTGCAAGTGGAGATTTCAAGCGCTTTGAGGCCAACGGCAGAAAAGGAAATATCTTCGTAGAGAAAATAGACGGAATCATTCTCAGAAACTGCTTTGGGATGTGTGCATTGAACTAACAGTGTTTAACACTTCTTTTCATAGAGCACTTTGGAAACACTCAGTTTGTAATGTCTGCAGCTGGATATTTGGACCTCTTTGAGGCCTTCGTAGTAAACGGGATTTCTTCGTGTAATGATAGACAATAGAATTCTCAGTGAATTTTTTTCTGTGTGTGTGTATTCAACTCACAGGGTTGAACCTTCCTTTAGACAGTGCAGATTTGAAACACTTGTCTGTGGAATTTGCAAGGGGAGATTTCAAGCACTTTGAGGCCATTGGTGGAAAAGGAAATATCTTCGTATAAAAACTAGACAGAATCATTCTCAGGAACTACTTTGTGATATGTGCATTCAACTCCCAGAGTTTAACCTTTCTTTTCATAGATGAGTTTGGAAACAGTCAGTTTGTAAATTCTGCAACTGGATATTTGGACCTCTTTGAGGCTTTCGTTGGAAACGGGATTTCTTCACATAATGCTAGACAGAAGAATTCTCAGTAACTTCTTTTGGGATGTATGTATTCAAATCAGAGAGTTGAACCTTCCTTTAGACAGAGCGGATTGGAAACACTCTTTTTGTGGAATTTGCAAGTGGAAAATTCTAGCAGTATGAGGCCAATGGTACAAAAGGAAATATCTTCGTATAAAAACTAGACAGTATCATTCTCAGAAACTGCTTTGTGATGTGTGTATTAAACTCACAGAGTTGAACATTTCTTTGCATAGAGCAGTTTGGAAAGACTTAGTTTGTGCAGTGTGAAAGTGGATATTTGGAACTCTTTGAGGCCTTCGTTGGAAACGGGATTTCTTCTTATAATTCTTGACAAAAGAATTCTCAGTAGCTTCTTTGTGTGTGTGTATTCAACTCACAGAGTTGAACCTTCCTTTAGACAGAGCAGATTGGAAACACTCTTTTTGTGGAATTTGCAAGTGGAGAATTCTAGCGCTTTGACGCCAATGGTAGAAAGGAAATATCTTCGTATAAAAACTAGACAGTATCATTCTCAGAAACTACTTTGTGATGTGTGCGTTCAATTCACAGAGTTTAACCTTTCTTTTCATAGAGCAGTTTGGAAACACTCTGTTTGTGAAGTCTGCAAGTGGATATTTAAACGTCTTTGAGGCCTTCATTGGAAACGGGATTTGTTCATATAAACCAGGACAGAAGAATTCTCAGAAACTTCTTGATTGTTATGTGTGCATTCAACTCACAGAGTTGAACCTTACTTTGGAAAGAGCAGTTTTCTAACACTCTTTTTGTAAAAGTTCCAAGTGAATACTTTGAGTGCTTTGAAGCCTACGGTTGACAACGAAATATCCTTCATGTAAAAACTACAAAGAATCATTCGCAGAACCACGTTGTGATCTCTGCATTCAACTCACAGAGTTGAACCTTTCTTCCTATAGAGCAGTTATGAAACAGTCTCTTTGTAGAATTTGCAAGGGTGTATTTAGAGGGCATTGAAGCCTACGGTAGAAAAGGAAATATCTTACCATAAAATCTAGTCAGAAGCATTCTCAGAAACTGAGTTGTGATGTTTGCATTCAACTCACAGAGTTCAACATTCCTTTAAATGGAGCGGTTTTGAAACACTCTTTTTGCAGAATCTGCAAGTGGATATTTGGACCTCTTTGAGGCCTTCGTTGGAAACGGGATTTCTTCATGTAATGCCAGACAGAAGAATTCTCAGTGAATTCTTTCTGTGTGTGTGTATTCAACTCACGGAGTTGAACGTTCCTTTAGACAGAGTAGATTGGAAACACTCTTTTTGTGGAATTTTCAGGTGGAGGCATCAAGCGCTTTGAGGCCAATGATAGAAAAGGAAATACCTTCGTATAATAATTAGACGGAATCATTCTCAGAAACTGCTTTGCAATGTGTGCGTTCAACTCACAGTGTTTAACCTTTCTTTTCATACAGTTGTTTCGAAACACTCTTTTTGCAGAATCTGCAAGTGGATATTTGGACCTCTTTGAAGTCTTCGTTGGAAATGGGATTTCTTCATATAATGCTAGACAGAAGACTTCTCAGTAACTGCTTTTTCTGGTGTGTATTCAACTCTCAGAGTTGAACTTTCCTTTAGAAACAGCAGAGTTGAAACTCTCTTTTTGTGGAATTTGCAAGTGGAGATTTCAAAGCTTTGAGGCCAATGGTAGAAAAGGAAATATCTTCGTATGCAAACTAGACAGAATCATTCTCAGAAACTACTTTGGTACGTGTGTGTTCAACTCACAGTGTTTAACCTTTCTTTTCATAGAGCAGTTTGGAAACACTCAGTTTGTAAAGTCAGCAACTGGATATTTGGATGTATTTGAGGCCTTCGTTGGAAACGGGATTTCTTCATATAATGCTAGACAGAAGAATTCTCAGTAACTTCTTAGGGTTGTGGGTATTCAACTCACAGAGTTGAAGCTTCCTTTAGGCGGAGCAGATTGGAAACACTTTTTGTGGAATTTTCAGGGGGAGACTTCAAGCGCTTTGAAGTGAATGGTAGAAAAGGAAATATCTTCGTATAAAAACTAGACGGAGTCATTCTCAGAAACTACTTTGTGATGTTTGCGTTCAACTCACAGAGTTTAACGTTTCTTTTCATAGAGCAGTTTGGAAACACTCTTTTTGCAGAATCTGCAAGTGGATATTTGGACCTCTTTGTGGCCTTCGTTGGAAACGGGATTTTTCATATAATGCTAGACAGAAGAATTCTCAGTAACTTCTTTTTGTGGTGTGTATTCAACTCACAGAGTTGAACCTTCCTTTAGACAGAGCAGATTTGAAACTCTCTTTTTGTGGAATTTGCAAGTGGAGATTTCAAGCGCTTTGAGGCCAACGGCAGAAAAGGAAATATCTTCGTAGAAAAAATAGACGGAATCATTCTCAGAAACTGCTTTGGGATGTGTGCATTGAACTCACAGTGTTTAACACTTCTTTTCATAGAGCACTTTGGAAACACTCAGTTTGTAATGTCTGCAGCTGGATATTTGGACCTCTTTGAGGCCTTCGTAGTAAACGGGATTTCTTCGTGTAATGATAGACAATAGAATTCTCAGTGAATTTTTTTCTGTGTGTGTGTATTCAACTCACAGGGTTGAACCTTCCTTTAGACAGTGCAGATTTGAAACACTTGTCTGTGGAATTTGCAAGGGGAGATTTCAAGCACTTTGAGGCCATTGGTGGAAAAGGAAATATCTTCGTATGAAAACTAGACAGAATCATTCTCAGGAACTACTTTGTGATATGTGCATTCAACTCCCAGAGTTTAACCTTTCTTTTCATAGATGAGTTTGGAAACAGTCAGTTTGTAAATTCTGCAACTGGATATTTGGACCTCTTTGAGGCTTTCGTTGGAAACGGGATTTCTTCACATAATGCTAGACAGAAGAATTCTCAGTAACTTCTTTTGGGATGTATGTATTCAAATCAGAGAGTTGAACCTTCCTTTAGACAGAGCGGATTGGAAACACTCTTTTTGTGGAATTTGCAAGTGGAAAATTCTAGCAGTATGAGGCCAATGGTACAAAAGGAAATATCTTCGTATAAAAACTAGACAGTATCATTCTCAGAAACTGCTTTGTGATGTGTGTATTAAACTCACAGAGTTGAACATTTCTTTGCATAGAGCAGTTTGGAAAGACTTAGTTTGTGCAGTGTGCAAGTGGATATTTGGTACTCTTTGAGGCCTTCGTTGGAAACGGGATTTCTTCTTATAATTCTTGACAAAAGAATTCTCAGTAGCTTCTTTGTGTGTGTGTATTCAACTCACAGAGTTGAACCTTCCTTTAGACAGAGCAGATTGGAAACACTCTTTTTGTGGAATTTGCAAGTGGAGAATTCTAGCGCTTTGACGCCAATGGTAGAAAGGAAATATCTTCGTATAAAAACTAGACAGTATCATTCTCAGAAGCTACTTTGTGATGTGTGCGTTCAACTCACAAGGTTTAACCTTTCTTTTCATAGAGCAGTTTGGAAACCCTCTGTTTGTGAAGTCTGCAAGTGGATATTTAAACGTCTTTGAGGCCTTCGTTGGAAACGGGATTTTTTCATATAAACCAGGACAGAAGAATTCTCAGAAACTTCTTGATTGTTATGTGTGCATTCAACACACAGAGTTGAACCTTACTTTGGAAAGAGCAGTTTTCTAACACTCTTTTTGTAAAAGTTGCAAGTGAATACTTTGAGTGCTTTGAAGCCTACGGTTGACAACGAAATATCTTCATGTAAAAACTACAAAGAATCATTCGCAGAAACCACGTTGTGATCTCTGCATTCAACTCACAGAGTTGAACCTTTCTTCCTATAGAGCAGTTATGAAACAGTCTCTTTGTAGAATTTGCAAGGGTGTATTTAGAGGGCATTGAAGCCTACGGTAGAAAAGGAAATATCTTACCATAAAATCTAGTCAGAAGCATTCTCAGAAACTGAGTTGTGATGTTTGCATTCAACTCACAGAGTTCAACATTCCTTTTAATGGAGCGGTTTTGAAACACTCTTTTTGCAGAATCTGCAAGTGGATATTTGGACCTCTTTGAGGCCTTCGTTGGAAACGGGATTTCTTCATGTAATGCCAGACAGAAGAATTCTCAGTGAATTCTTTCTGTGTGTGTGTATTCAACTCACAGAGTTGAACGTTCCTTTAGACAGAGTAGATTGGAAACACTCTTTTTGTGGAATTTTCAGGTGGAGGTATCAAGCGCTTTGAGGCCAATGATAGAAAAGGAAATACCTTCGTATAATAATTAGACGGAATCATTCTCAGAAACTGCTCTGCAATGTGTGCGTTCAACTCACAGTGTTTAACCTTTCTTTTCATACAGTTGTTTCGAAACACTCTTTTTGCAGAATCTGCAAGTGGATATTTGGACCTCTTTGAAGTCTTCGTTGGAAATGGGATTTCTTCATATAATGCTAGACAGAAGACTTCTCAGTAACTGCTTTTTCTGGTGTGTATTCAACTCTCAGAGTTGAACTTTCCTTTAGAAACAGCAGAGTTGAAACTCTCTTTTTGTGGAATTTGCAAGTGGAGATTTCAAAGCTTTGAGGCCAATGGTAGAAAAGGAAATATCTTCGTATGCAAACTAGACAGAATCATTCTCAGAAACTACTTTGGTACGTGTGTGTTCAACTCACAGTGTTTAACCTTTCTTTTCATAGAGCAGTTTGGAAACACTCAGTTTGTAAAGTCAGCAACTGGATATTTGGATGTATTTGAGGCCTTCGTTGGAAACGGGATTTCTTCATATAATGCTAGACAGAAGAATTCTCAGTAACTTCTTTGGGTTGTGGGTATTCAACTCACAGAGTTGAAGCTTCCTTTAGGCGGAGCAGATTGGAAACACTTTTTCTGGAATTTTCAGGGGGAGACTTCAAGCGCTTTGAAGTGAATGGTAGAAAAGGAAATATCTTCGTATAAAAACTAGACGGAGTCATTCTCAGAAACTACTTTGTGATGTTTGCGTTCAACTCACAGAGTTTAACGTTTCTTTTCATAGAGCAGTTTGGAAACACTCTTTTTGCAGAATCTGCAAGTGGATATTTGGACCTCTTTGTGGCCTTCGTTGGAAACGGGATTTTTCATATAATGCTAGACAGAAGAATTCTCAGTAACTTCTTTTTGTGGTGTGTATTCAACTCACAGAGTTGAACCTTCCTTTAGACAGAGCAGATTTGAAACTCTCTTTTTGTGGAATTTGCAAGTGGAGATTTCAAGCGCTTTGAGGCCAACGGTAGAAAAGGAAATATCTTCGTAGAAAAAATAGACGGAATCATTCTCAGAAACTGCTTTGGGATGTGTGCATTGAACTCACAGTGTTTAACACTTCTTTTCATAGAGCACTTTGGAAACACTCAGTTTGAAATGTCTGCAGCTGGATATTTGGACCTCTTTGAGGCCTTCGTAGTAAACGGGATTTCTTCGTGTAATGATAGACAATAGAATTCTCAGTGAATTTTTTTCTGTGTGTGTGTATTCAACTCACAGGGTTGAACCTTCCTTTAGACAGTGCAGATTTGAGACACTTGTCTGTGGAATTTGCAAGGGGAGATTTCAAGCACTTTGAGGCCATTGGTGGAAAAGGAAATATCTTCGTATAAAAACTAGACAGAATCATTCTCAGGAACTACTTTGTGATATGTGCATTCAACTCACAGAGTTTAACCTTTCTTTTCATAGATGAGTTTGGAAACAGTCAGTTTGTAAATGCTGCAACTGGATATTTGGGCCTCTTTGAGGCTTTCGTTGGAAACGGGATTTCTTCACATAATGCTAGACAGAAGAATTCTCAGTAACTTCTTTTGGGATGTATGTATTCAAATCAGAGAGTTGAACCTTCCTTTAGACAGAGCGGATTGGAAACACTCTTTTTGTGGAATTTGCAAGTGGAAAATTCTAGCAGTATGAGGCCAATGGTACAAAAGGAAATATCTTCGTATAAAAACTAGACAGTATCATTCTCAGAAACTGCTTTGTGATGTGTGTATTAAACTCACAGATTTGAACATTTCTTTGCATAGAGCAGTATGGAAAGACTTAGTTTGTGCAGTGTGCAAGTGGATATTTGGAACTCTTTGAGGCCTTGGTTGGAAACGGGATTTCTTCTTATAATTCTTGACAAAAGAATTCTCAGTAGCTTCTTTGTGTGTGTGTACTCAACTCACAGAGTTGAACCTTCCTTTAGACAGAGCAGATTGGAAACACTCTTTTTGTGGAATTTGCAAGTGGAAAATTCTAGCAGTATGAGGCCAATGGTACAAAAGGAAATATCTTCGTATAAAAACTAGACAGTATCATTCTCAGAAACTACTTTGTGAGGTGTGCGTTCAACTCACAGTGTTTACCCTTTCTTTTCATAGAGCAGTTTGGAAACACTCTGTTTGTGAAGTCTGCAAGTGGATATTTAAACGTCTTTGAGGCCTTCGTTGGAAACGGGATTTCTTCATATAAACCAGGACAGAAGAATTCTCAGAAACTTCTTGTTTGTTATGTGTGCATTCAACTCACAGAGTTGAACCTTACTTTGGAAAGAGCAGTTTTCTAACACTCTTTTTTTTAAATTTCCAAGTGAATACTTTGAGTGCTTTGAAGCCTTACGGTAGACAACGAAATATCTTCATGTAAAAACTACAAAGAATCATTCGCAGAAACCACGTTGTGATCTCTGCTTTCAACTCACAGAGTTGAACCTTTCCTCCTATAGAGCAGTTATGAAACAGTCTCTTTGTTGAATTTGCAAGGGTGTATTTACAGGGCATTGAAGCCT
This sequence comes from Homo sapiens, assembly GCF_000001405.40. Lineage (NCBI taxonomy): Eukaryota > Metazoa > Chordata > Mammalia > Primates > Hominidae > Homo > Homo sapiens. The sequence goes on from NC_000003.12 coordinate 92,017,180, forward strand.
ATGGTAGAAAAGGAAATATCTTACCATAAAATCTAGTCAGAAGCATTCTCAGAAACTGAGTTGTGATGTTTGCATTCAACTCACAGAGTTCAACATTCCTTTTAATGGAGCGGTTTTGAAACACTCTTTTTGCAGAATCTGCAAGTGGATATTTGGACCTCTTTGAGGCCTTCGTTGGAAACGGGATTTCTTCATGTAATGCCAGACAGAAGAATTCTCAGTGAATTCTTTCTGTGTGTGTGTATTCAACTCACGGAGTTGAACGTTCCTTTAGACAGAGTAGATTGGAAACACTCTTTTTGTGGAATTTTCAGGTGGAGGTATCAAGCGCTTTGAGGCCAATGATAGAAAAGGAAATACCTTCGTATAATAATTAGACGGAATCATTCTCAGAAACTGCTCTGCAATGTGTGCGTTCAACTCACAGTGTTTAACCTTTCTTTTCATACAGTTGTTTCGAAACACTCTTTTTGCAGAATCTGCAAGTGGATATTTGGACCTCTTTGAAGTCTTCGTTGGAAATGGGATTTCTTCATATAATGCTAGACAGAAGACTTCTCAGTAACTGCTTTTTCTGGTGTGTATTCAACTCTCAGAGTTGAACTTTCCTTTAGAAACAGCAGAGTTGAAACTCTCTTTTTGTGGAATTTGCAAGTGGAGATTTCAAAGCTTTGAGGCCAATGGTAGAAAAGGAAATATCTTCGTATGCAAACTAGACAGAATCATTCTCAGAAACTACTTTGGTACGTGTGTGTTCAACTCACAGTGTTTAACCTTTCTTTTCATAGAGCAGTTTGGAAACACTCAGTTTGTAAAGTCAGCAACTGGATATTTGGATGTATTTGAGGCCTTCGTTGGAAACGGGATTTCTTCATATAATGCTAGACAGAAGAATTCTCAGTAACTTCTTTGGGTTGTGGGTATTCAACTCACAGAGTTGAAGCTTCCTTTAGGCGGAGCAGATTGGAAACACTTTTTGTGGAATTTTCAGGGGGAGACTTCAAGCGCTTTGAAGTGAATGGTAGAAAAGGAAATATCTTCGTATAAAAACTAGACGGAGTCATTCTCAGAAACTACTTTGTGATGTTTGCGTTCAACTCACAGAGTTTAACGTTTCTTTTCATAGAGCAGTTTGGAAACACTCTTTTTGCAGAATCTGCAAGTGGATATTTGGACCTCTTTGTGGCCTTCGTTGGAAACGGGATTTTTCATATAATGCTAGACAGAAGAATTCTCAGTAACTTCTTTTTGTGGTGTGTATTCAACTCACAGAGTTGAACCTTCCTTTAGACAGAGCAGATTTGAAACTCTCTTTTTGTGGAATTTGCAAGTGGAGATTTCAAGCGCTTTGAGGCCAACGGCAGAAAAGGAAATATCTTCGTAGAAAAAATAGACGGAATCATTCTCAGAAACTGCTTTGGGATGTGTGCATTGAACTCACAGTGTTTAACACTTCTTTTCATAGAGCACTTTGGAAACACTCAGTTTGTAATGTCTGCAGCTGGATATTTGGACCTCTTTGAGGCCTTCGTAGTAAACGGGATTTCTTCGGTGTAATGATAGACAATAGAATTCTCAGTGAATTTTTTTCTGTGTGTGTGTATTCAACTCACAGGGTTGAACCTTCCTTTAGACAGTGCAGATTTGAAACACTTGTCTGTGGAATTTGCAAGGGGAGATTTCAAGCACTTTGAGGCCATTGGTGGAAAAGGAAATATCTTCGTATGAAAACTAGACAGAATCATTCTCAGGAACTACTTTGTGATATGTGCATTCAACTCACAGAGTTTAACCTTTCTTTTCATAGATGAGTTTGGAAACAGTCAGTTTGTAAATTCTGCCACTGGATATTTGGACCTCTTTGAGGCTTTCGTTGGAAACGGGATTTCTTCACATAATGCTAGACAGAAGAATTCTCAGTAACTTCTTTTGGGATGTATGTATTCAAATCAGAGAGTTGAACCTTCCTTTAGACAGAGCGGATTGGAAACACTCTTTTTGTGGAATTTGCAAGTGGAAAATTCTAGCAGTATGAGGCCAATGGTACAAAAGGAAATATTCTTCGTATAAAAACTAGACAGTATCATTCTCAGAAACTGCTTTGTGATGTGTGTATTAAACTCACAGAGTTGAACATTTCTTTGCATAGAGCAGTTTGGAAAGACTTAGTTTGTGCAGTGTGCAAGTGGATATTTGGAACTCTTTGAGGCCTTCGTTGGAAACGGGATTTCTTCTTATAATTCTTGACAAAAGAATTCTCAGTAGCTTCTTTGTGTGTGTGTATTCAACTCACAGAGTTGAACCTTCCTTTAGACAGAGCAGATTGGAAACACTCTTTTTGTGGAATTTGCAAGTGGAGAATTCTAGCGCTTTGACGCCAATGGTAGAAAGGAAATATCTTCGTATAAAAACTAGACAGTATCATTCTCAGAAGCTACTTTGTGATGTGTGCGTTCAACTCACAGAGTTTAACCTTTCTTTTCATAGAGCAGTTTGGAAACCCTCTGTTTGTGAAGTCTGCAAGTGGATATTTAAACGTCTTTGAGGCCTTCGTTGGAAACGGGATTTTTTCATATAAACCAGGACAGAAGAATTCTCAGAAACTTCTTGATTGTTATGTGTGCATTCAACTCACAGAGTTGAACCTTACTTTGGAAAGAGCAGTTTTCTAACACTCTTTTTGTAAAAGTTCCAAGTGAATACTTTGAGTGCTTTGAAGCCTACGGTTGACAACGAAATATCTTCATGTAAAAACTACAAAGAATCATTCGCAGAAACCACGTTGTGATCTCTGCATTCAACTCACAGAGTTGAACCTTTCTTCCTATAGAGCAGTTATGAAACAGTCTCTTTGTAGAATTTGCAAGGGTGTATTTAGAGGGCATTGAAGCCTACGGTAGAAAAGGAAATATCTTACCATAAAATCTAGTCAGAAGCATTCTCAGAAACTGAGTTGTGATGTTTGCATTCAACTCACAGAGTTCAACATTCCTTTTAATGGAGCGGTTTTGAAACACTCTTTTTGCAGAATCTGCAAGTGGATATTTGGACCTCTTTGAGGCCTTCGTTGGAAACGGGATTTCTTCACGTAATGCCAGACAGAAGAATTCTCAGTGAATTCTTTCTGTGTGTGTGTATTCAACTCACAGAGTTGAACGTTCCTTTAGACAGAGTAGATTGGAAACACTCTTTTTGTGGAATTTTCAGGTGGAGGTATCAAGCGCTTTGAGGCCAATGATAGAAAAGGAAATACCTTCGTATAATAATTAGACGGAATCATTCTCAGAAACTGCTTTGCAATGTGTGCGTTCAACTCACAGTGTTTAACCTTTCTTTTCATACAGTTGTTTCGAAACACTCTTTTTGCAGAATCTGCAAGTGGATATTTGGACCTCTTTGAAGTCTTCGTTGGAAATGGGATTTCTTCATATAATGCTAGACAGAAGACTTCTCAGTAACTGCTTTTTCTGGTGTGTATTCAACTCTCAGAGTTGAACTTTCCTTTAGAAACAGCAGATTTGAAACTCTCTTTTTGTGGAATTTGCAAGTGGAGATTTCAGAGCTTTGAGGCCAATGGTAGAAAAGGAAATATCTTCGTATGCAAACTAGACAGAATCATTCTCAGAAACTACTTTTGTACGTGTGTGTTCAACTCACAGTGTTCAACCTTTCCTTTCATAGAGCAGTTTGGAAACACTCAGTTTGTAAAGTCAGCAACTGGATATCTGGATGTATTTGAGGCCTTCGTTGGAAACGGGATTTCTTCATATAATGCTAGACAGAAGAATTCTCAGTAACTTCTTTGGGTTGTGGGTATTCAACTCACAGAGTTGAAGCTTCCTTTATGCGGAGCAGATTGGAAACACTTTTTGTGGAATTTTCAGGGGGAGACTTCAAGCGCTTTGAAGTGAATGGTAGGAAAGGAAATATCTTCGTATAAAAACTAGACGGAGTCATTCTCAGAAATTACTTTGTGATGTTTGCGTTCAACTCACAGAGTTTAACGTTTCTTTTCATAGAGCAGTTTGGAAACACTCTTTTTGCAGAATCTGCAAGTGGATATTTGGACCTCTTTGTGGCCTTCGTTGGAAACGGGATTTTTCATATAATGCTAGACAGAAGAATTCTCAGTAACTTCTTTTTGTGGTGTGTATTCAACTCACAGAGTTGAACCTTCCTTTAGACAGAGCAGATTTGAAACTCTCTTTTTGTGGAATTTGCAAGTGGAGATTTCAAGCGCTTTGAGGCCAACGGCAGAAAAGGAAATATCTTCGTAGAAAAAATAGACGGAATCATTCTCAGAAACTGCTTTGGGATGTGTGCATTGAACTCACAGTGTTTAACACTTCTTTTCATAGAGCACTTTGGAAACACTCAGGTTGTAATGTCTGCAGCTGGATATTTGGACCTCTTTGAGGCCTTCGTAGTAAACGGGATTTCTTCGTGTAATGATAGACAATAGAATTCTCAGTGAATTTTTTTCTGTGTGTGTGTATTCAACTCACAGGGTTGAACCTTCCTTTAGACAGTGCAGATTTGAGACACTTGTCTGTGGAATTTGCAAGGGGAGATTTCAAGCACTTTGAGGCCATTGGTGGAAAAGGAAATATCTTCGTATGAAAACTAGACAGAATCATTCTCAGGAACTACTTTGTGATATGTGCATTCAACTCACAGAGTTTAACCTTTCTTTTCATAGATGAGTTTGGAAACAGTCAGTTTGTAAATTCTGCAACTGGATATTTGGACCTCTTTGAGGCTTTCGTTGGAAACGGGATTTCTTCACATAATGCTAGACAGAAGAATTCTCAGTAACTTCTTTTGGGATGTATGTATTCAAATCAGAGAGTTGAACCTTCCTTTAGACAGAGCGGATTGGAAACACTCTTTTTGTGGAATTTGCAAGTGGAAAATTCCTAGCAGTATGAGGCCAATGGTACAAAAGGAAATATCTTCGTATAAAAACTAGACAGTATCATTCTCAGCAAACTGCTTTGTGATGTGTGTATTAAACTCACAGATTTGAACATTTCTTTGCATAGAGCAGTATGGAAAGACTTAGTTTGTGCAGTGTGCAAGTGGATATTTGGAACTCTTTGAGGCCTTGGTTGGAAACGGGATTTCTTCTTATAATTCTTGACAAAAGAATTCTCAGTAGCTTCTTTGTGTGTGTGTATTCAACTCACAGAGTTGAACCTTCCTTTAGACAGAGCAGATTGGAAACACTCTTTTTGTGGAATTTGCAAGTGGAGAATTCTAGCGCTTTGACGCCAATGGTGGAAAGGAAATATCTTCGTATAAAAACTAGACAGTATCATTCTCAGAAACTACTTTGTGATGTGTGCGTTCAACTCACAGAGTTTAACCTTTCTCTTCATAGAGCAGTTTGGAAACACTCTGTTTGTGAAGTCTGCAAGTGGATATTTAAACATCTTTGAGGCCTTCGTTGGAAACGGGATTTGTTCATATAAACCAGGACAGAAGAATTCTCAGAAACTTCTTGATTGTTATGTGTGCATTCAACTCACAGAGTTGAACCTTACTTTGGAAAGAGCAGTTTTCTAACACTCTTTTTGTAAAAGTTCCAAGTGAATACTTTGAGTGCTTTGAAGCCTACGGTTGACAACGAAATATCCTTCATGTAAAAACTACAAAGAATCATTCGCAGAAACCACGTTGTGATCTCTGCAGTCAACTCACAGAGTTCAACCTTTCTTCCTATAGAGCAGTTATGAAACAGTCTCTTTGTAGAATTTGCAAGGGTGTATTTAGAGGGCATTGAAGCCTACGGTAGAAAAGGAAATATCTTACCATAAAATCTAGTCAGAAGCATTCTCAGAAACTGAGTTGTGATGTTTGCATTCAACTCACAGAGTTCAACATTCCTTTTAATGGAGCGGTTTTGAAACACTCTTTTTGCAGAATCTGCAAGTGGATATTTGGACCTCTTTGAGGCCTTCGTTGGAAACGGGATTTCTTCATGTAATGCCAGACAGAAGAATTCTCAGTGAATTCTTTCTGTGTGTGTGTATTCAACTCACAGAGTTGAACGTTCCTTTAGACAGAGTAGATTGGAAACACTCTTTTTGTGGAATTTTCAGGTGGAGGTATCAAGCGCTTTGAGGCCAATGATAGAAAAGGAAATACCTTCGTATAATAATTAGACGGAATCATTCTCAGAAACCGCTTTGCAATGTGTGCGTTCAACTCACAGTGTTTAACCTTTCTTTTCATACAGTTGTTTCGAAACACTCTTTTTGCAGAATCTGCAAGTGGATATTTGGACCTCTTTGAAGTCTTCGTTGGAAATGGGATTTCTTCATATAATGCTAGACAGAAGACTTCTCAGTAACTGCTTTTTCTGGTGTGTATTCAACTCTCAGAGTTGAACTTTCCTTTAGAAACAGCAGATTTGAAACTCTCTTTTTGTGGAATTTGCAAGTGGAGATTTCAGAGCTTTGAGGCCACTGGTAGAAAAGGAAATATCTTCGTATGCAAACTAGACAGAATCATTCTCAGAAACTACTTTGGTACGTGTGTGTTCAACTCACAGTGTTTAACCTTTCTTTTCATAGAGCAGTTTGGAAACACTCAGTTTGTAAAGTCAGCAACTGGGTATTTGGATGTATTTGAGGCCTTCGTTGGAAACGGGATTTCTTCATATAATGCTAGACAGAAGAATTCTCAGTAACTTCTTTGGGTTGTGGGTATTCAAGTCACAGAGTTGAAGCTTCCTTTAGGCGGAGCAGATTGGAAACACTTTTTGTGGAATTTTCAGGGGGAGACTTCAAGCGCTTTGAAGTGAATGGTAGGAAAGGAAATATCTTCGTATAAAAACTAGACGGAGTCATTCTCAGAAACTACTTTGTGATGTTTGCGTTCAACTCACAGAGTTTAACGTTTCTTTTCATAGAGCAGTTTGGAAACACTCTTTTTGCAGAATCTGCAAGTGGATATTTGGACCTCTTTGTGGCCTTCGTTGGAAACGGGATTTTTCATATAATGCTAGACAGAAGAATTCTCAGTAACTTCTTTTTGTGGTGTGTATTCAACTCACAGAGTTGAACCTTCCTTTAGACAGAGCAGATTTGAAACTCTCTCTTTGTGGAATTTGCAAGTGGAGATTTCAAGCGCTTTGAGGCCAACGGCAGAAAAGGAAATATCTTCGTAGAAAAAATAGACGGAATCATTCTCAGAAACTGCTTTGGGATGTGTGCATTGAACTCACAGTGTTTAACACTTCTTTTCATAGAGCACTTTGGAAACACTCAGGTTGTAATGTCTGCAGCTGGATATTTGGACCTCTTTGAGGCCTTCGTAGTAAACGGGATTTCTTCGTGTAATGATAGACAATAGAATTCTCAGTGAATTTTTTTCTGTGTGTGTGTATTCAACTCACAGGGTTGAACCTTCCTTTAGACAGTGCAGATTTGAGACACTTGTCTGTGGAATTTGCAAGGGGAGATTTCAAGCACTTTGAGGCCATTGGTGGAAAAGGAAATATCTTCGTATGAAAACTAGACAGAATCATTCTCAGGAACTACTTTGTGATATGTGCATTCAACTCCCAGAGTTTAACCTTTCTTTTCATAGATGAGTTTGGAAACAGTCAGTTTGTAAATTCTGCAACTGGATATTTGGACCTCTTTGAGGCTTTCGTTGGAAACGGGATTTCTTCACATAATGCTAGACAGAAGAATTCTCAGGAACTTCTTTTGGGATGTATGTATTCAAATCAGAGAGTTGAACCTTCCTTTAGACAGAGCGGATTGGAAACACTCTTTTTGTGGAATTTGCAAGTGGAAAATTCTAGCAGTATGAGGCCAATGGTACAAAAGGAAATATCTTCGTATAAAAACTAGACAGTATCATTCTCAGAAACTGCTTTGTGATGTGTGTATTAAACTCACAGAGTTGAACATTTCTTTGCATAGAGCAGTTTGGAAAGACTTAGTTTGTGCAGTGTGCAAGTGGATATTTGGAACTCTTTGAGGCCTTCGTTGGAAACGGGATTTCTTCTTATAATTCTTGACAAAAGAATTCTCAGTAGCTTCTTTGTGTGTGTGTATTCAACTCACAGAGTTGAACCTTCCTTTAGACAGAGCAGATTGGAAACACTCTTTTTGTGGAAATTGCAAGTGGAGAATTCTAGCGCTTTGACGCCAATGGTAGAAAGGAAATATCTTCGTATAAAAACTAGACAGTATCATTCTCAGAAGCTACTTTGTGATGTGTGCGTTCAACTCACAGAGTTTAACCTTTCTTTTCATAGAGCAGTTTGGAAACCCTCTGTTTGTGAAGTCTGCAAGTGGATATTTAAACGTCTTTGAGGCCTTCGTTGGAAACGGGATTTTTTCATATAAACCAGGACAGAAGAATTCTCAGAAACGTCTTGATTGTTATGTGTGCATTCAACTCACAGAGTTGAACCTTACTTTGGAAAGAGCAGTTTTCTAATACTCTTTTTGTAAAAGTTCCAAGTGAATACTTTGAGTGCTTTGAAGCCTACGGTTGACAACGAAATATTTTCATGTAAAAACTACAAAGAATCATTTGCAGAAACCACGTTGTGATCTCTGCATTCAACTCACAGAGTTGAACCTTTCTTCCTATAGAGCAGTTATGAAACAGTCTCTTTGTAGAGTTTGCAAGGGTGTATTTAGAGGGCATTGAAGCCTACGGTAGAAAAGGAAATATCTTACCATAAAATCTAGTCAGAAGCATTCTCAGCAACTGAGTTGTGATGTTTGCATTCAACTCACAGAGTTCAACATTCCTTTTAATGGAGCGGTTTTGAAACACTCTTTTTGCAGAATCTGCAAGTGGATATTTGAACCTCTTTGAGGCCTTCGTTGGAAACGGGATTTCTTCATGTAATGCCAGACAGAAGAATTCTCAGTGAATTCTTTCTGTGTGTGTGTATTCAACTCACAGAGTTGAACGTTCCTTTAGACAGAGTAGATTGGAAACACTCTTTTTGTGGAATTTTCAGGTGGAGGTATCAAGCGCTTTGAGGCCAATGATAGAAAAGGAAATACCTTCGTATAATAATTAGACGGAATCATTCTCAGAAACTGCTTTGCAATGTGTGCGTTCAACTCACAGTGTTTAACCTTTCTTTTCATACAGTTGTTTCGAAACACTCTTTTTGCAGAATCTGCAAGTGGATATTTGGACCTCTTTGAAGTCTTCGTTGGAAATGGGATTTCTTCATATAATGCTAGACAGAAGACTTCTCAGTAACTGCTTTTTCTGGTGTGTATTCAACTCTCAGAGTTGAACTTTCCTTTAGAAACAGCAGATTTGAAACTCTCTTTTTGTGGAATTTGCAAGTGGAGATTTCAGAGCTTTGAGGCCAATGGTAGAAAAGGAAATATCTTCGTATGCAAACTAGACAGAATCATTCTCAGAAACTACTTTGGTACGTGTGTGTTCAACTCACAGTGTTTAACCTTTCTTTTCATAGAGCAGTTTGGAAACACTCAGTTTGTAAAGTCAGCAACTGGATATTTGGATGTATTTGAGGCCTTCGTTGGAAACGGGATTTCTTCATATAATGCTAGACAGAAGAATTCTCAGTAACTTCTTTGGGTTGTGGGTATTCAAGTCACAGAGTTGAAGCTTCCTTTAGGCGGAGCAGATTGGAAACACTTTTTGTGGAATTTTCAGGGGGAGACTTCAAGCGCTTTGAAGTGAATGGTAGGAAAGGAAATATCTTCGTATAAAAACTAGACGGAGTCATTCTCAGAAACTACTTTGTGATGTTTGCGTTCAACTCACAGAGTTTAACGTTTCTTTTCATAGAGCAGTTTGGAAACACTCTTTTTGCAGAATCTGCAAGTGGATATTTGGACCTCTTTGTGGCCTTCGTTGGAAACGGGATTTTTCATATAATGCTAGACAGAAGAATTCTCAGTAACTTCTTTTTGTGGTGTGTATTCAACTCACAGAGTTGAACCTTCCTTTAGACAGAGCAGATTTGAAACTCTCTTTTTGTGGAATTTGCAAGTGGAGATTTCAAGCGCTTTGAGGCCAACGGCAGAAAAGGAAATATCTTCGTAGAAAAAATAGACGGAATCATTCTCAGAAACTGCTTTGGGATGTGTGCATTGAACTCACAGTGTTTAACACTTCTTTTCATAGAGCACTTTGGAAACACTCAGTTTGTAATGTCTGCAGCTGGATATTTGGACCTCTTTGAGGCCTTCGTAGTAAACGAGATTTCTTCGTGTAATGATAGACAATAGAATTCTCAGTGAATTTTTTTCTGTGTGTGTGTATTCAACTCACAGGGTTGAACCTTCCTTTAGACAGTGCAGATTTGAAACACTTGTCTGTGGAATTTGCAAGGGGAGATTTCAAGCACTTTGAGGCCATTGGTGGAAAAGGAAATATCTTCGTATAAAAACTAGACAGAATCATTCTCAGGAACTACTTTGTGATATGTGCATTCAACTCACAGAGTTTAACCTTTCTTTTCATAGATGAGTTTGGAAACAGTCAGTTTGTAAATTCTGCAACTGGATATTTGGACCTCTTTGAGGCTTTCGTTGGAAACGGGATTTCTTCACATAATGCTAGACAGAAGAATTCTCAGTAACTTCTTTTGGGATGTATGTATTCAAATCAGAGAGTTGAACCTTCCTTTAGACAGAGCGCATTGGAAACACTCTTTTTGTGGAATTTGCAAGTGGAAAATTCTAGCAGTATGAGGCCAATGGTACAAAAGGAAATATCTTCGTATAAAAACTAGACAGTATCATTCTCAGAAACTCGCTTTGTGATGTGCGTATTAAACTCACAGAGTTGAACATTTCTTTGCATAGAGCAGTTTGGAAAGACTTAGTTTGTGCAGTGTGCAAGTGGATATTTGGAACTCTTTGAGGCCTTCGTTGGAAACGGGATTTCTTCTTATAATTCTTGACAAAAGAATTCTCAGTAGCTTCTTTGTGTGTGTGTATTCAACTCACAGAGTTGAACCTTCCTTTAGACAGAGCAGATTGGAAACACTCTTTTTGTGGAATTTGCAAGTGGAGAATTCTAGCGCTTTGACGCCAATGGTAGAAAGGAAATATCTTCGTATAAAAACTAGACAGTATCATTCTCAGAAACTACTTTGTGATGTGTGCGTTCAACTCACAGAGTTTAACCTTTCTTTTCATAGAGCAGTTTGGAAACACTCTGTTTGTGATGTCTGCAAGTGAATATTTAAACGTCTTTGAGGCCTTCGTTGGAAACGGGATTTTTTCATATAAACCAGGACAGAAGAATTCTCAGAAACTTCTTGATTGTTATGTGTGCATTCAACTCACAGAGTTGAACCTTACTTTGGAAAGAGCAGTTTTCTAACACTCTTTTTGTAAAAGTTCCAAGTGAATACTTTGAGTGCTTTGAAGCCTACGGTTGACAACGAAATATCTTCATGTAAAAACTACAAAGAATCATTCGCAGAAACCACGTTGTGATCTCTGCATTCAACTCACAGAGTTCAACCTTTCTTCCTATAGAGCAGTTATGAAACAGTCTCTTTGTAGAATTTGCAAGGGTGTATTTAGAGGGCATTGAAGCCTACGGTAGAAAAGGAAATATCTTACCATAAAATCTAGTCAGAAGCATTCTCAGCAACTGAGTTGTGATGTTTGCATTCAACTCACAGAGTTCAACATTCCTTTTAATGGAGCGGTTTTGAAACACTCTTTTTGCAGAATCTGCAAGTGGATATTTGGACCTCTTTGAGGCCTTCGTTGGAAACGGGATTTCTTCATGTAATGCCAGACAGAAGAATTCTCAGTGAATTCTTTCTGTGTGTGTGTATTCAACTCACAGAGTTGAACGTTCCTTTAGACAGAGTAGATTGGAAACACTCTTTTTGTGGAATTTTCAGGTGGAGGTATCAAGCGCTTTGAGGCCAATGATAGAAAAGGAAATACCTTCGTATAATAATTAGACGGAATCATTCTCAGAAACCGCTTTGCAATGTGTGCGTTCAACTCACAGTGTTTAACCTTTCTTTTCATACAGTTGTTTCGAAACACTCTTTTTGCAGAATCTGCAAGTGGATATTTGGACCTCTTTGAAGTCTTCGTTGGAAATGGGATTTCTTCATATAATGCTAGACAGAAGACTTCTCAGTAACTGCTTTTTCTGGTGTGTATTCAACTCTCAGAGTTGAACTTTCCTTTAGAAACAGCAGATTTGAAACTCTCTTTTTGTGGAATTTGCAAGTGGAGATTTCAGAGCTTTGAGGCCAATGGTAGAAAAGGAAATATCTTCGTATGCAAACTAGACAGAATCATTCTCAGAAACTACTTTGGTACGTGTGTGTTCAACTCACAGTGTTTAACCTTTCTTTTCATAGAGCAGTTTGGAAACACTCAGTTTGTAAAGTCAGCAACTGGATATGTGGATGTATTTGAGGCCTTCGTTGGAAACGGGATTTCTTCATATAATGCTAGACAGAAGAATTCTCAGTAACTTCTTTGGGTTGTGGGTATTCAAGTCACAGAGTTGAAGCTTCCTTTAGGCGGAGCAGATTGGAAACACTTTTTGTGGAATTTTCAGGGGGAGACTTCAAGCGCTTTGAAGTGAATGGTAGGAAAGGAAATATCTTCGTATAAAAACTAGACGGAGTCATTCTCAGAAACTACTTTGTGATGTTTGCGTTCAACTCACAGAGTTTAACGTTTCTTTTCATAGAGCAGTTTGGAAACACTCTTTTTGCAGAATCTGCAAGTGGATATTTGGACCTCTTTGTGGCCTTCGTTGGAAACGGGATTTTTCATATAATGCTAGACAGAAGAATTCTCAGTAACTTCTTGTTGTGGTGTGTATTCAACTCACAGAGTTGAACCTTCCTTTAGACAGAGCAGATTTGAAACTCTCTTTTTGTGGAATTTGCAAATGGAGATTTCAAGCGCTTTGAGGCCAACGGTAGAAAAGGAAATATCTTCGTAGAAAAAAATAGACGGAATCATTCTCAGAAACTGCTTTGGGATGTGTGCATTGAACTCACAGTGTTTAACACTTCTTTTCATAGAGCACTTTGGAAACACTCAGTTTGTAATGTCTGCAGCTGGATATTTGGACCTCTTTGAGGCCTTCGTAGTAAACGGGATTTCTTCGTGTAATGATAGACAATAGAATTCTCAGTGAATTTTTTTCTCTGTGTGTGTATTCAACTCACAGGGTTGAACCTTCCTTTAGACAGTGCAGATTTGAAACACTTGTCTGTGGAATTTGCAAGGGGAGATTTCAAGCACTCTGAGGCCATTGGTGGAAAAGGAAATATCTTCGTATAAAAACTAGACAGAATCATTCTCAGGAACTACTTTGTGATATGTGCATTCAACTCACAGAGTTTAACCTTTCTTTTCATAGATGAGTTTGGAAACAGTCAGTTTGTAAATGCTGCAACTGGATATTTGGGCCTCTTTGAGGCTTTCGTTGGAAACGGGATTTCTTCACATAATGCTAGACAGAAGAATTCTCAGTAACTTCTTTTGGGATGTATGTATTCAAATCAGAGAGTTGAACCTTCCTTTAGACAGAGCGGATTGGAAACACTCTTTTTGTGGAATTTGCAAGTGGAAAATTCTAGCAGTATGAGGCCAATGGTACAAAAGGAAATATCTTCGTATAAAAACTAGACAGTATCATTCTCAGAAACTGCTTTGTGATGTGTGTATTAAACTCACAGATTTGAACATTTCTTTGCATAGAGCAGTATGGAAAGACTTAGTTTGTGCAGTGTGCAAGTGGATATTTGGAACTCTTTGAGGGCCTTGGTTGGAAACGGGATTTCTTCTTATAATTCTTGACAAAAGAATTCTCAGTAGCTTCTTTGTGTGTGTGTGTACTCAACTCACAGAGTTGAACCTTCCTTTAGACAGAGCAGATTGGAAACACTCTTTTTGTGGAATTTGCAAGTGGAAAATTCTAGCAGTATGAGGCCAATGGTACAAAAGGAAATATCTTCGTATAAAAACTAGACAGTATCATTCTCAGAAACTACTTTGTGATGTGTGCGTTCAACTCACAGTGTTTACCCTTTCTTTTCATAGAGCAGTTTGGAAACACTCTGTTTGTGAAGTCTGCAAGTGGATATTTAAACGTCTTTGAGGCCTTCGTTGGAAACGGGATTTCTTCATATAAACCAGGACAGAAGAATTCTCAGAAACTTCTTGTTTGTTATGTGTGCATTCAACTCACAGAGTTGAACCTTACTTTGGAAAGAGCAGTTTTCTAACACTCTTTTTGTGAAAGTTCCAAGTGAATACTTTGAGTGCTTTGAAGCCTACGGTAGACAACGAAATATCTTCATGTAAAAACTACAAAGAATCATTCGCAGAAACCACGTTGTGATCTCTGCATTCAACTCACAGAGTTGAACCTTTCCTCCTATAGAGCAGTTATGAAGCAGTCTCTTTGTAGAATTTGCAAGGGTGTGTTTACAGGGCATTGAAGCCTACGGTAGAAAAGGAAATATCTTACCATAAAATCTAGTCAGAAGCATTCTCAGAAACTGAGTTGTGATGTTTGCATTCAACTCACAGAGTTCAACATTCCTTTTAATGGAGCGGTTTTGAAACACTCTTTTTGCAGAATCTGCAAGTGGATATTTGGACCTCTTTGAGGCCTTCGTTGGAAACGGGATTTCTTCATGTAATGCCAGACAGAAGAATTCTCAGTGAATTCTTTCTGTGTGTGTGTATTCAACTCACAGAGTTGAACGTTCCTTTAGACAGAGTAGATTGGAAACACTCTTTTTGTGGAATTTTCAGGTGGAGGTATCAAGCGCTTTGAGGCCAATGATAGAAAAGGAAATACCTTCGTATAATAATTAGACGGAATCATTCTCAGAAACTGCTTTGCAATGTGTGCGTTCAACTCACAGTGTTTAACCTTTCTTTTCATACAGTTGTTTCGAAACACTCTTTTTGCAGAATCTGCAAGTGGATATTTGGACCTCTTTGAAGTCTTCGTTGGAAATGGGATTTCTTCATATAATGCTAGACAGAAGACTTCTCAGTAACTGCTTTTTCTGGTGTGTATTCAACTCTCAGAGTTGAACTTTCCTTTAGAAACAGCAGATTTGAAACTCTCTTTTTGTGGAATTTGCAAGTGGAGATTTCAGAGCTTTGAGGCCAATGGTAGAAAAGGAAATATCTTCGTATGCAAACTAGACAGAATCATTCTCAGAAACTACTTTGGTACGTGTGTGTTCAACTCACAGTGTTTAACCTTTCTTTTCATAGAGCAGTTTGGAAACACTCAGTTTGTAAAGTCAGCAACTGGATATTTGGATGTATTTGAGGCCTTCGTTGGAAACGGGATTTCTTCATATAATGCTAGACAGAAGAATTCTCAGTAACTTCTTTGGGTTGTGGGTATTCAACTCACAGAGTTGAAGCTTCCTTTAGGCGGAGCAGATTGGAAACACTTTTTGTGGAATTTTCAGGGGGAGACTTCAAGCGCTTTGAAGTGAATGGTAGGAAAGGAAATATCTTCGTATAAAAACTAGACGGAGTCATTCTCAGAAACTACTTTGTGATGTTTGCGTTCAACTCACAGAGTTTAACGTTTCTTTTCATAGAGCAGTTTGGAAACACTCTTTTTGCAGAATCTGCAAGTGGATATTTGGACCTCTTTGTGGCCTTCGTTGGAAACGGGATTTTTCATATAATGCTAGACAGAAGAATTCTCAGTAACTTCTTTTTGTGGTGTGTATTCAACTCACAGAGTTGAACCTTCCTTTAGACAGAGCAGATTTGAAACTCTCTTTTTGTGGAATTTGCAAGTGGAGATTTCAAGCGCTTTGAGGCCAACGGCAGAAAAGGAAATATCTTCGTAGAAAAAATAGACGGAATCATTCTCAGAAACTGCTTTGGGATGTGTGCATTGAACTCACAGTGTTTAACACTTCTTTTCATAGAGCACTTTGGAAACACTCAGTTTATAATGTCTGCAGCTGGATATTTGGACCTCTTTGAGGCCTTCGTAGTAAACGGGATTTCTTCGTGTAATGATAGACAATAGAATTCTCAGTGAATTTTTTTCTGTGTGTGTGTATTCAACTCACAGGGTTGAACCATCCTTTAGACAGTGCAGATTTGAAACACTTGTCTGTGGAATTTGCAAGGGGAGATTTCAAGCACTTTGAGGCCATTGGTGGAAAAGGAAATATCTTCGTATGAAAACTAGACAGAATCATTCTCAGGAACTACTTTGTGATATGTGCATTCAACTCACAGAGTTTAACCTTTCTTTTCATAGATGAGTTTGGAAACAGTCAGTTTGTAAATTCTGCAACTGGATATTTGGACCTCTTTGAGGCTTTCGTTGGAAACGGGATTTCTTCACATAATGCTAGACAGAAGAATTCTCAGTAACTTCTTTTGGGATGTATGTATTCAAATCAGAGAGTTGAACCTTCCTTTAGACAGAGCGGATTGGAAACACTCTTTTTGTGGAATTTGCAAGTGGAAAATTCTAGCAGTATGAGGCCAATGGTACAAAAGGAAATATCTTCGTATAAAAACTAGACAGTATCGTTCTCAGAAACTGCTTTGTGATGTGTGAATTAAACTCACAGAGTTGAACATTTCTTTGCATAGAGCAGTTTGGAAAGACTTAGTTTGTGCAGTGTGCAAGTGGATATTTGGAACTCTTTGAGGCCTTCGTTGGAAACGGGATTTCTTCTTATAATTCTTGACAAAAGAATTCTCAGTAGCTTCTTTGTGTGTGTGTATTCAACTCACAGAGTTGAACCTTCCTTTAGACAGAGCAGATTGGAAACACTCTTTTTGTGGAATTTGCAAGTGGAGAATTCTAACGCTTTGACGCCAATGGTAGAAAGGAAATATCTTCGTATAAAAACTAGACAGTATCTTTCTCAGAAACAACTTTGTGATGTGTGCGTTCAACTCACAGAGTTTAACCTTTCTTTTCATAGAGCAGTTTGGAAACACTCTGTTTGTGAAGTCTGCAAGTGGATATTTAAACGTCTCTGAGGCCTTCGTTGGAAACGGGATTTTTTCATATAAACCAGGACAGAAGAATTCTCAGAAACTTCTTGATTGTTATGTGTGCATTCAACTCACAGAGTTGAACCTTACTTTGGAAAGAGCAGTTTTCTAACACTCTTTTTGTAAAAGTTCCAAGTGAATACTTTGAGTGCTTTGAAGCCTACGGTTGACAACGAAATATCTTCCTGTAAAAACTACAAAGAATCATTCGCAGAAACCACGTTGTGATCTCTGCATTCAACTCACAGAGTTGAACCTTTCTTCCTATAGAGCAGTTATGAAACAGTCTCTTTGTAGAATTTGCAAGGGTGTATTTAGAGGGCATTGAAGCCTACGGTAGAAAAGGAAATATCGTACCATAAAATCTAGTCAGAAGCATTCTCAGCAACTGAGTTGTGATGTTTGCATTCAACTCACAGAGTTCAACATTCCTTTTAATGGAGCGGTTTTGAAACACTCTTTTTGCAGAATCTGCAAGTGGATATTTGGACCTCTTTGAGGCCTTCGTTGGAAACGGGATTTCTTCATGTAATGCCAGACAGAAGAATTCTCAGTGAATTCTTTCTGTGTGTGTGTATTCAACTCACAGAGTTGAACGTTCCTTTAGACAGAGTAGATTGGAAACACTCTTTTTGTGGAATTTTCAGGTGGAGGTATCAAGCGCTTTGAGGCCAATGATAGAAAAGGAAATACCTTCGTATAATAATTAGACGGAATCATTCTCAGAAACTGCTTTGGGATGTGTGCATTGAACTCACAGTGTTTAACACTTCTTTTCATAGAGCACTTTGGAAACACTCAGTTTGAAATGTCTGCAGCTGGATATTTGGACCTCTTTGAGGCCTTCGTAGTAAACGGGATTTCTTCGTGTAATGATAGACAATAGAATTCTCAGTGAATTTTTTTCTGTGTGTGTGTATTCAACTCACAGGGTTGAACCTTCCTTTAGACAGTGCAGATTTGAAACACTTGTCTGTGGAATTTGCAAGGGGAGATTTCAAGCACTTTGAGGCCATTGGTGGAAAAGGAAATATCTTCGTATAAAAACTAGACAGAATCATTCTCAGGAACTACTTTGTGATATGTGCATTCAACTCCCAGAGTTTAACCTTTCTTTTCATAGATGAGTTTGGAAACAGTCAGTTTGTAAATTCTGCAACTGGATATTTGGACCTCTTTGAGGCTTTCGTTGGAAACGGGATTTCTTCACATAATGCTAGACAGAAGAATTCTCAGGAACTTCTTTTGGGATGTATGTATTCAAATCAGAGAGTTGAACCTTCCTTTAGACAGAGCGGATTGGAAACACTCTTTTTGTGGAATTTGCAAGTGGAAAATTCTAGCAGTATGAGGCCAATGGTACAAAAGGAAATATCTTCGTATAAAAACTAGACAGTATCATTCTCAGAAACTGCTTTGTGATGTGTGTATTAAACTCACAGAGTTGAACATTTCTTTGCATAGAGCAGTTTGGAAAGACTTAGTTTGTGCAGTGTGCAAGTGGATATTTGGAACTCTTTGAGGCCTTCGTTGGAAACGGGATTTCTTCTTATAATTTCTTGAAAAAAGAATTCTCAGTAGCTTCTTTGTGTGTGTGTATTCAACTCACAGAGTTGAACCTTCCTTTAGACAGAGCAGATTGGAAACACTCTTTTTGTGGAATTTGCAAGTGGAGAATTCTAGCGCTTTGACGCCAATGGTAGAAAGGAAATATCTTCGTATAAAAACTAGACAGTATCATTCTCAGAAGCTACTTTGTGATGTGTGCGTTCAACTCACAGAGTTTAACCTTTCTTTTCATAGAGCAGTTTGGAAACCCTCTGTTTGTGAAGTCTGCAAGTGGATATTTAAACGTCTTTGAGGCCTTCGTTGGAAACGGGATTTTTTCATATAAACCAGGACAGAAGAATTCTCAGAAACGTCTTGATTGTTATGTGTGCATTCAACTCACAGAGTTGAACCTTACTTTGGAAAGAGCAGTTTTCTAACACTCTTTTTGTAAAAGTTCCAAGTGAATACTTTGAGTGCTTTGAAGCCTACGGTTGACAACGAAATATCTTCATGTAAAAACTACAAAGAATCATTCGCAGAAACCACGTTGTGATCTCTGCATTCAACTCACAGAGTTCAACCTTTCTTCCTATAGAGCAGTTATGAAACAGTCTCTTTGTAGAATTTGCAAGGGTGTATTTAGAGGGCATTGAAGCCTACGGTAGAAAAGGAAATATCTTACCATAAAATCTAGTCAGAAGCATTCTCAGAAACTGAGTTGTGATGTTTGCATTCAACTCACAGAGTTCAACATTCCTTTTAATGGAGCGGTTTTGAAACACTCTTTTTGCAGAATCTGCAAGTGGATATTTGGACCTCTTTGAGGCCTTCGTTGGAAACGGGATTTCTTCATGTAATGCCAGACAGAAGAATTCTCAGTGAATTCTTTCTGTGTGTGTGTATTCAACTCACAGAGTTGAACGTTCCTTTAGACAGAGTAGATTGGAAACACTCTTTTTGTGGAATTTTCAGGTGGAGGTATCAAGCGCTTTGAGGCCAATGATAGAAAAGGAAATACCTTCGTATAATAATTAGACGGAATCATTCTCAGAAACTGCTTTGCAATGTGTGCGTTCAACTCACAGTGTTTAACCTTTCTTTTCATACAGTTGTTTCGAAACACTCTTTTTGCAGAATCTGCAAGTGGATATTTGGACCTCTTTGAAGTCTTCGTTGGAAATGGGATTTCTTCATATAATGCTAGACAGAAGACTTCTCAGTAACTGCTTTTTCTGGTGTGTATTCAACTCTCAGAGTTGAACTTTCCTTTAGAAACAGCAGAGTTGAAACTCTCTTTTTGTGGAATTTGCAAGTGGAGATTTCAAAGCTTTGAGGCCAATGGTAGAAAAGGAAATATCTTCGTATGCAAACTAGACAGAATCATTCTCAGAAACTACTTTGGTACGTGTGTGTTCAACTCACAGTGTTTAACCTTTCTTTTCATAGAGCAGTTTGGAAACACTCAGTTTGTAAAGTCAGCAACTGGATATTTGGATGTATTTGAGGCCTTCGTTGGAAACGGGATTTCTTCATATAGTGCTAGACAGAAGAATTCTCAGTAACTTCTTTGGGTTGTGGGTATTCAACTCACAGAGTTGAAGCTTCCTTTAGGCGGAGCAGATTGGAAACACTTTTTGTGGAATTTTCAGGGGGAGACTTCAAGCGCTTTGAAGTGAATGGTAGGAAAGGAAATATCTTCGTATAAAAACTAGACGGAGTCATTCTCAGAAACTACTTTGTGATGTTTGCGTTCAACTCACAGAGTTTAACGTTTCTTTTCATAGAGCAGTTTGGAAACACTCTTTTTGCAGAATCTGCAAGTGGATATTTGGACCTCTTTGTGGCCTTCGTTGGAAACGGGATTTTTCATATAATGCTAGACAGAAGAATTCTCAGTAACTTCTTTTTGTGGTGTGCATTCAACTCACAGAGTTGAACCTTCCTTTAGACAGAGCAGATTTGAAACTCTCTTTTTGTGGAATTTGCAAGTGGAGATTTCAAGCGCTTTGAGGCCAACGGGAGAAAAGGAAATATCTTCGTAGAGAAAATAGACGGAATAATTCTCAGAAACTGCTTTGGGATGTGTGCATTGAACTCACAGTGTTTAACACTTCTTTTCATAGAGCACTTTGGAAACACTCAGTTTGTAATGTCTGCAGCTGGATATTTGGACCTCTTTGAGGCCTTCGTAGTAAACGGGATTTCTTCGTGTCATGATAGACAATAGAATTCTCAGTGAATTTGTTTCTGTGTGTGTGTATTCAACTCACAGGGTTGAACCTTCCTTTAGACAGTGCAGATTTGAAACACTTGTCTGTGGAATTTGCAAGGGGAGATTTCAAGCACTTTGAGGCCATTGGTGGAAAAGGAAATATCTTCGTATGAAAACTAGACAGAATCATTCTCAGGAACTACTTTGTGATATGTGCATTCAACTCCCAGAGTTTAACCTTTCTTTTCATAGATGAGTTCGGAAACAGTCAGTTTGTAAATTCTGCAACTGGATATTTAGACCTCTTTGAGGCTTTCGTTGGAAACGGGATTTCTTCACATAATGCTAGACAGAAGAATTCTCAGTAACTTCTTTTGGGATGTATGTATTCAAATCAGAGAGTTGAACCTTCCTTTAGACAGAGCGGATTGGAAACACTCTTTTTGTGGAATTTGCAAGTGGAAAATTCTAGCAGTATGAGGCCAATGGTACAAAAGGAAATATCTTCGTATAAAAACTAGACAGTATCATTCTCAGAAACTGCTTTGTGATGTGTGTATTAAACTCACAGAGTTGAACATTTCTTTGCATAGAGCAGTTTGGAAAGACTTAGTTTGTGCAGTGTGCAAGTGGATATTTGGAACTCTTTGAGGCCTTCGTTGGAAACGGGATTTCTTCTTATAATTCTTGACAAAAGAATTCTCAGTAGCTTCTTTGTGTGTGTGTATTCAACTCACAGAGTTGAACCTTCCTTTAGACAGAGCAGATTGGAAACACTCTTTTTGTGGAATTTGCAAGTGGAGAATTCTAGCGCTTTGACGCCAATGGTAGAAAGGAAATATCTTCGTATGCAAACTAGACAGTATCATTCTCAGAAGCTACTTTGTGATGTGTGCGTTCAACTCACAGAGTTTAACCTTTCTTTTCATAAAGCAGTTTGGAAACCCTCTGTTTGTGAAGTCTGCAAGTGGATATTTAAACGTCTTTGAGGCCTTCGTTGGAAACGGGATTTTTTCATATAAACCAGGACAGAAGAATTCTCAGAAACTTCTTGATTGTTATGTGTGCATTCAACTCACAGAGTTGAACCTTACTTTGGAAAAAGCAGTTTTCTAACACTCTTTTTGTAAAAGTTCCAAGTGAATACTTTGAGTGCTTTGAAGCCTACGGTTGACAACGAAATATCTTCATGTAAAAACTACAAAGAATCATTCGCAGAAACCACGTTGTGATCTCTGCATTCAACTCACAGAGTTGAACCTTTCTTCCTATAGAGCAGTTATGAAACAGTCTCTTTGTAGAATTTGCAAGGGTGTATTTAGAGGGCATTGAAGCCTACGGTAGAAAAGGAAATATCTTACCATAAAATCTAGTCAGAAGCATTCTCAGCAACTGAGTCGTGATGTTTGCATTCAACTCACAGAGTTCAACATTCCTTTTAATGGAGCGGTTTTGAAACACTCTTTTTGCAGAATCTGCAAGTGGATATTTGGACCTCTTTGAGGCCTTCGTTGGAAACGGGATTTCTTCATGTAATGCCAGACAGAAGAATTCTCAGTGAATTCTTTCTGTGTGTGTGTATTCAACTCACAGAGTTGAACGTTCCTTTAGACAGAGTAGATTGGAAACACTCTTTTTGTGGAATTTTCAGGTGGAGGTATCAAGCGCTTTGAGGCCAATGATAGAAAAGGAAATACCTTCGTATAATAATTAGACGGAATCATTCTCAGAAACTGCTTTGCAATGTGTGCGTTCAACTCACAGTGTTTAACCTTTCTTTTCATACAGTTGTTTCGAAACACTCTTTTTGCAGAATCTGCAAGTGGATATTTGGACCTCTTTGAAGTCTTCGTTGGAAATGGGATTTCTTCATATAATGCTAGACAGAAGACTTCTCAGTAACTGCTTTTTCTGGTGTGTATTCAACTCTCAGAGTTGAACTTTCCTTTAGAAACAGCAGATTTGAAACTCTCTTTTTGTGGAATTTGCAAGTGGAGATTTCAGAGCTTTGAGGCCAATGGTAGAAAAGGAAATATCTTCGTATGCAAACTAGACAGAATCATTCTCAGAAACTACTTTGGTACGTGTGTGTTCAACTCACAGTGTTTAACCTTTCTTTTCATAGAGCAGTTTGGAAACACTCAGTTTGTAAAGTCAGCAACTGGATATTTGGATGTATTTGAGGCCTTCGTTGGAAACGGGATTTCTTCATATAATGCTAGACAGAAGAATTCTCAGTAACTTCTTTGGGTTGCGGGTATTCAACTCACAGAGTTGAAGCTTCCTTTAGGCGGAGCAGATTGGAAACACTTTTTGTGGAATTTTCAGGGGGAGACTTCAAGCGCTTTGAAGTGAATGGTAGAAAAGGAAATATCTTCGTATAAAAACTAGACGGAGTCATTCTCAGAAACTACTTTGTGATGTTTGCGTTCAACTCACAGAGTTTAACGTTTCTTTTCATAGAGCAGTTTGGAAACACTCTTTTTGCAGAATCTGCAAGTGGATATTTGGACCTCTTTGTGGCCTTCGTTGGAAACGGGATTTTTCATATAATGCTAGACAGAAGAATTCTCAGTAACTTCTTTTTGTGGTGTGTATTCAACTCACAGAGTTGAACCTTCCTTTAGACAGAGCAGATTTGAAACTCTCTCTTTGTGGAATTTGCAAGTGGAGATTTCAAGCGCTTTGAGGCCAACGGCAGAAAAGGAAATATCTTCGTAGAAAAAATAGACGGAATCATTCTCAGAAACTGCTTTGGGATGTGTGCATTGAACTCACAGTGTTTAACACTTCTTTTCATAGAGCACTTTGGAAACACTCAGGTTGTAATGTCTGCAGCTGGATATTTGGACCTCTTTGAGGCCTTCGTAGTAAACGGGATTTCTTCGTGTAATGATAGACAATAGAATTCTCAGTGAATTTTTTTCTGTGTGTGTGTATTCAACTCACAGGGTTGAACCTTCCTTTAGACAGTGCAGATTTGAGACACTTGTCTGTGGAATTTGCAAGGGGAGATTTCAAGCACTTTGAGGCCATTGGTGGAAAAGGAAATATCTTCGTATGAAAACTAGACAGAATCATTCTCAGGAACTACTTTGTGATATGTGCATTCAACTCACAGAGTTTAACCTTTCTTTTCATAGATGAGTTTGGAAACAGTCAGTTTGTAAATTCTGCAACTGGATATTTGGACCGCTTTGAGGCTTTCGTTGGAAACGGGATTTCTTCACATAATGCTAGACAGAAGAATTCTCAGGAACTTCTTTTGGGATGTATGTATTCAAATCAGAGAGTTGAACCTTCCTTTAGACAGAGCGGATTGGAAACACTCTTTTTGTGGAATTTGCAAGTGGAAAATTCTA
This sequence comes from Homo sapiens, assembly GCF_000001405.40. Lineage (NCBI taxonomy): Eukaryota > Metazoa > Chordata > Mammalia > Primates > Hominidae > Homo > Homo sapiens. The sequence goes on from NC_000003.12 coordinate 92,041,329, forward strand.
GCAGTATGAGGCCAATGGTACAAAAGGAAATATCTTCGTATAAAAACTAGACAGTATCATTCTCAGAAACTGCTTTGTGATGTGTGTATTAAACTCACAGAGTTGAACATTTCTTTGCATAGAGCAGTTTGGAAAGACTTAGTTTGTGCAGTGTGCAAGTGGATATTTGGAACTCTTTGAGGCCTTCGTTGGAAACGGGATTTCTTCTTATAATTCTTGACAAAAGAATTCTCAGTAGCTTCTTTGTGTGTGTGTATTCAACTCACAGAGTTGAACCTTCCTTTAGACAGAGCAGATTGGAAACACTCTTTTTGTGGAATTTGCAAGTGGAGAATTCTAGCGCTTTGACGCCAATGGTAGAAAGGAAATATCTTCGTATAAAAACTAGACAGTATCATTCTCAGAAACTACTTTGTGATGTGTGAATTCAACTCACAGAGTTTAACCTTTCTTTTCATAGAGCAGTTTGGAAACACTCTGTTTGTGAAGTCTGCAAGTGGATATTTAAACGTCTTTGAGGCCTTCGTTGGAAACGGGATTTGTTCATATAAACCAGGACAGAAGAATTCTCAGAAACTTCTTGATTGTTATGTGTGCATTCAACTCACAGAGTTGAACCTTACTTTGGAAAGAGCAGTTTTCTAACACTCTTTTTGTAAAAGTTCCAAGTGAATACTTTGAGTGCTTTGAAGCCTACGGTTGACAACGAAATATCTTCATGTAAAAACTACAAAGAATCATTCGCAGAAACCACGTTGTGATCTCTGCAGTCAACTCACAGAGTTCAACCTTTCTTCCTATAGAGCAGTTATGAAACAGTCTCTTTGTAGAATTTGCAAGGGTGTATTTAGAGGGCATTGAAGCCTACGGTAGAAAAGGAAATATCTTACCATAAAATCTAGTCAGAAGCATTCTCAGAAACTGAGTTGTGATGTTTGCATTCAACTCACAGAGTTCAACATTCCTTTTAATGGAGCGGTTTTGAAACACTCTTTTTGCAGAATCTGCAAGTGGATATTTGGACCTCTTTGAGGCCTTCGTTGGAAACGGGATTTCTTCATGTAATGCCAGACAGAAAGAATTCTCAGTGAATTCTTTCTGTGTGTGTGTATTCAACTCACAGAGTTGAACGTTCCTTTAGACAGAGTAGATTGGAAACACTCTTTTTGTGGAATTTTCAGGTGGAGGTATCAAGCGCTTTGAGGCCAATGATAGAAAAGGAAATACCTTCGTATAATAATTAGACGGATCATTCTCAGAAACTGCTTTGCAATGTGTGCGTTCAACTCACAGTGTTTAACCTTTCTTTTCATACAGTTGTTTCGAAACACTCTTTTTGCAGAATCTGCAAGTGGATATTTGGACCTCTTTGAAGTCTTCGTTGGAAATGGGATTTCTTCATACAATGCTAGAGAGAAGACTTCTCAGTAACTGCTTTTTCTGGTGTGTATTCAACTCTCAGAGTTGAACTTTCCTTTAGAAACAGCAGATTTGAAACTCTCTTTTTGTGGAATTTGCAAGTGGAGATTTCAGAGCTTTGAGGCCAATGGTAGAAAAGGAAATATCTTCGTATGCAAACTAGACAGAATCATTCTCAGAAACTACTTTGGTACGTGTGTGTTCAACTCACAGTGTTTAACCTTTCTTTTCATAGAGCAGTTTGGAAACACTCAGTTTGTAAAGTCAGCAACTGGATATTTGGATGTATTTGAGGCCTTCGTTGGAAACGGGATTTCTTCATATAATGCTAGACAGAAGAATTCTCAGTAACTTCTTTGGGTTGTGGGTATTCAACTCACAGAGTTGAAGCTTCCTTTAGGCGGAGCAGATTGGAAACACTTTTTGTGGAATTTTCAGGGGGAGACTTCAAGCGCTTTGAAGTGAATGGTAGGAAAGGAAATATCTTCGTATAAAAACTAGACGGAGTCATTCTCAGAAACTACTTTGTGATGTTTGCGTTCAACTCACAGAGTTTAACGTTTCTTTTCATAGAGCAGTTTGGAAACACTCTTTTTGCAGAATCTGCAAGTGGATATTTGGACCTCTTTGTGGCCTTCGTTGGAAACGGGATTTTTCATATAATGCTAGACAGAAGAATTCTCAGTAACTTCTTTTTGTGGTGTGTATTCAACTCACAGAGTTGAACCTTCCTTTAGACAGAGCAGATTTGAAACTCTCTTTTTGTGGAATTTGCAAGTGGAGATTTCAAGCGCTTTGAGGCCAACGGTAGAAAAGGAAATATCTTCGTAGAGAAAATAGATGGAATCATTCTCAGAAACTGCTTTGGGATGTGTGCATTGAACTCACAGTGTTTAACACTTCTTTTCATAGAGCACTTTGGAAACACTCAGTTTGTAATGTCTGCAGCTGGATATTTGGACCTCTTTGAGGCCTTCGTAGTAAACGGGATTTCTTCGTGTAATGATAGACAATAGAATTCTCAGTGAATTTTTTTCTGTGTGTGTGTATTCAACTCACAGGGTTGAACCTTCCTTTAGACAGTGCAGATTTGAAACACTTTTCTGTGGAATTTGCAAGGGGAGATTTCAAGCACTTTGAGGCCATTGGTGGAAAAGGAAATATCTTCGTATAAAAACTAGACAGAATCATTCTCAGGAACTACTTTGTGATATGTGCATTCAAATCACAGAGTTTAACCTTTCTTTTCATAGATGAGTTTGGAAACAGTCAGTTTGTAAATTCTGCAACTGGATATTTGGACCTCTTGGAGGCTTTCGTTGGAAACGGGATTTCTTCACATAATGCTAGACAGAAGAATTCGCAGTAACTTCTTTTGGGATGTATGTATTCAACTCAGAGAGTTGAACCTTCCTTTAGACAGAGCGGATTGGAAACACGCTTTTTGCGGAATTTTCAGTTGGAGATTTCAAGAGCCTTGAGGCCAATGGTAGAAAAGGCTATCTTCATATAAAAACTAGACGGAATCATTCTCAGAAACTGCTTTGTGATGTGTGTATTAAACTCACAGAGTTGAACATTTCTTTGCATAGAGCAGTTTGGAAAGACTTAGTTTGTGCAGTGTGCAAGTGCATATTTGGAACTCTTTGAGGCCTTCGTTGGAAACGGGATTTCTTCTTATAATTCTTGACAAAAGAATTCTCAGTAGCTTCTTTGTGTGTGTGTATTCAACTCACAGAGTTGAACCTTCCTTTAGACAGAGCAGATTGAAAACACTCTTTTTGTGGAATTTGCAAGTGGAGAATTCCTAGCGCTTTGACGCCAATGGTAGAAAGGAAATATCTTCGTATAAAAACTAGACAGTATCATTCTCAGAAGCTACTTTGTGATGTGTGCGTTCAACTCACAGAGTTTAACCTTTCTTTTCATAGAGCAGTTTGGAAACCCTCTGTTTGTGAAGTCTGCAAGTGGATATTTAAACGTCTTTGAGGCCTTCGTTGGAAACGGGATTTTTTCATATAAACCAGGACAGAAGAATTCTCAGAAACTTCTTGATTGTTATGTGTGCATTCAACTCACAGAGTTCAACCTTACTTTGGAAAGAGCAGTTTTCTAACACTCTTTTTGTAAAAGTTCCAAGTGAATACTTTGAGTGCTTTGAAGCCTACGGTTGACAACGAAATATCTTCATGTAAAAACTACAAAGAATCATTCGCCGAAACCACGTTGTGATCTCTGCATTCAACTCACAGAGTTCAACCTTTCTTCCTATAGAGCAGTTATTAAACAGTCTCTTTGTAGAATTTGCAAGGGTGTATTTAGAGGGCATTGAAGCCTACGGTAGAAAAGGAAATATCTTACCATAAAATCTAGTCAGAAGCATTCTCAGAAACTGAGTTGTGATGTTTGCATTCAACTCACAGAGTTCAACATTCCTTTTAATAGAGCGGTTTTGAAACACTCTTTTTGCAGAATCTGCAAGTGGATATTTGGACCTCTTTGAGGCCTTCGTTGGAAACGGGATTTCTTCATGTAATGCCAGACAGAAGAATTCTCAGTGAATTCTTTCTGTGTGTGTGTATTCAACTCACAGAGTTGAACGTTCCTTTAGACAGAGTAGATTGGAAACACTCTTTTTGTGGAATTTTCAGGTGGAGGTATCAAGCGCTTTGAGGCCCATGATAGAAAAGGAAATACCTTCGTATAATAATTAGACGGAATCATTCTCAGAAAATGCTTTGCAATGGGTGCGTTCAACTCACAGTGTTTAACCTTTCTTTTCATACAGTTGTTTCGAAACACTCTTTTTGCAGAATCTGCAAGTGGATATTTGGACCTGTTTGAAGTCTTCTTTGGAAATGGGATTTCTTCATATAATGCTAGACAGAAGACTTCTCAGTAACTGCTTTTTCTGGTGTGTATTCAACTCTCAGAGTTGAACTTTCCTTTAGAAACAGCAGATTTGAAACTCTCTTTTTGTGGAATTTGCAAGTGGAGATTTCAAAGCTTTGAGGCCAGTGGTAGAAAAGGAAATATCTTTGTATGCAAACTAGACAGAATCATTCTCAGAAACTACTTTGGTACGTGTGTGTTCAACTCACAGTGTTTAACCTTTCTTTTCATAGAGCAGTTTGGAAACACTCAGTTTGTAAAGTCAGCAACTGGATATGTGGATGTATTTGAGGCCTTCGTTGGAAACGGGATTTCTTCCTATAATGCGAGACAGAAGAATTCTCAGTAACTTCTTTGTGTTGTGGGTATTCAACTCACAGAGTTGAAGCTTCCTTTAGGCGGAGCAGATTGGAAACACTTTTTGTGGAATTTTCAGGGGGAGACTTCAAGCGCTTTGAGGCCAACGGTAGAAAAGGAAATATCTTCGTATAAAAACTAGACGGAGTCATTCTCAGAAACTACTTTGTGATGTTTGCGTTCAACTCACAGAGTTTAACGTTTCTTTTCATAGAGCAGTTTGGAAACACTCTTTTTGCAGAATCTGCAAGTGGATATTTGGACCTCTTTGGGGCCTTCGTTGGAAACGGGATTTTTCATATAATGCTAGACAGAAGAATTCTCAGTAACTTCTTTTTGTGGTGTGTATTCAACTCACAGAGTGGAACCTTCCTTTAGACAGAGCAGATTTGAAACTCTCTTTTCGTGGAATTTGCAAGTGGAGATTTCAGGCGCTTTGAGGCCAACGGTAGAAAAGGAAATATCTTCGTAGAAAAAATAGACGGAATCATTCTCAGAAACTGCTTTGGGATGTGTGCATTGAACTCACAGTGTTTAACACTTCTTTTCATAGAGCACTTTGGAAACACTCAGTTTGTAATGTCTGCAGCTGGATATTTGGACGTCTTTGAGGCCTTCGTAGTAAACGGGATTTCTTCGTGTAATGATAGACAATAGAATTCTCAGTGAATTTTTTTCTGTGTGTGTGTATTCAACTCACAGGGTTGAACCTTCCTTTAGACAGTGCAGATTTGAAACACTTTTCTGTGGAATTTGCAAGTGGAGATTTCAAGCACTTTGAGGCCATTGGTGGAAAAGGAAATATCTTCGTATAAAAACTAGACAGAATCATTCTCAGGAACTACTTTGTGATATGTGCATTCAACTCACAGAGTTTAACCTTTCTTTTCATAGATGAGTTTGGAAACAGTCAGTTTGTAAATTCTGCAACTGGATATTTGGACCTCTTTGAGGCTTTCGTTGGAAACGGGATTTCTTCACATAATGCTAGACAGAAGAATTCTCAGTAACTTCTTTTGGGATGTATGTATTCAAATCAGAGAGTTGAACCTTCCTTTAGACAGAGCGGATTGGAAACACTCTTTTTGTGGAATTTGCAAGTGGAAAATTCTAGCAGTATGAGGCCAATGGTACAAAAGGAAATATCTTCGTATAAAAACTAGACAGTATCATTCTCAGAAACTGCTTTGTGATGTGTGTATTAAACTCACAGAGTTTAACCTTTCTTTTCATAGAGCAGTTTGGAAACCCTCTGTTTGTGAAGTCTGCAAGTGGATATTTAAACGTCTTTGAGGCCTTCGTTGGAAACGGGATTTTTTCATATAAACCAGGACAGAAGAATTCTCAGAAACTTCTTGATTGTTATGTGTGCATTCAACTCACAGAGTTGAACCTTACTTTGGAAAGAGCAGTTTTCTAACACTCTTTTTGTAAAAGTTCCAAGTGAATACTTTGAGTGCTTTGAAGCCTACGGTTGACAACGAAATATCTTCATGTAAAAACTACAAAGAATCATTCGCAGAAACCACGTTGTGATCTCTGCATTCAACTCACAGTGTTGAACCTTTCTTCCTATAGAGCAGTTATGAAACAGTCTCTTTGTAGAATTTGCAAGGGTGTATTTAGAGGGCATTGAAGCCTACGGTAGAAAAGGAAATATCTTACCATAAAATCTAGTCAGAAGCATTCTCAGAAACTGAGTTGTGATGTTTGCATTCAACTCACAGAGTTCAACATTCCTTTTAATGGAGCGGTTTTGAAACACTCTTTTTGCAGAATCTGCAAGTGGATATTTGGACCTCTTTGAGGCCTTCGTTGGAAACGGGATTTCTTCATGTAATGCCAGACAGAAGAATTCTCAGTGAATTCTTTCTGTGTGTGTGTATTCAACTCACAGAGTTGAACGTTCCTTTAGACAGAGTAGATTGGAAACACTCTTTTTGTGGAATTTTCAGGTGGAGGTATCAAGCGCTTTGAGACCAATGATAGAAAAGGAAATACCTTCGTATAATAATTAGACGGAATCATTCTCAGAAACTGCTTTGCAATGTGTGCGTTCAACTCACAGTGTTTAACCTTTCTTTTCATACAGTTGTTTCGAAACACTCTTTTTGCAGAATCTGCAAGTGGATATTTGGACCTCTTTGAAGTCTTCGTTGGAAATGGGATTTCTTCATATAATGCTAGACAGAAGACTTCTCAGTAACTGCTTTTTCTGGTGTGTATTCAACTCTCAGAGTTGAACTTTCCTTTAGGAACAGCAGATTTGAAACTCTCTTTTTGTGGAATTTGCAAGTGGAGATTTCAAAGCTTTGAGGCCAGTGGTAGAAAAGGAAATATCTTTGTATGCAAACTAGACAGAATCATTCTCAGAAACTACTTTGGTACGTGTGTGTTCAACTCACAGTGTTTAACCTTTCTTTTCATAGAGCAGTTTGGAAACACTCAGTTTGTAAAGTCAGCAACTGGATATTTGGATGTATTTGAGGCCTTCGTTGGAAACGGGATTTCTTCATATAATGCTAGACAGAAGAATTCTCAGTAACTTCTTTGTGTTGTGGGTATTCAACTCACAGAGTTGAAGCTTCCTTTAGGCGGAGCAGATTGGAAACACTTTTTGTGGAATTTTCAGGGGGAGACTTCAAGCGCTTTGAGGCCAACGGTAGAAAAGGAAATATCTTCGTATAAAAACTAGACGGAGTCATTCTCAGAAACTACTTTGTGATGTTTGCGTTCAACTCACAGAGTTTAACGTTTCTTTTCATAGAGCAGTTTGGAAACACTCTTTTTGCAGAATCTGCAAGTGGATATTTGGACCTCTTTGTGGCCTTCGTTGGAAACGGGATTTTTCATATAATGCTAGACAGAAGAATTCTCAGTAACTTCTTTTTGTGGTGTGTATTCAACTCACAGAGTTGAACCTTCCTTTAGACAGAGCAGATTTGAAACTCTCTTTTTGTGGAATTTGCAAGTGGAGATTTCAAGCGCTTTGAGGCCAACGGCAGAAAAGGAAATATCTTCGTAGAAAAAATAGACGGAATCATTCTCAGAAACTGCTTTGGGATGTGTGCATTGAACTCACAGTGTTTAACACTTCTTTTCATAGAGCACTTTGGAAACACTCAGTTTGTAATGTCTGCAGCTGGATATTTGGACCTCTTTGAGGCCTTCGTAGTAAAGGGGATTTCTTCGTGTAATGATAGACAATAGAATTCTCAGTGAATTTTTTTCTGTGTGTGTGTATTCAACTCACAGGGTTGAACCTTCCTTTAGACAGTGCAGATTTGAGACACTTGTCTGTGGAATTTGCAAGGGGAGATTTCAAGCACTTTGAGGCCATTGGTGGAAAAGGAAATATCTTCGTATAAAAACTAGACAGAATCATTCTCAGGAACTACTTTGTGATATGTGCATTCAACTCACAGAGTTTAACCTTTCTTTTCATAGATGAGTTTGGAAACAGTCAGTTTGTAAATGCTGCAACTGGATATTTGGGCCTCTTTGAGGCTTTCGTTGGAAACGGGATTTCTTCACATAATGCTAGACAGAAGAATTCTCAGTAACTTCTTTTGGGATGTATGTATTCAAATCAGAGAGTTGAACCTTCCTTTAGACAGAGCGGATTGGAAACACTCTTTTTGTGGAATTTGCAAGTGGAAAATTCTAGCAGTATGAGGCCAATGGTACAAAAGGAAATATCTTCGTATAAAAACTAGACAGTATCATTCTCAGAAACTGCTTTGTGATGTGTGTATTAAACTCACAGATTTGAACATTTCTTTGCATAGAGCAGTATGGAAAGACTTAGTTTGTGCAGTGTGCAAGTGGATATTTGGAACTCTTTGAGGCCTTGGTTGGGAAACGGGATTTCTTCTTATAATTCTTGACAAAAGAATTCTCAGTAGCTTCTTTGTGTGTGTGTACTCAACTCACAGAGTTGAACCTTCCTTTAGACAGAGCAGATTGGAAACACTCTTTTTGTGGAATTTGCAAGTGGAAAATTCTAGCAGTATGAGGCCAATGGTACAAAAGGAAATATCTTCGTATAAAAACTAGACAGTATCATTCTCAGAAACTACTTTGTGAGGTGTGCGTTCAACTCACAGTGTTTAACCTTTCTTTTCATAGAGCAGTTTGGAAACACTCTGTTTGTGAAGTCTGCAAGTGGATATTTAAACGTCTTTGAGGCCTTCGTTGGAAACGGGATTTCTTCATATAAACCAGGACAGAGAATTCTCAGAAACTTCTTGATTGTTATGTGTGCATTCAACTCACAGAGTTGAACCTTACTTTGGAAAGAGCAGTTTTCTAACACTCTTTTTGTAAAAGTTCCAAGTGAATACTTTGAGTGCTTTGAAGCCTACGGTTGACAACGAAATATCTTCATGTAAAAACTACAAAGAATCATTCGCAGAAACCACGTTGTGATCTCTGCATTCAACTCACAGAGTTGAACCTTTCTTCCTATAGAGCAGTTATGAAACAGTCTCTTTGTAGAATTTGCAAGGGTGTATTTAGAGGGCATTGAAGCCTATGGTAGAAAAGGAAATATCTTACCATAAAATCTAGTCAGAAGCATTCTCAGAAACTGAGTTGTGATGTTTGCATTCAACTCACAGAGTTCAACATTCCTTTTCATGGAGCGGTTTTGAAACACTCTTTTTGCAGAATCTGCAAGTGGATATTTGGACCTCTTTGAGGCCTTCGTTGGAAACGGGATTTCTTCATGTAATGCCAGACAGAAGAACTCTCAGTGAATTCTTTCTGTGTGTGTGTATTCAACTCACAGAGTTGAACGTTCCTTTAGACAGAGTAGATTGGAAACACTCTTTTTGTGGAATTTTCAGGTGGAGGTATCAAGCGCTTTGAGGCCCATGATAGAAAAGGAAATACCTTCGTATAATAATTAGACGGAATCATTCTCAGAAACTGCTTTGCAATGTGTGCCTTCAACTCACAGCGTTTAACCTTTCTTTTCATACAGTTGTTTCGAAACACTCTTTTTGCAGAATCTGCAAGTGGATATTTGGACCTCTTTGAAGTCTTCGTTGGAAATGGTATTTCTTCATATAATGCTAGACAGAAGAATTCTCAGTAACTGCTTTTTCTGGTGTGTATTCAACTCTCAGAGTTGAACTTTCCTTTAGAAACAGCAGATTTGAAACTCTCTTTTTGTGGAATTTGCAAGTGGAGATTTCAAAGCTTTGAGGCCAATGGTAGAAAAGGAAATATCTTCGTATGCAAACTAGACAGAATCATTCTCAGAAACTACTTTGGTACGTGTGTGTTCAACTCACAGTGTTTAACCTTTCTTTTCATAGAGCAGTTTGGAAACACTCAGTTTGTAAAGTCAGCAACTGGATATTTGGATGTATTTGAGGCCTTCGTTGGAAACGGGATTTCTTCATATAATGCTAGACAGAAGAATTCTCAGTAACTTCTTTGGGTTGTGGGTATTCAAGTCACAGAGTTGAAGCTTCCTTTAGGCGGAGCAGATTGGAAACACTTTTTGTGGAATTTTCAGGGGGAGACTTCAAGCGCTTTGAAGTGAATGGTAGGAAAGGAAATATCTTCGTATAAAAACTAGACGGAGTCATTCTCAGAAACTACTTTGTGATGTTTGCGTTCAACTCACAGAGTTTAACGTTTCTTTTCATAGAGCAGTTTGGAAACACTCTTTTTGCAGAATCTGCAAGTGGATATTTGGACCTCTTTGTGGCCTTCGTTGGAAACGGGATTTTTCATATAATGCTAGACAGAAGAATTCTCAGTAACTTCTTTTTGTGGTGTGTATTCAACTCACAGAGTTGAACCTTCCTTTAGACAGAGCAGATTTGAAACTCTCTTTTTGTGGAATTTGCAAGTGGAGATTTCAAGCGCTTTGAGGCCAACGGCAGAAAAGGAAATATCTTCGTAGAGAAAATAGACGGAATCATTCTCAGAAACTGCTTTGGGATGTGTGCATTGAACTCACAGTGTTTAACACTTCTTTTCATAGAGCACTTTGGAAACACTCAGTTTGTAATGTCTGCAGCTGGATATTTGGACCTCTTTGAGGCCTTCGTAGTAAACGGGATTTCTTCGTGTAATGATAGACAATAGAATTCTCAGTGAATTTTTTTCTGTGTGTGTGTATTCAACTCACAGGGTTGAACCTTCCTTTAGACAGTGCAGATTTGAAACACTTGTCTGTGGAATTTGCAAGGGGAGATTTCAAGCACTTTGAGGCCATTGGTGGAAAAGGAAATATCTTCGTATGAAAACTAGACAGAATCATTCTCAGGAACTACTTTGTGATATGTGCATTCAACTCACAGAGTTTAACCTTTCTTTTCATAGATGAGTTTGGAAACAGTCAGTTTGTAAATTCTGCAACTGGATATTTGGACCTCTTTGAGGCTTTCGTTGGAAACGGGATTTCTTCACATAATGCTAGACAGAAGAATTCTCAGTAACTTCTTTTGGGATGTATGTATTCAAATCAGAGAGTTGAACCTTCCTTTAGACAGAGCGGATTGGAAACACTCTTTTTGTGGAATTTGCAAGTGGAAAATTCTAGCAGTATGAGGCCAATGGTACAAAAGGAAATATCTTCGTATAAAAACTAGACAGTATCATTCTCAGAAACTGCTTTGTGATGTGTGTATTAAACTCACAGAGTTGAACATTTCTTTGCATAGAGCAGTTTGGAAAGACTTAGTTTGTGCAGTGTGCAAGTGGATATTTGGAACTCTTTGAGGCCTTCGTTGGAAACGGGATTTCTTCTTATAATTCTTGACAAAAGAATTCTCAGTAGCTTCTTTGTGTGTGTGTATTCAACTCACAGAGTTGAACCTTCCTTTAGACAGAGCAGATTGGAAACACTCTTTTTGTGGAATTTGCAAGTGGAGAATTCTAGCGCTTTGACGCCAATGGTAGAAAGGAAATATCTTCGGTATATAAACTAGACAGTATCATTCTCAGAAACTACTTTGTGATGTGTGCGTTCAACTCACAGAGTTTAACCTTTCTTTTCATAGAGCAGTTTGGAAACACTCTGTTTGTGAAGTCTGCAAGTGGATATTTAAACGTCTTTGAGGCCTTCGTTGGAAACGGGATTTTTTCCTATAAACCAGGACAGAAGAATTCTCAGAAACTTCTTGTTTGTTATGTGTGCATTCAACTCACAGAGTTGAACCTTACTTTGGAAAGAGCAGTTTTCTAACACTCTTTTTGTGAAAGTTCCAAGTGAATACTTTGAGTGCTTTGAAGCCTACGGTAGACAACGAAATATCTTCATGTAAAAACTACAAAGAATCATTCGCAGAAACCACGTTGTGATCTCTGCATTCAACTCACAGAGTTGAACCTTTCCTCCTATAGAGCAGTTATGAAGCAGTCTCTTTGTAGAATTTGCAAGGGTGTATTTACAGGGCATTGAAGCCTACGGTAGAAAAGGAAATATCTTACCATAAAATCTAGTCAGAAGCATTCTCAGAAACTGAGTTGTGATGTTTGCATTCAACTCACAGAGTTCAACATTCCTTTTAATGGAGCGGTTTTGAAACACTCTTTTTGCAGAATCTGCAAGTGGATATTTGGACCTCTTTGAGGCCTTCGTTGGAAACGGGATTTCTTCATGTAATGCCAGACAGAAGAATTCTCAGTGAATTCTTTCTGTGTGTGTGTATTCAACTCACAGAGTTGAACGTTCCTTTAGACAGAGTAGATTGGAAACACTCTTTTTGTGGAATTTTCAGGTGGAGGTATCAAGCGCTTTGAGGCCAATGATAGAAAAGGAAATACCTTCGTATAATAATTAGACGGAATCATTCTCAGAAACCGCTTTGCAATGTGTGCGTTCAACTCACAGTGTTTAACCTTTCTTTTCATACAGTTGTTTCGAAACACTCTTTTTGCAGAATCTGCAAGTGGATATTTGGACCTCTTTGAAGTCTTCGTTGGAAATGGGATTTCTTCATATAATGCTAGACAGAAGACTTCTCAGTAACTGCTTTTTCTGGTGTGTATTCAACTCTCAGAGTTGAACTTTCCTTTAGAAACAGCAGATTTGAAACTCTCTTTTTGTGGAATTTGCAAGTGGAGATTTCAGAGCTTTGAGGTCAATGGTAGAAAAGGAAATATCTTCGTATGCAAACTAGACAGAATCATTCTCAGAAACTACTTTGGTACGTGTGTGTTCAACTCACAGTGTTTAACCTTTCTTGTCATAGAGCAGTTTGGAAACACTCAGTTTGTAAAGTCAGCAACTGGATATTTGGATGTATTTGAGGCCTTCGTTGGAAACGGGATTTCTTCATATAATGCTAGACAGAAGAATTCTCAGTAACTTCTTTGGGTTGTGGGTATACAACTCACAGAGTTGAAGCTTCCTTTAGGCGGAGCAGATTGGAAACACTTTTTGTGGAATTTTCAGGGGGAGACTTCAAGCGCTTTGAAGTGAATGGTAGAAAAGGAAATATCTTCGTATAAAAAGTAGACGGAGTCATTCTCAGAAACTACTTTGTGATGTTTGCGTTCAACTCACAGAGTTTAACGTTTCTTTTCATAGAGCAGTTTGGAAACACTCTTTTTGCAGAATCTGCAAGTGGATATTTGGACCTCTTTGTGGCCTTCGTTGGAAACGGGATTTTTCATATAATGCTAGACAGAAGAATTCTCAGTAACTTCTTTTTGTGGTGTGTATTCAACTCACAGAGTTGAACCTTCCTTTAGACAGAGCAGATTTGAAACTCTCTTTTTGTGGAATTTGCAAGTGGAGATTTCAAGCGCTTTGAGGCCAACGGTAGAAAAGGAAATATCTTCGTAGAAAAAATAGACGGAATCATTCTCAGAAACTGCTTTGGGATGCGTGCATTGAACTCACAGTGTTTAACACTTCTTTTCATAGAGCACTTTGGAAACACTCAGTTTGTAATGTCTGCAGCTGGATATTTGGACCTCTTTGAGGCCTTCGTAGTAAACGGGATTTCTTCGTGTAATGATAGACAATAGAATTCTCAGTGAATTTTTTTCTGTGTGTGTGTATTCAACTCACAGGGTTGAACCTTCCTTTAGACAGTGCAGATTTGAAACACTTGTCTGTGGAATTTGCAAGGGGAGATTTCAAGCACTTTGAGGCCATTGGTGGAAAAGGAAATATCTTCGTATAAAAACTAGACAGAATCATTCTCAGGAACTACTTTGTGATATGTGCATTCAACTCCCAGAGTTTAACCTTTCTTTTCATAGATGAGTTTGGAAACAGTCAGTTTGTAAATTCTGCAACTGGATATTTGGACCTCTTTGAGGCTTTCGTTGGAAACGGGATTTCTTCACATAATGCTAGACAGAAGAATTCTCAGTAACTTCTTTTGGGATGTATGTATTCAAATCAGAGAGTTGAACCTTCCTTTAGACAGAGCGGATTGGAAACACTCTTTTGTGGAATTTGCAAGTGGAAAATTCTAGCAGTATGAGGCCAATGGTACAAAAGGAAATATCTTCGTATAAAAACTAGACAGTATCATTCTCAGAAACTGCTTCGTGATGTGTGTATTAAACTCACAGAGTTGAACATTTCTTTGCATAGAGCAGTTTGGAAAGACTTAGTTTGTGCAGTGTGCAAGTGGATATTTGGAACTCTTTGAGGCCTTCGTTGGAAACGGGATTTCTTCTTATAATTCTTGACAAAAGAATTCTCAGTAGCTTCTTTGTGTGTGTGTATTCAACTCACAGAGTTGAACCTTCCTTGAGACAGAGCAGATTGGAAACACTCTTTTTGTGGAATTTGCAAGTGGAGAATTCTAGCGCTTTGACGCCAATGGTAGAAAGGAAATATCTTCGTATAAAAACTAGACAGTATCATTCTCAGAAACTACTTTGTGATGTGTGCGTTCAACTCACAGAGTTTAACCTTTCTTTTCATAGAGCAGTTTGGAAACACTCTGTTTGTGAAGTCTGCAAGTGGATATTTAAACGTCTTTGAGGCCTTCGTTGGAAACGGGATTTTTTCATATAAACCAGGACAGAAGAATTCTCAGAAACTTCTTGATTGTTATGTGTGCATTCAACTCACAGAGTTGAACCTTACTTTGGAAAGAGCAGTTTTCTAACACTCTTTTTGTAAAAGTTCCAAGTGAATACTTTGAGTGCTTTGAAGCCTACGGTTGACAACGAAATATCTTCATGTAAAAACTACAAAGAATCATTCGCAGAAACCACGTTGTGATCTCTGCATTCAACTCACAGAGTTCAACCTTTCTTCCTATAGAGCAGTTATGAAACAGTCTCTTTGTAGAATTTGCAAGGGTGTATTTAGAGGGCATTGAAGCCTACGGTAGAAAAGGAAATATCTTACCATAAAATCTAGTCAGAAGCATTCTCAGAAACTGAGTTGTGATGTTTGCATTCAACTCACAGAGTTCAACATTCCTTTTAATGGAGCGGTTTTGAAACACTCTTTTTGCAGAATCTGCAAGTGGATATTTGGACCTCTTTGAGGCCTTCGTTGCAAACGGGATTTCTTCATGTAATGCCAGACAGAAGAATTCTCAGTGAATTCTTTCTGTGTGTGTGTATTCAACTCACAGAGTTGAACGTTCCTTTAGACAGAGTAGATTGGAAACACTCTTTTTGTGGAATTTTCAGGTGGAGGTATCAAGCGCTTTGAGGCCAATGATAGAAAAGGAAATACCTTCGTATAATAATTAGACGGAATCATTCTCAGAAACCGCTTTGCAATGTGTGCGTTCAACTCACAGTGTTTAACCTTTCTTTTCATACAGTTGTTTCGAAACACTCTTTTTGCAGAATCTGCAAGTGGATATTTGGACCTCTTTGAAGTCTTCGTTGGAAATGGGATTTCTTCATATAATGCTAGACAGAAGACTTCTCAGTAACTGCTTTTTCTGGTGTGTATTCAACTCTCAGAGTTGAACTTTCCTTTAGAAACAGCAGATTTGAAACTCTCTTTTTGTGGAATTTGCAAGTGGAGATTTCAGAGCTTTGAGGCCAATGGTAGAAAAGGAAATATCTTCGTATGCAAACTAGACAGAATCATTCTCAGAAACTACTTTGGTACGTGTGTGTTCAACTCACAGTGTTTAACCTTTCTTTTCATAGAGCAGTTTGGAAACACTCAGTTTGTAAAGTCAGCAACTGGATATTTGGATGTATTTGAGGCCTTCGTTGGAAACGGGATTTCTTCATATAATGCTAGACAGAAGAATTCTCAGTAACTTCTTTGGGTTGTGGGTATTCAAGTCACAGAGTTGAAGCTTCCTTTAGGCGGAGCAGATTGGAAACACTTTTTGTGGAATTTTCAGGGGGAGACTTCAAGCGCTTTGAAGTGAATGGTAGGAAAGGAAATATCTTCGTATAAAAACTAGACGGAGTCATTCTCAGAAACTACTTTGTGATGTTTGCGTTCAACTCACAGAGTTTAACGTTTCTTTTCATAGAGCAGTTTGGAAACACTCTTTTTGCAGAATCTGCAAGTGGATATTTGGACCTCTTTGTGGCCTTCGTTGGAAACGGGATTTTTCATATAATGCTAGACAGAAGAATTCTCAGTAACTTCTTTTTGTGGTGTGTATTCAACTCACAGAGTTGAACCTTCCTTTAGACAGAGCAGATTTGAAACTCTCTTTTTGTGGAATTTGCAAGTGGAGATTTCAAGCGCTTTGAGGCCAACGGCAGAAAAGGAAATATCTTCGTAGAAAAAATAGACGGAATCATTCTCAGAAACTGCTTTGGGATGTGTGCATTGAACTCACAGTGTTTAACACTTCTTTTCATAGAGCACTTTGGAAACACTCAGTTTGTAATGTCTGCAGCTGGATATTTGGACCTCTTTGAGGCCTTCGTGGTAAACGGGATTTCTTCGTGTAATGATAGACAATAGAATTCTCAGTGAATTTGTTTCTGTGTGTGTGTATTCAACTCACAGGGTTGAACCTTCCTTTAGACAGTGCAGATTTGAGACACTTGTCTGTGGAATTTGCAAGGGGAGATTTCAAGCACTTTGAGGCCATTGGTGGAAAAGGAAATATCTTCGTATGAAAACTAGACAGAATCATTCTCAGGAACTACTTTGTGATATGTGCATTCAACTCACAGAGTTTAACCTTTCTTTTCATAGATGAGTTTGGAAACAGTCAGTTTGTAAATTCTGCAACTGGATATTTGGACCTCTTTGAGGCTTTCGTTGGAAACGGGATTTCTTCACATAATGCTAGACAGAAGAATTCTCAGTAACTTCTTTTGGGATGTATGTATTCAAATCAGAGAGTTGAACCTTCCTTTAGACAGAGCGGATTGGAAACCCTCTTTTTGTGGAATTTGCAAGTGGAAAATTCTAGCAGTATGAGGCCAATGGTACAAAAGGAAATATCTTCGTATAAAAACTAGACAGTATCATTCTCAGAAACTGCTTTGTGATGTGTGTATTAAACTCACAGAGTTGAACATTTCTTTGCATAGAGCAGTTTGGAAAGACTTAGTTTGTGCAGTGTGCAAGTGGATATTTGGAACTCTTTGAGGCCTTCGTTGGAAACGGGATTTCTTCTTATAATTTCTTGAAAAAAGAATTCTCAGTAGCTTCTTTGTGTGTGTGTATTCAACTCACAGAGTTGAACCTTCCTTTAGACAGAGCAGATTGGAAACACTCTTTTTGTGGAATTTGCAAGTGGAGAATTCTAGCGCTTTGACGCCAATGGTAGAAAGGAAATATCTTCGTATAAAAACTAGACAGTATCATTCTCAGAAGCTACTTTGTGATGTGTGCGTTCAACTCACAGAGTTTAACCTTTCTTTTCATAGAGCAGTTTGGAAACCCTCTGTTTGTGAAGTCTGCAAGTGGATATTTAAACGTCTTTGAGGCCTTCGTTGGAAACGGGATTTTTTCATATAAACCAGGACAGAAGAATTCTCAGAAACTTCTTGATTGTTATGTGTGCATTCAACTCACAGAGTTGAACCTTACTTTGGAAAGAGCAGTTTCCTAACACTCGTTTTGTAAAAGTTCCAAGTGAATACTTTGAGTGCTTTGAAGCCTACGGTTGACAACGAAATATCTTCATGTAAAAACTACAAAGAATCATTCGCAGAAACCAACGTTGTGATCTCTGCATTCAACTCACAGAGTTGAACCTTTCTTCCTATAGAGCAGTTATGAAACAGTCTCTTTGTAGAATTTGCAAGGGTGTATTTAGAGGGCATTGAAGCCTACGGTAGAAAAGGAAATATCTTACCATAAAATCTAGTCAGAAGCATTCTCAGCAACTGAGTTGTGATGTTTGCATTCAACTCACAGAGTTCAACATTCCTTTTAATGGAGCGGTTTTGAAACACTCTTTTTGCAGAATCTGCAAGTGGATATTTGGACCTCTTTGAGGCCTTCGTTGGAAACGGGATTTCTTCATGTAATGCCAGACAGAAGAATTCTCAGTGAATTCTTTCTGTGTGTGTGTATTCAACTCACAGAGTTGAACGTTCCTTTAGACAGAGTAGATTGGAAACACTCTTTTTGTGGAATTTTCAGGTGGAGGTATCAAGCGCTTTGAGGCCAATGATAGAAAAGGAAATACCTTCGTATAATAATTAGACGGAATCATTCTCAGAAACTGCTTTGCAATGTGTGCGTTCAACTCACAGTGTTTAACCTTTCTTTTCATACAGTTGTTTCGAAACACTCTTTTTGCAGAATCTGCAAGTGGATATTTGGACCTCTTTGAAGTCTTCGTTGGAAATGGGATTTCTTCATATAATGCTAGACAGAAGACTTCTCAGTAACTGCTTTTTCTGGTGTGTATTCAACTCTCAGAGTTGAACTTTCCTTTAGGAACAGCAGATTTGAAACTCTCTTTTTGTGGAATTTGCAAGTGGAGATTTCAAAGCTTTGAGGCCAGTGGTAGAAAAGGAAATATCTTTGTATGCAAACTAGACAGAATCATTCTCAGAAACTACTTTGGTACGTGTGTGTTCAACTCACAGTGTTTAACCTTTCTTTTCATAGAGCAGTTTGGAAACACTCAGTTTGTAAAGTCAGCAACTGGATATTTGGATGTATTTGAGGCCTTCGTTGGAAACGGGATTTCTTCATATAATGCTAGACAGAAGAATTCTCAGTAACTTCTTTGGGTTGTGGGTATTCAACTCACAGAGTTGAAGCTTCCTTTAGGCGGAGCAGATTGGAAACACTTTTTGTGGAATTTTCAGGGGGAGACTTCAAGCGCTTTGAAGTGAATGGTAGGAAAGGAAATATCTTCGTATAAAAACTAGACGGAGTCATTCTCAGAAACTACTTTGTGATGTTTGCGTTCAACTCACAGAGTTTAACGTTTCTTTTCATAGAGCAGTTTGGAAACACTCTTTTTGCAGAATCTGCAAGTGGATATTTGGACCTCTTTGTGGCCTTCGTTGGAAACGGGATTTTTCATATAATGCTAGACAGAAGAATTCTCAGTAACTTCTTTTTGTGGTGTGTATTCAACTCACAGAGTTGAACCTTCCTTTAGACAGAGCAGATTTGAAACTCTCTTTTTGTGGAATTTGCAAGTGGAGATTTCAAGCGCTTTGAGGCCAACGGTAGAAAAGGAAATATCTTCGTAGAAAAAATAGACGGAATCATTCTCAGAAACTGCTTTGGGATGTGTGCATTGAACTCACAGTGTTTAACACTTCTTTTCATAGAGCACTTTGGAAACAGTCAGTTTGGAATGTCTGCAGCTGGATATTTGGACCTCTTTGAGGCCTTCGTAGTAAACGGGATTTCTTCGGGTAATGATAGACAATAGAATTCTCAGTGAATTTTTTTCTGTGTGTGTGTATTCAACTCACAGGGTTGAACCTTCCTTCAGACAGTACAGATTTGAAACACTTTTCTGTGGAATTTGCAAGGGGAGATTTCAAGCACTTTGTGGCCATTGGTGGAAAAGGGAATATCTTCGTATAAAAACTAGACAGAGTCATTGTCAGGAACTACTTTGTGATATGTGCATTCAACTCACAGAGTTTAACCTTTCTTTTCATAGATGAGTTTGGAAACAGTCAGTTTGTAAATTCTGCAACTGGATATTTGGACCTCTTTGAGGCTTTCGTTGGAAACGGGATTTCTTCACATAATGCTAGACAGAAGAATTCTCAGTAACTTCTTTTGGGATGTATGTATTCAACTCAGAGAGTTGAACCTTCCTTTAGACAGAGCGGATTGGAAACACGCTTTTTGCGGAATTTTCAGGTGGAGATTCCAAGAGCCTTGAGGCCAATGGTAGAAAAGGCTATCTTCGTATAAAAACTAGAGGGAATCATTCTCAGAAACTGCTTTGTGATGTGTGCATTAAACTCACAGAGTTGAACATTTCTTTGCATAGAGCAGTTTGGAAAGACTTAGTTTGTACAGTGTGCAAGTGGATATTTGGAACTCTTTGAGGCCTTCGTTGGAAACGGGATTTCTTCTTATAATTCTTGACAAAAGAATTCTCAGTAGCTTCTTTGTGTGTGTGTATTCAACTCACAGAGTTGAACCTTCCTTTAGACAGAGCAGATTGGAAACACTCTTTTTGTGGAATTTGCAAGTGGAGAATTCTAGCGCTTTGACGCCAATGGAAGGAAAGGAAATATCTCCGTATAAAAACTAGACAGTATCATTCTCAGAAACTACTTTGTGATGTGTGCGTTCAACTCACAGAGTTTAACCTTTCTTTTCATAGAGCAGTTTGGAAACACTCTGTTTGTGAAGTCTGCAAGTGGATATTTAAACGTCTTTGAGGCCTTCGTTGGAAACGGGATTTTTTCATATAAACCAGGACAGAAGAATTCTCAGAAACTTCTTGTTTGTTATGTGTGCATTCAACTCACAGAGTTGAACCTTACTTTGGAAAGAGCAGTTTTCTAACACTCTTTTTGTAAAAGTTCCAAGTGAATACTTTGAGTGCTTTGAAGCCTACGGTAGACAACGAAATATCTTCATGTAAAAACTACAAAGAATCATTCGCAGAAACCACGTTGTGATCTCTGCAGTCAACTCACAGAGTTCAACCTTTCTTCCTATAGAGCAGTTATGAAACAGTCTCTTTGTAGAATTTGCAAGGGTGTATTTAGAGGGCATTGAAGCCTACGGTAGAAAAGGAAATATCTTACCATAAAATACTAGTCAGAAGCATTCTCAGAAACTGAGTTGTGATGTTTGCATTCAACTCACAGAGTTCAACATTCCTCTTAATGGAGCGGTTTTGAAACACTCTTTTTGCAGAATCTGCAAGTGGATATTTGGACCTCTTTGAGGCCTTCGTTGGAAACGGGATTTCTTCATGTAATGCCAGACAGAAGAATTCTCAGTGAATTCTTTCTGTGTGTGTGTATTCAACTCACAGAGTTGAACGTTCCTTTAGACAGAGTAGATTGGAAACACTCTTTTTGTGGAATTTTCAGGTGGAGGTATCAAGCGCTTTGAGGCCAATGATAGAAAAGGAAATACCTTCGTATAATAATTAGACGGAATCATTCTCAGAAACTGCTTTGCAATGTGTGCGTTCAACTCACAGTGTTTAACCTTTCTTTTCATACAGTTTTGTTTCGAAACACTCTTTTTGCAGAATCTGCAAGTGGATATTTGGACCTCTTTGAAGTCTTCGTTGGAAATGGGATTTCTTCATATAATGCTAGACAGAAGACTTCTCAGTAACTGCTTTTTCTGGTGTGTATTCAACTCTCAGAGTTGAACTTTCCTTTAGAAACAGCAGAGTTGAAACTCTCTTTTTGTGGAATTTGCAAGTGGAGATTTCAAAGCTTTGAGGCCAATGGTAGAAAAGGAAATATCTTCGTATGCAAACTAGACAGAATCATTCTCAGCAAACTACTTTGGTACGTGTGTGTTCAACTCACAGTGTTTAACCTTTCTTTTCATAGAGCAGTTTGGAAACACTCAGTTTGTAAAGTCAGCAACTGGATATTTGGATGTATTTGAGGCCTTCGTTGGAAACGGGATTTCTTCATATAATGCTAGACAGAAGAATTCTCAGTAACTTCTTTGGGTTGTGGGTATTCAAGTCACAGAGTTGAAGCTTCCTTTAGGCGGAGCAGATTGGAAACACTTTTTGTGGAATTTTCAGGGGGAGACTTCAAGCGCTTTGAAGTGAATGGTAGGAAAGGAAATATCTTCGGTATAAAAACTAGACGGAGTCATTCTCAGAAACTACTTTGTGATGTTTGCGTTCAACTCACAGAGTTTAACGTTTCTTTTCATAGAGCAGTTTGGAAACACTCTTTTTGCAGAATCTGCAAGTGGATATTTGGACCTCTTTGTGGCCTTCGTTGGAAACGGGATTTTTCATATAATGCTAGACAGAAGAATTCTCAGTAACTTCTTTTTGTGGTGTGTATTCAACTCACAGAGTTGAACCTTCCTTTAGACAGAGCAGATTTGAAACTCTCTTTTTGTGGAATTTGCAAGTGGAGATTTCAAGCGCTTTGAGGCCAACGGCAGAAAAGGAAATATCTTCGTAGAAAAAATAGACGGAATCATTCTCAGAAACTGCTTTGGGATGTGTGCATTGAACTCACAGTGTTTAACACTTCTTTTCATAGAGCACTTTGGAAACACTCAGGTTGTAATGTCTGCAGCTGGATATTTGGACCTCTTTGAGGCCTTCGTAGTAAACGGGATTTCTTCGTGTAATGATAGACAATAGAATTCTCAGTGAATTTTTTTCTGTGTGTGTGTATTCAACTCACAGGGTTGAACCTTCCTTTAGACAGTGCAGATTTGAGACACTTGTCTGTGGAATTTGCAAGGGGAGATTTCAAGCACTTTGAGGCCATTGGTGGAAAAGGAAATATCTTCGTATGAAAACTAGACAGAATCATTCTCAGGAACTACTTTGTGATATGTGCATTCAACTCACAGAGTTTAACCTTTCTTTTCATAGATGAGTTTGGAAACAGTCAGTTTGTAAATTCTGCAACTGGATATTTGGACCTCTTTGAGGCTTTCGTTGGAAACGGGATTTCTTCACATAATGCTAGACAGAAGAATTCTCAGTAACTTCTTTTGGGATGTATGTATTCAAATCAGAGAGTTGAACCTTCCTTTAGACAGAGCGGATTGGAAACACTCTTTTTGTGGAATTTGCAAGTGGAAAATTCTAGCAGTATGAGGCCAATGGTACAAAAGGAAATATCTTCGTATAAAAACTAGACAGTATCATTCTCAGAAACTGCTTTGTGATGTGTGTATTAAACTCACAGAGTTTAACCTTTCTTTTCATAGAGCAGTTTGGAAACCCTCTGTTTGTGAAGTCTGCAAGTGGATATTTAAACGTCTTTGAGGCCTTCGTTGGAAACGGGATTTTTTCATATAAACCAGGACAGAAGAATTCTCAGAAACTTCTTGATTGTTATGTGTGCATTCAACTCACAGAGTTGAACCTTACTTTGGAAAGAGCAGTTTTCTAACACTCTTTTTGTAAAAGTTCCAAGTGAATACTTTGAGTGCTTTGAAGCCTACGGTTGACAACGAAATATCTTCATGTAAAAACTACAAAGAATCATTCGCAGAAACCACGTTGTGATCTCTGCATTCAACTCACAGTGTTGAACCTTTCTTCCTATAGAGCAGTTATGAAACAGTCTCTTTGTAGAATTTGCAAGGGTGTATTTAGAGGGCATTGAAGCCTACGGTAGAAAAGGAAATATCTTACCATAAAATCTAGTCAGAAGCATTCTCAGCAACTGAGTTGTGATGTTTGCATTCAACTCACAGAGTTCAACATTCCTTTTAATGGAGCGGTTTTGAAACACTCTTTTTGCAGAATCTGCAAGTGGATATTTGGACCTCTTTGAGGCCTTCGTTGGAAACGGGATTTCTTCATGTAATGCCAGACAGAAGAATTCTCAGTGAATTCTTTCTGTGTGTGTGTATTCAACTCACAGAGTTGAACGTTCCTTTAGACAGAGTAGATTGGAAACACTCTTTTTGTGGAATTTTCAGGTGGAGGTATCAAGCGCTTTGAGGCCAATGATAGAAAAGGAAATACCTTCGTATAATAATTAGACGGAATCATTCTCAGAAACTGCTTTGCAATGTGTGCGTTCAACTCACAGTGTTTAACTTTTCTTTTCATACAGTTGTTTTGAAACACTCTTTTTGCAGAATCTGCAAGTGGATATTTGGACTTCTTTGAAGTCTTCGTTGGAAATGGGATTTCTTCATATAATGCTAGACAGAAGACTTCTCAGTAACTGCTTTTTCTGGTGTGTATTCAACTCTCAGAGTTGAACTTTCCTTTAGAAACAGCAGATTTGAAACTCTCTTTTTGTGGAATTTGCAAGTGGAGATTTCAGAGCTTTGAGGCCAATGGTAGAAAAGGAAATATCTTCGTATGCAAACTAGACAGAATCATTCTCAGAAACTACTTTGGTACGTGTGTGTTCAACTCACAGTGTTTAACCTTTCTTTTCATAGAGCAGTTTGGAAACACTCAGTTTGTAAAGTCAGCAACTGGATATTTGGATGTATTTGAGGCCTTCGTTGGAAACGGGATTTCTTCATATAATGCTAGACAGAAGAATTCTCAGTAACTTCTTTGGGTTGTGGGTATTCAAGTCACAGAGTTGAAGCTTCCTTTAGGCGGAGCAGATTGGAAACACTTTTTGTGGAATTTTCAGGGGGAGACTTCAAGCGCTTTGAAGTGAATGGTAGGAAAGGAAATATCTTCGTATAAAAACTAGACGGAGTCATTCTCAGAAACTACTTTGTGATGTTTGCGTTCAAATCACAGAGTTTAACGTTTCTTTTCATAGAGCAGTTTGGAAACACTCTTTTTGCAGAATCTGCAAGTGGATATTTGGACCTCTTTGTGGCCTTCGTTGGAAACGGGATTTTTCATATAATGCTAGACAGAAGAATTCTCAGTAACTTCTTTTTGTGGTGTGTATTCAACTCACAGAGTTGAACCTTCCTTTAGACAGAGCAGATTTGAAACTCTCTTTTTGTGGAATTTGCAAGTGGAGATTTCAAGCGCTTTGAGGCCAACGGCAGAAAAGGAAATATCTTCGTAGAAAAAATAGACGGAATCATTCTCAGAAACTGCTTTGGGATGTGTGCATTGAACTCACAGTGTTTAACACTTCTTTTCATAGAGCACTTTGGAAACACTCAGTTTGTAATGTCTGCAGCTGGATATTTGGACCTCTTTGAGGCCTTCGTAGTAAACGGGATTTCTTCGTGTAATGATAGACAATAGAATTCTCAGTGAATTTTTTTCTGTGTGTGTGTATTCAACTCACAGGGTTGAACCTTCCTTTAGACAGTGCAGATTTGAAACACTTGTCTGTGGAATTTGCAAGGGGAGATTTCAAGCACTTTGAGGCCATTGGTGGAAAAGGAAATATCTTCGTATAAAAACTAGACAGAATCATTCTCAGGAACTACTTTGTGATATGTGCATTCAACTCCCAGAGTTTAACCTTTCTTTTCATAGATGAGTTTGGAAACAGTCAGTTTGTAAATTCTGCAACTGGATATTTGGACCTCTTTGAGGCTTTCGTTGGAAACGGGATTTCTTCACATAATGCTAGACAGAAGAATTCTCAGTAACTTCTTTTGGGATGTATGTATTCAAATCAGAGAGTTGAACCTTCCTTTAGACAGAGCGGATTGGAAACACTCTTTTTGTGGAATTTGCAAGTGGAAAATTCTAGCAGTATGAGGCCAATGGTACAAAAGGAAATATCTTCGTATAAAAACTAGACAGTATCATTCTCAGAAACTGCTTTGTGATGTGTGTATTAAACTCACAGAGTTGAACATTTCTTTGCATAGAGCAGTTTGGAAAGACTTAGTTTGTGCAGTGTGCAAGTGGATATTTGGAACTCTTTGAGGCCCTTCGTTGGAAACGGGATTTCTTCTTATAATTCTTGACAAAGAATTCTCAGTAGCTTCTTTGTGTGTGTGTACTCAACTCACAGAGTTGAACCTTCCTTTAGACAGAGCAGATTGGAAACACTCTTTTTGTGGAATTTGCAAGTGGAAAATTCTAGCAGTATGAGGCCAATGGTACAAAAGGAAATATCTTCGTATAAAAACTAGACAGTATCATTCTCAGAAACTACTTTGTGATGTGTGCGTTCAACTCACAGTGTTTACCCTTTCTTTTCATAGAGCAGTTTGGAAACACTCTGTTTGTGAAGTCTGCAAGTGGATATTTAAACGTCTTTGAGGCCTTCGTTGGAAACGGGATTTCTTCATATAAACCAGGACAGAAGAATTCTCAGAAACTTCTTGTTTGTTATGTGTGCATTCAACTCACAGAGTTGAACCTTACTTTGGAAAGAGCAGTTTTCTAACACTCTTTTTGTGAAAGTTCCAAGTGAATACTTTGAGTGCTTTGAAGCCTACGGTAGACAACGAAATATCTTCATGTAAAAACTACAAAGAATCATTCGCAGAAACCACGTTGTGATCTCTGCATTCAACTCACAGAGTTGAACCTTTCCTCCTATAGAGCAGTTATGAAGCAGTCTCTTTGTAGAATTTGCAAGGGTGTATTTAGAGGGCATTGAAGCCTACGGTGGAAAAGGAAATATCTTACCATAAAATCTAGTCAGAAGCATTCTCAGAAACTGAGTTGTGATGTTTGCATTCAACTCACAGAGTTCAACATTCCTTTTAATGGAGCGGTTTTGAAACCCTCTTTTTGCAGAATCTGCAAGTGGATATTTGGACCTCTTTGAGGCCTTCGTTGGAAACGGGATTTCTTCATGTAATGCCAGACAGAAGAATTCTCAGTGAATTCTTTCTGTGTGTGTGTATTCAACTCACAGAGTTGAACGTTCCTTTAGACAGAGTAGATTGGAAACACTCTTTTTGTGGAATTTTCAGGTGGAGGTATCAAGCGCTTTGAGGCCAATGATAGAAAAGGAAATACCTTCGTATAATAATTAGACGGAATCATTCTCAGAAACCGCTTTGCAATGTGTGCGGTTCAACTCACAGTGTTTAACCTTTCTTTTCATACAGTTGTTTCGAAACACTCTTTTTGCAGAATCTGCAAGTGGATATTTGGACCTCTTTGAAGTCTTCGTTGGAAATGGGATTTCTTCATATAATGCTAGACAGAAGACTTCTCAGTAACTGCTTTTTCTGGTGTGTATTCAACTCTCAGAGTTGAACTTTCCTTTAGAAACAGCAGATTTGAAACTCTCTTTTTGTGGAATTTGCAAGTGGAGATTTCAGAGCTTTGAGGCCAATGGTAGAAAAGGAAATATCTTCGTATGCAAACTAGACAGAATCATTCTCAGAAACTACTTTGGTACGTGTGTGTTCAACTCACAGTGTTTAACCTTTCTTTTCATAGAGCAGTTTGGAAACACTCAGTTTGTAAAGTCAGCAACTGGATATTTGGATGTATTTGAGGCCTTCGTTGGAAACGGGATTTCTTCATATAATGCTAGACAGAAGAATTCTCAGTAACTTCTTTGGGTTGTGGGTATTCAAGTCACAGAGTTGAAGCTTCCTTTAGGCGGAGCAGATTGGAAACACTTTTTGTGGAATTTTCAGGGGGAGACTTCAAGCGCTTTGAAGTGAATGGTAGGAAAGGAAATATCTTCGTATAAAAACTAGACGGAGTCATTCTCAGAAACTACTTTGTGATGTTTGCGTTCAACTCACAGAGTTTAACGTTTCTTTTCATAGAGCAGTTTGGAAACACTCTTTTTGCAGAATCTGCAAGTGGATATTTGGACCTCTTTGTGGCCTTCGTTGGAAACGGGATTTTTCATATAATGCTAGACAGAAGAATTCTCAGTAACTTCTTTTTGTGGTGTGTATTCAACTCACAGAGTTGAACCTTCCTTTAGACAGAGCAGATTTGAAACTCTCTTTTTGTGGAATTTGCAAGTGGAGATTTCAAGCGCTTTGAGGCCAACGGCAGAAAAGGAAATATCTTCGTAGAAAAAATAGACGGAATCATTCTCAGAAACTGCTTTGGGATGTGTGCATTGAACTCACAGTGTTTAACACTTCTTTTCATAGAGCACTTTGGAAACACTCAGTTTGTAATGTCTGCAGCTGGATATTTGGACCTCTTTGAGGCCTTCGTAGTAAACGGGATTTCTTCGTGTAATGATAGACAATAGAATTCTCAGTGAATTTTTTTCTGTGTGTGTGTATTCAACTCACAGGGTTGAACCTTCCTTTAGACAGTGCAGATTTGAAACACTTGTCTGTGGAATTTGCAAGGGGAGATTTCAAGCACTTTGAGGCCATTGGTGGAAAAGGAAATATCTTCGTATGAAAACTAGACAGAATCATTCTCAGGAACTACTTTGTGATATGTGCATTCAACTCCCAGAGTTCAACCTTTCTTTTCATAGATGAGTTTGGAAACAGTCAGTTTGTAAATTCTGCAACTGGATATTTGGACCTCTTTGAGGCTTTCGTTGGAAACGGGATTTCTTCACATAATGCTAGACAGAAGAATTCTCAGTAACTTCTTTTGGGATGTATGTATTCAAATCAGAGAGTTGAACCTTCCTTTAGACAGAGCGGATTGGAAACCCTCTTTTTGTGGAATTTGCAAGTGGAAAATTCTAGCAGTATGAGGCCAATGGTACAAAAGGAAATATCTTCGTATAAAAACTAGACAGTATCATTCTCAGAAACTGCTTTGTGATGTGTGTATTAAACTCACAGAGTTGAACATTTCTTTGCATAGAGCAGTTTGGAAAGACTTAGTTTGTGCAGTGTGCAAGTGGATATTTGGAACTCTTTGAGGCCTTCGTTGGAAACGGGATTTCTTCTTATAATTCTTGACAAAAGAATTCTCAGTAGCTTCTTTGTGTGTGTGTATTCAACTCACAGAGTTGAACCTTCCTTTAGACAGAGCAGATTGGAAACACTCTTTTTGTGGAATTTGCAAGTGGAGAATTCTAGCGCTTTGACGCCAATGGTAGAAAGGAAATATCTTCGTATAAAAACTAGACAGTATCATTCTCAGAAACTACTTTGTGATGTGTGCGTTCAACTCACAGAGTTTAACCTTTCTTTTCATAGAGCAGTTTGGAAACCCTCTGTTTGTGAAGTCTGCAAGTGGATATTTAAACGTCTTTGAGGCCTTCGTTGGAAACGGGATTTTTTCATATAAACCAGGACAGAAGAATTCTCAGAAACTTCTTGATTGTTATGTGTGCATTCAACTCACAGCAGTTGAACCTTACTTTGGAAAGAGCAGTTTTCTAACACTCTTTTTGTAAAAGTTCCAAGTGAATACTTTGAGTGCTTTGAAGCCTACGGTTGACAACGAAATATCTTCATGTAAAAACTACAAAGAATCATTCGCAGAAACCACGTTGTGATCTCTGCATTCAACTCACAGAGTTGAACCTTTCTTCCTATAGAGCAGTTATGAAACAGTCTCTTTGTAGAATTTGCAAGGGTGTATTTAGAGGGCATTGAAGCCTACGGTAGAAAAGGAAATATCTTACCATAAAATCTAGTCAGAAGCATTCTCAGAAACTGAGTTGTGATGTTTGCATTCAACTCACAGAGTTCAACATTCCTTTTAATGGAGCGGTTTTGAAACACTCTTTTTGCAGAATCTGCAAGTGGATATTTGGACCTCTTTGAGGCCTTCGTTGGAAACGGGATTTCTTCATGTAATGCCAGACAGAAGAATTCTCAGTGAATTCTTTCTGTGTGTGTGTATTCAACTCACAGAGTTGAACGTTCCTTTAGACAGAGTAGATTGGAAACACTCTTTTTGTGGAATTTTCAGGTGGAGGTATCAAGCGCTTTGAGGCCAATGATAGAAAAGGAAATACCTTCGTATAATAATTAGACGGAATCATTCTCAGAAACCGCTTTGCAATGTGTGCGTTCAACTCACAGTGTTTAACCTTTCTTTTCATACAGTTGTTTCGAAACACTCTTTTTGCAGAATCTGCAAGTGGATATTTGGACCTCTTTGAAGTCTTCGTTGGAAATGGGATTTCTTCATATAATGCTAGACAGAAGACTTCTCAGTAACTGCTTTTTCTGGTGTGTATTCAACTCTCAGAGTTGAACTTTCCTTTAGAAACAGCAGATTTGAAACTCTCTTTTTGTGGAATTTGCAAGTGGAGATTTCAGAGCTTTGAGGCCAATGGTAGAAAAGGAAATATCTTCGTATGCAAACTAGACAGAATCATTCTCAGAAACTACTTTGGTACGTGTGTGTTCAACTCACAGTGTTTAACCTTTCTTTTCATAGAGCAGTTTGGAAACACTCAGTTTGTAAAGTCAGCAACTGGATATTTGGATGTATTTGAGGCCTTCGTTGGAAACGGGATTTCTTCATATAATGCTAGACAGAAGAATTCTCAGTAACTTCTTTGGGTTGTGGGTATTCAACTCACAGAGTTGAAGCTTCCTTTAGGCGGAGCAGATTGGAAACACTTTTTGTGGAATTTTCAGGGGGAGACTTCAAGCGCTTTGAAGTGAATGGTAGGAAAGGAAATATCTTCGTATAAAAACTAGACGGAGTCATTCTCAGAAACTACTTTGTGATGTTTGCGTTCAACTCACAGAGTTTAACGTTTCTTTTCATAGAGCAGTTTGGAAACACTCTTTTTGCAGAATCTGCAAGTGGATATTTGGACCTCTTTGTGGCCTTCGTTGGAAACGGGATTTTTCATATAATGCTAGACAGGAAGAATTCTCAGTAACTTCTTTTTGTGGTGTGTATTCAACTCACAGAGTTGAACCTTCCTTTAGACAGAGCAGATTTGAAACTCTCTTTTCGTGGAATTTGCAAGTGGAGATTTCAAGCGCTTTGAGGCCAACGGTAGAAAAGGAAATATCTTCGTAGAAAAAATAGACGGAATCATTCTCAGAAACTGCTTTGGGATGTGTGCATTGAACTCACAGTGTTTAACACTTCTTTTCACAGAGCACTTTGGAAACACTCAGTTTGTAATGTCTGCAGCTGGATATTTGGACCTCTTTGAGGCCTTCGTAGTAAACGGGATTTCTTCGTGTAATGATAGACAATAGAATTCTCAGTGAATTTTTTTCTGTGTGTGTGTATTCAACTCACAGGGTTGAACCTTCCTTTAGACAGTGCAGATTTGAAACACTTGTCTGTGGAATTTGCAAGGGGAGATTTCAAGCACTTTGAGGCCATTGGTGGAAAAGGAAATATCTTCGTATGAAAACTAGACAGAATCATTCTCAGGAACTACTTTGTGATATGTGCATTCAACTCCCAGAGTTTAACCTTTCTTTTCATAGATGAGTTTGGAAACAGTCAGTTTGTAAATTCTGCAACTGGATATTTGGACCTCTTTGAGGCTTTCGTTGGAAACGGGATTTCTTCACATAATGCTAGACAGAAGAATTCTCAGTAACTTCTTTTGGGATGTATGTATTCAAATCAGAGAGTTGAACCTTCCTTTAGACAGAGCGGATTGGAAACACTCTTTTTGTGGAATTTGCAAGTGGAAAACTCTAGCAGTATGAGGCCAATGGTACAAAAGGAAATATCTTCGTATAAAAACTAGACAGTATCATTCTCAGAAACTGCTTTGTGATGTGTGTATTAAACTCACAGAGTTGAACATTTCTTTGCATAGAGCAGTTTGGAAAGACTTAGTTTGTGCAGTGTGCAAGTGGATATTTGGAACTCTTTGAGGCCTTCGTTGGAAACGGGATTTCTTCATGTAATGCCAGACAGAAGAATTCTCAGTAGCTTCTTTGTGTGTGTGTATTCAACTCACAGAGTTGAACCTTCCTTTAGACAGAGCAGATTGGAAACACTCTTTTTGTGGAATTTGCAAGTGGAGAATTCTAGCGCTTTGACGCCAATGGTAGAAAGGAAATATCTTCGTATAAAAACTAGACAGTATCATTCTCAGAAGCTACTTTGTGATGTGTGCGTTCAACTCACAGAGTTTAACCTTTCTTTTCATAGAGCAGTTTGGAAACCCTCTGTTTGTGAAGTCTGCAAGTGGATATTTAAACGTCTTTGAGGCCTTCGTTGGAAACGGGATTTTTTCATATAAACCAGGACAGAAGGATTCTCAGAAACTTCTTGTTTGTTATGTGTGCATTCAACTCACAGAGTTGAACCTTACTTTGGAAAGAGCAGTTTTCTAACACTCTTTTTGTAAAAGTTCCAAGTGAATACTTTGAGTGCTTTGAAGCCTACGGTAGACAACGAAATATTCTTCATGTAAAAACTACAAAGAATCATTCGCAGAAACCACGTTGTGATCTCTGCAGTCAACTCACAGAGTTCAACCTTTCTTCCTATAGAGCAGTTATGAAACAGTCTCTTTGTAGAATTTGCAAGGGTGTATTTAGAGGGCATTGAAGCCTACGGTAGAAAAGGAAATATCTTACCATAAAATCTAGTCAGAAGCATTCTCAGAAACTGAGTTGTGATGTTTGCATTCAACTCACAGAGTTCAACATTCCTTTTAATGGAGCGGTTTTGAAACACTCTTTTTGCAGAATCTGCAAGTGGATATTTGGACCTCTTTGAGGCCTTCGTTGGAAACGGGATTTCTTCATGTAATGCCAGACAGAAGAATTCTCAGTGAATTCTTTCTGTGTGTGTGTATTCAACTCACAGAGTTGAACGTTCCTTTAGACAGAGTAGATTGGAAACACTCTTTTTGTGGAATTTTCAGGTGGAGGTATCAAGCGCTTTGAGGCCAATGATAGAAAAGGAAATACCTTCGTATAATAATTAGACGGAATCATTCTCAGAAACTGCTTTGCAATGTGTGCGTTCAACTCACAGTGTTTAACCTTTCTTTTCATACAGTTGTTTCGAAACACTCTTTTTGCAGAATCTGCAAGTGGATATTTGGACCTCTTTGAAGTCTTCGTTGGAAATGGGATTTCTTCATATAATGCTAGACAGAAGACTTCTCAGTAACTGCTTTTTCTGGTGTGTATTCAACTCTCAGAGTTGAACTTTCCTTTAGAAACAGCAGATTTGAAACTCTCTTTTTGTGGAATTTGCAAGTGGAGATTTCAGAGCTTTGAGGCCAATGGTAGAAAAGGAAATATCTTCGTATGCAAACTAGACAGAATCATTCTCAGAAACTACTTTGGTACGTGTGTGTTCAACTCACAGTGTTTAACCTTTCTTTTCATAGAGCAGTTTGGAAACACTCAGTTTGTAAAGTCAGCAACTGGATATTTGGATGTATTTGAGGCCTTCGTTGGAAACGGGATTTCTTCATATAATGCTAGACAGAAGAATTCTCAGTAACTTCTTTGGGTTGTGGGTATTCAAGTCACAGAGTTGAAGCTTCCTTTAGGCGGAGCAGATTGGAAACACTTTTTGTGGAATTTTCAGGGGGAGACTTCAAGCGCTTTGAAGTGAATGGTAGGAAAGGAAATATCTTCGTATAAAAACTAGACGGAGTCATTCTCAGAAACTACTTTGTGATGTTTGCGTTCAACTCACAGAGTTTAACGTTTCTTTTCATAGAGCAGTTTGGAAACACTCTTTTTGCAGAATCTGCAAGTGGATATTTGGACCTCTTTGTGGCCTTCGTTGGAAACGGGATTTTTCATATAATGCTAGACAGAAGAATTCTCAGTAACTTCTTTTTGTGGTGTGTATTCAACTCACAGAGTTGAACCTTCCTTTAGACAGAGCAGATTTGAAACTCTCTTTTTGTGGAATTTGCAAGTGGAGATTTCAAGCGCTTTGAGGCCAACGGCAGAAAAGGAAATATCTTCGTAGAAAAAATAGACGGAATCATTCTCAGAAACTGCTTTGGGATGTGTGCATTGAACTCACAGTGTTTAACACTTCTTTTCATAGAGCACTTTGGAAACACTCAGTTTGTAATGTCTGCAGCTGGATATTTGGACCTCTTTGAGGCTTTCGTAGTAAACGGGATTTCTTCGTGTCATGATAGACAATAGAATTCTCAGTGAATTTTTTTCTGTGTGTGTGTATTCAACTCACAGGGTTGAACCTTCCTTTAGACAGTGCAGATTTGAAACACTTGTCTGTGGAATTTGCAAGGGGAGATTTCAAGCACTTTGAGGCCATTGGTGGAAAAGGAAATATCTTCGTATAAAAACTAGACAGAATCATTCTCAGGAACTACTTTGTGATATGTGCATTCAACTCCCAGAGTTTAACCTTTCTTTTCATAGATGAGTTTGGAAACAGTCAGTTTGTAAATTCTGCAACTGGATATTTGGACCTCTTTGAGGCTTTCGTTGGAAACGGGATTTCTTCACATAATGCTAGACAGAAGAATTCTCAGTAACTTCTTTTGGGATGTATGTATTCAAATCAGAGAGTTGAACCTTCCTTTAGACAGAGCGGATTGGAAACACTCTTTTTGTGGAATTTGCAAGTGGAAAATTCTAGCAGTATGAGGCCAATGGTACAAAAGGAAATATCTTCGTATAAAAACTAGACAGTATCATTCTCAGAAACTGCTTTGTGATGTGTGTATTAAACTCACAGAGTTGAACATTTCTTTGCATAGAGCAGTTTGGAAAGACTTAGTTTGTGCAGTGTGCAAGTGGATATTTGGAACTCTTTGAGGCCTTCGTTGGAAACGGGATTTCTTCTTATAATTCTTGACAAAAGAATTCTCAGTAGCTTCTTTGTGTGTGTGTATTCAACTCACAGAGTTGAACCTTCCTTTAGACAGAGCAGATTGGAAACACTCTTTTTGTGGAATTTGCAAGTGGAGAATTCTAGCGCTTTGACGCCAATGGTAGAAAGGAAATATCTTCGTATAAAAACTAGACAGTATCATTCTCAGAAACTACTTTGTGATGTGTGCGTTCAACTCACAGAGTTTAACCTTTCTTTTCATAGAGCAGTTTGGAAACACTCTGTTTTTGAAGTCTGCAAGTGGATATTTAAACGTCTTTGAGGCCTTCGTTGGAAACGGGATTTGTTCATATAAACCAGGACAGAAGAATTCTCAGAAACTTCTTGATTGTTATGTGTGCATTCAACTCACAGAGTTGAACCTTACTTTGGAAAGAGCAGTTTTCTAACACTCTTTTTGTAAAAGTTCCAAGTGAATACTTTGAGTGCTTTGAAGCCTACGGTTGACAACGAAATATCTTCATGTAAAAACTACAAAGAATCATTCGCAGAAACCACGTTGTGATCTCTGCATTCAACTCACAGAGTTGAACCTTTCTTCCTATAGAGCAGTTATGAAACAGTCTCTTTGTAGAATTTGCAAGGGTGTATTTAGAGGGCATTGAAGCCTACGGTAGAAAAGGAAATATCTTACCATAAAATCTAGTCAGAAGCATTCTCAGCAACTGAGTTGTGATGTTTCCATTCAACTCACAGAGTTCAACATTCCTTTTAATGGAGCGGTTTTGAAACACTCTTTTTGCAGAATCTGCAAGTGGATATTTGGACCTCTTTGAGGCCTTCGTTGGAAACGGGATTTCTTCATGTAATGCCAGACAGAAGAATTCTCAGTGAATTCTTTCTGTGTGTGTGTATTCAACTCACAGAGTTGAACGTTCCTTTAGACAGAGTAGATTGGAAACACTCTTTTTGTGGAATTTTCAGGTGGAGGTATCAAGCGCTTTGAGGCCAATGATAGAAAAGGAAATACCTTCGTATAATAATTAGACGGAATCATTCTCAGAAACCGCTTTGCAATGTGTGCGTTCAACTCACAGTGTTTAACCTTTCTTTTCATAGAGTTGTTTCGAAACACTCTTTTTGCAGAATCTGCAAGTGGATATTTGGACCTCTTTGAAGTCTTCGGTTGGAAATGGGATTTCTTCATATAATGCTAGACAGAAGACTTCTCAGTAACTGCTTTTTCTGGTGTGTATTCAACTCTCAGATTTGAACCTTCCTTTAGAAACAGCAGATTTGAAACTCTCTTTTTGTGGTATTTGCAAGTGGAGAATTCAAGTGCTTTGAGGCCAACGGTAGAAAAGGAAATATCTTCGTAGAAAAAATAGACGGAATCATTCTCAGAAACTGCTTTGTGATGTGTGCATTGAACTCACAGTGTTTAACACTTCTTTTCATAGAGCACTTTGGAAACACTCAGTTTGTATTGTCTGCAACTGGATATTTGGACCTCTTTGAGGCATTCGTGGTAAACGGGATTTCTTCGTGTAATGATAGACAATAGAATTCTCAGTGAATTTTTTTCTGTGTGTGTGTATTCAACTCACAGGGTTGAACCTTCCTTTAGACAGTGCAGATTTGAGACACTTGTCTGTGGAATTTGCAAGGGGAGATTTCAAGCACTTTGAGGCCATTGGTGGAAAAGGAAATATCTTCGTATAAAAACTAGACAGAATCATTCTCAGGAACTACTTTGTGATATGTGCATTCAACTCACAGAGTTTAACCTTTCTTTTCATAGATGAGTTTGGAAACAGTCAGTTTGTAAATGCTGCAACTGGATATTTGGGCCTCTTTGAGGCTTTCGTTGGAAACGGGATTTCTTCACATAATGCTAGACAGAAGAATTCTCAGTAACTTCTTTTGGGATGTATGTATTCAAATCAGAGAGTTGAACCTTCCTTTAGACAGAGCGGATTGGAAACACTCTTTTTGTGGAATTTGCAAGTGGAAAATTCTAGCAGTATGAGGCCAATGGTACAAAAGGAAATATCTTCGTATAAAAACTAGACAGTATCATTCTCAGAAACTGCTTTGTGATGTGTGTATTAAACTCACAGAGTTGAACATTTCTTTGCATAGAGCAGTATGGAAAGACTTAGTTTGTGCAGTGTGCAAGTGGATATTTGGAACTCTTTGAGGCCTTGGTTGGAAACGGGATTTCTTCTTATAATTCTTGACAAAAGAATTCTCAGTAGCTTCTTTGTGTGTGTGTACTCAACTCACAGAGTTGAACCTTCCTTTAGACAGAGCAGATTGGAAACACTCTTTTTGTGGAATTTGCAAGTGGAAAATTCTAGCAGTATGAGGCCAATGGTACAAAAGGAAATATCTTCGTATAAAAACTAGACAGTATCATTCTCAGAAACTACTTTGTGATGTGTGCGTTCAACTCACAGTGTTTACCCTTTCTTTTCATAGAGCAGTTTGGAAACACTCTGTTTGTGAAGTCTGCAAGTGGATATTTAAACGTCTTTGAGGCCTTCGTTGGAAACGGGATTTCTTCATATAAACCAGGACAGAAGAATTCTCAGAAACTTCTTGTTTGTTATGTGTGCATTCAACTCACAGAGTTGAACCTTACTTTGGAAAGAGCAGTTTTCTAACACTCTTTTTGTGAAAGTTCCAAGTGAATACTTTGAGTGCTTTGAAGCCTACGGTAGACAACGAAATATCTTCATGTAAAAACTACAAAGAATCATTCGCAGAAACCACGTTGTGATCTCTGCATTCAACTCACAGAGTTGAACCTTTCCTCCTATAGAGCAGTTATGAAACAGTCTCTTTGTAGAATTTGCAAGGGTGTATTTACAGGGCATTGAAGCCTACGGTAGAAAAGGAAATATCTTAACATAAAATCTAGTCAGAAGCATTCTCAGAAACTGAGTTGTGATGTTTGCATTCAACTCACAGAGTTCAACATTCCTTTTAATGGAGCGGTTTTGAAACACTCTTTTTGCAGAATCTGCAAGTGGATATTTGGACCTCTTTGAGGCCTTC
The DNA here is from genome assembly GCF_000001405.40 of Homo sapiens. Classification (NCBI taxonomy): domain Eukaryota; kingdom Metazoa; phylum Chordata; class Mammalia; order Primates; family Hominidae; genus Homo; species Homo sapiens. The sequence continues at coordinate 92,078,612 of NC_000003.12, forward strand.
GTTGGAAACGGGATTTCTTCATGTAATGCCAGACAAAAGAATTCTCAGTGAATTCTTTCTGTGTGTGTGTATTCAACTCACAGAGTTGAACGTTCCTTTAGACAGAGTAGATTGGAAACACTCTTTTTGTGGAATTTTCAGGTGGAGGTATCAAGCGCTTTGAGGCCAATGATAGAAAAGGAAATACCTTCGTATAATAATTAGACGGAATCATTCTCAGAAACCGCTTTGCAATGTGTGCGTTCAACTCACAGTGTTTAACCTTTCTTTTCATACAGTTGTTTCGAAACACTCTTTTTGCAGAATCTGCAAGTGGATATTTGGACCTCTTTGAAGTCTTCGTTGGAAATGGGATTTCTTCATATAATGCTAGACAGAAGACTTCTCAGTAACTGCTTTTTCTGGTGTGTATTCAACTCTCAGAGTTGAACTTTCCTTTAGAAACAGCAGAGTTGAAACTCTCTTTTTGTGGAATTTGCAAGTGGAGATTTCAGAGCTTTGAGGCCAATGGTAGAAAAGGAAATATCTTCGTATGCAAACGAGACAGAATCATTCTCAGAAACTACTTTGGTACGTGTGTGTTCAACTCACAGTGTTTAACCTTTCTTTTCATAGAGCAGTTTGGAAACACTCAGTTTGTAAAGTCAGCAACTGGATATTTGGATGTATTTGAGGCCTTCGTTGGAAACGGGATTTCTTCATATAATGCTAGACAGAAGAATTCTCAGTAACTTCTTTGGGTTGTGGGTATTCAAGTCACAGAGTTGAAGCTTCCTTTAGGCGGAGCAGATTGGAAACACTTTTTGTGGAATTTTCAGGGGGAGACTTCAAGCGCTTTGAAGTGAATGGTAGGAAAGGAAATATCTTCGTATAAAAACTAGACGGAGTCATTCTCAGAAACTACTTTGTGATGTTTGCGTTCAACTCACAGAGTTTAACGTTTCTTTTCATAGAGCAGTTTGGAAACACTCTTTTTGCAGAATCTGCAAGTGGATATTTGGACCTCTTTGTGGCCTTCGTTGGAAACGGGATTTTTCATATAATGCTAGACAGAAGAATTCTCAGTAACTTCTTTTTGTGGTGTGTATTCAACTCACAGAGTTGAACCTTCCTTTAGACAGAGCAGATTTGAAACTCTCTTTTTGTGGAATTTGCAAGTGGAGATTTCAAGCGCTTTGAGGCCAACGGCAGAAAAGGAAATATCTTCGTAGAAAAAATAGACGGAATCATTCTCAGAAACTGCTTTGGGATGTGTGCATTGAACTCACAGTGTTTAACACTTCTTTTCATAGAGCACTTTGGAAACACTCAGTTTGTAATGTCTGCAGCTGGATATTTGGACCTCTTTGAGGCCTTCGTAGTAAACGGGATTTCTTCGTGTAATGATAGACAATAAGTAATTCTCAGTGAATTTTTTTCTGTGTGTGTGTATTCAACTCACAGGGTTGAACCTTCCTTTAGACAGTGCAGATTTGAGACACTTGTCTGTGGAATTTGCAAGGGGAGATTTCAAGCACTTTGAGGCCATTGGTGGAAAAGGAAATATCTTCGTATAAAAACTAGACAGAATCATTCTCAGGAACTACTTTGTGATATGTGCATTCAACTCACAGAGTTTAACCTTTCTTTTCATAGATGAGTTTGGAAACAGTCAGTTTGTAAATTCTGCAACTGGATATTTGGACCTCTTTGAGGCTTTCAGTTGGAAACGGGATTTCTTCACATAATGCTAGACAGAAGAATTCTCAGTAACTTCTTTTGGGATGTATGTATTCAAATCAGAGAGTTGAACCTTCCTTTAGACAGAGCGGATTGGAAACACTCTTTTTGTGGAATTTGCAAGTGGAAAATTCTAGCAGTATGAGGCCAATGGTACAAAAGGAAATATTCTTCGTATAAAAACTAGACAGTAATCATTCTCAGAAACTGCTTTGTGATGTGTGTATTAAACTCACAGAGTTGAACATTTCTTTGCATAGAGCAGTTTGGAAAGACTTAGTTTGTACAGTGTGCAAGTGGATATTTGGAACTCTTTGAGGCCTTCGTTGGAAACGGGATTTCTTCTTATAATTCTTGACAAAAGAATTCTCAGTAGCTTCTTTGTGTGTGTGTATTCAACTCACAGAGTTGAAACCTGCCTTGAGACAGAGCAGATTGGAAACACTCTTTTTGTGGAATTTGCAAGTGGAGAATTCTAGCGCTTTGACGCCAATGGTAGAAAGGAAATATCTTCGTATAAAAACTAGACAGTATCATTCTCAGAAGCTACTTTGTGATGTGTGCGTTCAACTCACAGAGTTTAACCTTTCTTTTCATAGAGCAGTTTGGAAACCCTCTGTTTGTGAAGTCTGCAAGTGGATATTTAAACGTCTTTGAGGCCTTCGTTGGAAACGGGATTTTTTCATATAAACCAGGACAGAAGAATTCTCAGAAACTTCTTGATTGTTATGTGTGCATTCAACTCACAGAGTTGAACCTTACTTTGGAAAGAGCAGTTTTCTAACACTCTTTTTGTAAAAGTTCCAAGTGAATACTTTGAGTGCTTTGAAGCCTACGGTTGACAACGAAATATCTTCATGTAAAAACTACAAAGAATCATTCGCAGAAACCACGTTGTGATCTCTGCAGTCAACTCACAGAGTTCAACCTTTCTTCCTATAGAGCAGTTATGAAACAGTCTCTTTGTAGAATTTGCAAGGGTGTATTTAGAGGGCATTGAAGCCTACGGTAGAAAAGGAAATATCTTACCATAAAATCTAGTCAGAAGCATTCTCAGAAACTGAGTTGTGATGTTTGCATTCAACTCACAGAGTTCAACATTCCTTTTAATGGAGCGGTTTTGAAACACTCTTTTTGCAGAATCTGCAAGTGGATATTTGGACCTCTTTGAGGCCTTCGTTGGAAACGGGATTTCTTCATGTAATGCCAGACAGAAGAATTCTCAGTGAATTCTTTCTGTGTGTGTGTATTCAACTCACAGAGTTGAACGTTCCTTTAGACAGAGTAGATTGGAAACACTCTTTTTGTGGAATTTTCAGGTGGAGGTATCAAGCGCTTTGAGGCCAATGATAGAAAAGGAAATACCTTCGTATAATAATTAGACGGAATCATTCTCAGAAACTGCTTTGCAATGTGTGCGTTCAACTCACAGTGTTTAACCTTTCTTTTCATACAGTTGTTTCGAAACACTCTTTTTGCAGAATCTGCAAGTGGATATTTGGACCTCTTTGAAGTCTTCGTTGGAAATGGGATTTCTTCATATAATGCTAGACAGAAGACTTCTCAGTAACTGCTTTTTCTGGTGTGTATTCAACTCTCAGAGTTGAACTTTCCTTTAGAAACAGCAGAGTTGAAACTCTCTTTTTGTGGAATTTGCAAGTGGAGATTTCAGAGCTTTGAGGCCAATGGTAGAAAAGGAAATATCTTCGTATGCAAACTAGACAGAATCATTCTCAGAAACTACTTTGGTACGTGTGTGTTCAACTCACAGTGTTTAACCTTTCTTTTCATAGAGCAGTTTGGAAACCCTCAGTTTGTAAAGTCAGCAACTGGATATTTGGATGTATTTGAGGCCTTCGTTGGAAACGGGATTTCTTCATATAATGCTAGACAGAAGAATTCTCAGTAACTTCTTTGGGTTGTGGGTATTCAAGTCACAGAGTTGAAGCTTCCTTTAGGCGGAGCAGATTGGAAACACTTTTTGTGGAATTTTCAGGGGGAGACTTCAAGCGCTTTGAAGTGAATGGTAGGAAAGGAAATATCTTCGTATAAAAACTAGACGGAGTCATTCTCAGAAACTACTTTGTGATGTTTGCGTTCAACTCACAGAGTTTAACGTTTCTTTTCATAGAGCAGTTTGGAAACACTCTTTTTGCAGAATCTGCAAGTGGATATTTGGACCTCTTTGTGGCCTTCGTTGGAAACGGGATTTTTCATATAATGCTAGACAGAAGAATTCTCAGTAACTTCTTTTTGTGGTGTGTATTCAACTCACAGAGTTGAACCTTCCTTTAGACAGAGCAGATTTGAAACTCTCTTTTTGTGGAATTTGCAAGTGGAGATTTCAAGCGCTTTGAGGCCAACGGCAGAAAAGGAAATATCTTCGTAGAAAAAATAGACGGAATCATTCTCAGAAACTGCTTTGGGATGTGTGCATTGAACTCACAGTGTTTAACACTTCTTTTCATAGAGCACTTTGGAAACACTCAGTTTGTAATGTCTGCAGCTGGATATTTGGACCTCTTTGAGGCCTTCGTAGTAAACGGGATTTCTTCGTGTAATGATAGACAATAGAATTCTCAGTGAATTTTTTTCTGTGTGTGTGTATTCAACTCACAGGGTTGAACCTTCCTTTAGACAGTGCAGATTTGAAACACTTGTCTGTGGAATTTGCAAGGGGAGATTTCAAGCACTTTGAGGCCATTGGTGGAAAAGGAAATATCTTCGTATGAAAACTAGACAGAATCATTCTCAGGAACTACTTTGTGATATGTGCATTCAACTCACAGAGTTTAACCTTTCTTTTCATAGATGAGTTTGGAAACAGTCAGTTTGTAAATTCTGCAACTGGATATTTGGACCTCTTTGAGGCTTTCGTTGGAAACGGGATTTCTTCACATAATGCTAGACAGAAGAATTCTCAGTAACTTCTTTTGGGATGTATGTATTCAAATCAGAGAGTTGAACCTTCCTTTAGACAGAGCGGATTGGAAACACTCTTTTTGTGGAATTTGCAAGTGGAAAATTCTAGCAGTATGAGGCCAATGGTACAAAAGGAAATATTCTTCGTATAAAAACTAGACAGTAATCATTCTCAGAAACTGCTTTGTGATGTGTGTATTAAACTCACAGAGTTGAACATTTCTTTGCATAGAGCAGTTTGGAAAGACTTAGTTTGTGCAGTGTGCAAGTGGATATTTGGAACTCTTTGAGGCCTTCGTTGGAAACGGGATTTCTTCTTATAATTCTTGACAAAAGAATTCTCAGTAGCTTCTTTGTGTGTGTGTATTCAACTCACAGAGTTGAACCTTCCTTTAGACAGAGCAGATTGGAAACACTCTTTTTGTGGAATTTGCAAGTGGAGAATTCTAGCGCTTTGACGCCAATGGTAGAAAGGAAATATCTTCGTATAAAAACTAGACAGTATCATTCTCAGAAGCTACTTTGTGATGTGTGCGTTCAACTCACAGAGTTTAACCTTTCTTTTCATAGAGCAGTTTGGAAACCCTCTGTTTGTGAAGTCTGCAAGTGGATATTTAAACGTCTTTGAGGCCTTCGTTGGAAACGGGATTTTTTCATATAAACCAGGACAGAAGAATTCTCAGAAACTTCTTGATTGTTATGTGTGCATTCAACTCACAGAGTTGAACCTTACTTTGGAAAGAGCAGTTTTCTAACACTCTTTTTGTAAAAGTTCCAAGTGAATACTTTGAGTGCTTTGAAGCCTACGGTTGACAACGAAATATCTTCATGTAAAAACTACAAAGAATCATTCGCAGAAACCACGTTGTGATCTCTGCATTCAACTCACAGAGTTGAACCTTTCTTCCTAGAGAGCAGTTATGAAACAGTCTCTTTGTAGAATTTGCAAGGGTGTATTTAGAGGGCATTGAAGCCTACGGTAGAAAAGGAAATATCTTACCATAAAATCTAGTCAGAAGCATTCTCAGCAACTGAGTTGTGATGTTTGCATTCAACTCACAGAGTTCAACATTCCTTTTAATGGAGCGGTTTTGAAACACTCTTTTTGCAGAATCTGCAAGTGGATATTTGGACCTCTTTGAGGCCTTCGTTGGAAACGGGATTTCTTCATGTAATGCCAGACAGAAGAATTCTCAGTGAATTCTTTCTGTGTGTGTGTATTCAACTCACAGAGTTGAACGTTCCTTTAGACAGAGTAGATTGGAAACACTCTTTTTGTGGAATTTTCAGGTGGAGGTATCAAGCGCTTTGAGGCCAATGATAGAAAAGGAAATACCTTCGTATAATAATTAGACGGAATCATTCTCAGAAACCGCTTTGCAATGTGTGCGTTCAACTCACAGTGTTTAACCTTTCTTTTCATACAGTTGTTTCGAAACACTCTTTTTGCAGAATCTGCAAGTGGATATTTGGACCTCTTTGAAGTCTTCGTTGGAAATGGGATTTCTTCATATAATGCTAGACAGAAGACTTCTCAGTAACTGCTTTTTCTGGTGTGTATTCAACTCTCAGAGTTGAACTTTCCTTTAGAAACAGCAGATTTGAAACTCTCTTTTTGTGGAATTTGCAAGTGGAGATTTCAGAGCTTTGAGGCCAATGGTAGAAAAGGAAATATCTTCGTATGCAAACTAGACAGAATCATTCTCAGAAACTACTTTGGTACGTGTGTGTTCAACTCACAGTGTTTAACCTTTCTTTTCATAGAGCAGTTTGGAAACACTCAGTTTGTAAAGTCAGCAACTGGATATTTGGATGTATTTGAGGCCTTCGTTGGAAACGGGATTTCTTCATATAATGCTAGACAGAAGAATTCTCAGTAACTTCTTTGGGTTGTGGGTATTCAAGTCACAGAGTTGAAGCTTCCTTTAGGCGGAGCAGATTGGAAACACTTTTTGTGGAATTTTCAGGGGGAGACTTCAAGCGCTTTGAAGTGAATGGTAGGAAAGGAAATATCTTCGTATAAAAACTAGACGGAGTCATTCTCAGAAACTACTTTGTGATGTTTGCGTTCAACTCACAGAGTTTAACGTTTCTTTTCATAGAGCAGTTTGGAAACACTCTTTTTGCAGAATCTGCAAGTGGATATTTGGACCTCTTTGTGGCCTTCGTTGGAAACGGGATTTTTCATATAATGCTAGACAGAAGAATTCTCAGTAACTTCTTTTTGTGGTGTGTATTCAACTCACAGAGTTGAACCTTCCTTTAGACAGAGCAGATTTGAAACTCTCTTTTTGTGGAATTTGCAAGTGGAGATTTCAAGCGCTTTGAGGCCAACGGCAGAAAAGGAAATATCTTCGTAGAAAAAATAGACGGAATCATTCTCAGAAACTGCTTTGGGATGTGTGCATTGAACTCACAGTGTTTAACACTTCTTTTCATAGAGCACTTTGGAAACACTCAGTTTATAATGTCTGCAGCTGGATATTTGGACCTCTTTGAGGCCTTCGTAGTAAACGGGATTTCTTCGTGTAATGATAGACAATAGAATTCTCAGTGAATTTTTTTCTGTGTGTGTGTATTCAACTCACAGGGTTGAACCATCCTTTAGACAGTGCAGATTTGAAACACTTGTCTGTGGAATTTGCAAGGGGAGATTTCAAGCACTTTGAGGCCATTGGTGGAAAAGGAAATATCTTCGTATGAAAACTAGACAGAATCATTCTCAGGAACTACTTTGTGATATGGGCATTCAACTCCCAGAGTTTAACCTTTCTTTTCATAGATGAGTTTGGAAACAGTCAGTTTGTAAATTCTACAACTGGATATTTGGACCTCTTTGAGGCTTTCGTTGGAAACGGGATTTCTTCACATAATGCTAGACAGAAGAATTCTCAGTAACTTCTTTTGGGATGTATGTATTCAAATCAGAGAGTTGAACCTTCCTTTAGACAGAGCGGATTGGAAACACTCTTTTTGTGGAATTTGCAAGTGGAAAATTCTAGCAGTATGAGGCCAATGGTACAAAAGGAAATATCTTCGTATAAAAACTAGACAGTATCATTCTCAGAAACTGCTTTGTGATGTGTGTATTAAACTCACAGAGTTGAACATTTCTTTGCATAGAGCAGTTTGGAAAGACTTAGTTTGTGCAGTGTGCAAGTGGATATTTGGAACTCTTTGAGGCCTTCGTTGGAAACGGGATTTCTTCTTATAATTCTTGACAAAAGAATTCTCAGTAGCTTCTTTGTGTGTGTGTATTCAACTCACAGAGTTGAACCTTCCTTTAGACAGAGCAGATTGGAAACACTCTTTTTGTGGAATTTGCAAGTGGAGAATTCTAGCGCTTTGACACCAATGGTAGAAAGGAAATATCTTCGTATAAAAACTAGACAGTATCATTCTCAGAAGCTACTTTGTGATGTGTGCGTTCAACTCACAGAGTTTAACCTTTCTTTTCATAGAGCAGTTTGGAAACACTCTGTTTGTGAAGTCTGCAAGTGGATATTTAAACGTCTTTGAGGCCTTCGTTGGAAACGGGATTTTTTCATATAAACCAGGACAGAAGAATTCTCAGAAACTTCTTGATTGTTATGTGTGCATTCAACTCACAGAGTTGAACCTTACTTTGGAAAGAGCAGTTTTCTAACACTCTTTTTGTAAAAGTTCCAAGTGAATACTTTGAGTGCTTTGAAGCCTACGGTTGACAACGAAATATCTTCCTGTAAAAACTACAAAGAATCATTCGCAGAAACCACGTTGTGATCTCTGCATTCAACTCACAGAGTTGAACCTTTCTTCCTATAGAGCAGTTATGAAACAGTCTCTTTGTAGAATTTGCAAGGGTGTATTTAGAGGGCATTGAAGCCTACGGTAGAAAAGGAAATATCTTACCATAAAATCTAGTCAGAAGCATTCTCAGAAACTGAGTTGTGATGTTTGCATTCAACTCACAGAAGTTCAACATTCCTTTTAATGGAGCGGTTTTGAAACACTCTTTTTGCAGAATCTGCAAGTGGATATTTGGACCTCTTTGAGGCCTTCGTTGGAAACGGGATTTCTTCATGTAATGCCAGACAGAAGAATTCTCAGTGAATTCTTTCTGTGTGTGTGTATTCAACTCACAGAGTTGAACGTTCCTTTAGACAGAGTAGATTGGAAACACTCTTTTTGTGGAATTTTCAGGTGGAGGTATCAAGCGCTTTGAGGCCAATGATAGAAAAGGAAATACCTTCGTATAATAATTAGACGGAATCATTCTCAGAAACCGCTTTGCAATGTGTGCGTTCAACTCACAGTGTTTAACCTTTCTTTTCATACAGTTGTTTCGAAACACTCTTTTTGCAGAATCTGCAAGTGGATATTTGGACCTCTTTGAAGTCTTCGTTGGAAATGGGATTTCTTCATATAATGCTAGACAGAAGACTTCTCAGTAACTGCTTTTTCTGGTGTGTATTCAACTCTCAGAGTTGAACTTTCCTTTAGAAACAGCAGATTTGAAACTCTCTTTTTGTGGAATTTGCAAGTGGAGATTTCAGAGCTTTGAGGCCAATGGTAGAAAAGGAAATATCTTCGTATGCAAACTAGACAGAATCATTCTCAGAAACTACTTTGGTACGTGTGTGTTCAACTCACAGTGTTTAACCTTTCTTTTCATAGAGCAGTTTGGAAACACTCAGTTTGTAAAGTCAGCAACTGGATATTTGGATGTATTTGAGGCCTTCGTTGGAAACGGGATTTCTTCATATAATGCTAGACAGAAGAATTCTCAGTAACTTCTTTGGGTTGTGGGTATTCAAGTCACAGAGTTGAAGCTTCCTTTAGGCGGAGCAGATTGGAAACACTTTTTGTGGAATTTTCAGGGGGAGACTTCAAGCGCTTTGAAGTGAATGGTAGGAAAGGAAATATCTTCGTATAAAAACTAGACGGAGTCATTCTCAGAAACTACTTTGTGATGTTTGCGTTCAACTCACAGAGTTTAACGTTTCTTTTCATAGAGCAGTTTGGAAACACTCTTTTTGCAGAATCTGCAAGTGGATATTTGGACCTCTTTGTGGCCTTCGTTGGAAACGGGATTTTTCATATAATGCTAGACAGAAGAATTCTCAGTAACTTCTTTTTGTGGTGTGTATTCAACTCACAGAGTTGAACCTTCCTTTAGACAGAGCAGATTTGAAACTCTCTTTTTGTGGAATTTGCAAGTGGAGATTTCAAGCGCTTTGAGGCCAACGGCAGAAAAGGAAATATCTTCGTAGAAAAAATAGACGGAATCATTCTCAGAAACTGCTTTGGGATGTGTGCATTGAACTCACAGTGTTTAACACTTCTTTTCATAGAGCACTTTGGAAACACTCAGGTTGTAATGTCTGCAGCTGGATATTTGGACCTCTTTGAGGCCTTCGTAGTAAACGGGATTTCTTCGTGTAATGATAGACAATAGAATTCTCAGTGAATTTTTTTCTGTGTGTGTGTATTCAACTCACAGGGTTGAACCTTCCTTTAGACAGTGCAGATTTGAGACACTTGTCTGTGGAATTTGCAAGGGGAGATTTCAAGCACTTTGAGGCCATTGGTGGAAAAGGAAATATCTTCGTATGAAAACTAGACAGAATCATTCTCAGGAACTACTTTGTGATATGTGCATTCAACTCACAGAGTTTAACCTTTCTTTTCATAGATGAGTTTGGAAACAGTCAGTTTGTAAATTCTGCAACTGGATATTTGGACCGCTTTGAGGCTTTCGTTGGAAACGGGATTTCTTCACATAATGCTAGACAGAAGAATTCTCAGTAACTTCTTTTGGGATGTATGTATTCAACTCAGAGAGTTGAACCTTCCTTTAGACAGAGCGGATTGGAAACACGCTTTTTGCGGAATTTTCAGGTGGAGATTTCAAGAGCCTTGAGGCCAAAGGTAGAAAAGGTTATCTTCGTATAAAAACTAGAGGGAATCATTCTCAGAAACGGCTTTGTGATGTGTGCATTAAACTCACAGAGTTGAACATTTCTTTGCATAGAGCAGTTTGGAAAGACTTAGTTTGTACAGTGTGCAAGTGGATATTTGGAACTCTTTGAGGCCTTCGTTGGAAACGGGATTTCTTCTTATAATTCTTGACAAAAGAATTCTCAGTAGCTTCTTTGTGTGTGTGTATTCAACTCACAGAGTTGAACCTTCCTTTAGACAGAGCAGATTGGAAACACTCTTTTTGTGGAATTTGCAAGTGGAGAATTCTAGCGCTTTGACGCCAATGGTAGAAAGGAAATATCTTCGTATAAACACTAGACAGTATCATTCTCAGAAGCTACTTTGTGATGTGTGCGTTCAACTCACAGAGTTTAACCTTTCTTTTCATAGAGCAGTTTGGAAACCCTCTGTTTGTGAAGTCTGCAAGTGGATATTTAAACGTCTTTGAGGCCTTCGTTGGAAACGGGATTTTTTCATATAAACCAGGACAGAAGAATTCTCAGAAACTTCTTGATTGTTATGTGTGCATTCAACTCACAGAGTTGAACCTTACTTTGGAAAGAGCAGTTTCCTAACACTCGTTTTGTAAAAGTTCCAAGTGAATACTTTGAGTGCTTTGAAGCCTACGGTTGACAACGAAATATCTTCATGTAAAAACTACAAAGAATCATTCGCAGAAACCACGTTGTGATCTCTGCATTCAACTCACAGCGTTCAACCTTTCTTCCTATAGAGCAGTTATGAAACAGTCTCTTTGTAGAATTTGCAAGGGTGTATTTAGAGGGCATTGAAGCCTACGGTAGAAAAGGAAATATCTTACCATAAAATCTAGTCAGAAGCATTCTCAGAAACTGAGTTGTGATGTTTGCATTCAACTCACAGAGTTCAACATTCCTTTTAATGGAGCGGTTTTGAAACACTCTTTTTGCAGAATCTGCAAGTGGATATTTGGACCTCTTTGAGGCCTTCGTTGGAAACGGGATTTCTTCATGTAATGCCAGACAGAAGAATTCTCAGTGAATTCTTTCTGTGTGTGTGTATTCAACTCACAGAGTTGAACGTTCCTTTAGACAGAGTAGATTGGAAACACTCTTTTTGTGGAATTTTCAGGTGGAGGTATCAAGCGCTTTGAGGCCAATGATAGAAAAGGAAATACCTTCGTATAATAATTAGACGGAATCATTCTCAGAAACCGCTTTGCAATGTGTGCGTTCAACTCACAGTGTTTAACCTTTCTTTTCATAGAGTTGTTTCGAAACACTCTTTTTGCAGAATCTGCAAGTGGATATTTGGACCTCTTTGAAGTCTTCGGTTGGAAATGGGATTTCTTCATATAATGCTAGACAGAGACTTCTCAGTAACTGCTTTTTCTGGTGTGTATTCAACTCTCAGAGTTGAACTTTCCTTTAGAAACAGCAGATTTGAAACTCTCTTTTTGTGGAATTTGCAAGTGGAGATTTCAGAGCTTTGAGGCCAATGGTAGAAAAGGAAATATCTTCGTATGCAAACTAGACAGAATCATTCTCAGAAACTACTTTGGTACGTGTGTGTTCAACTCACAGTGTTTAACCTTTCTTTTCATAGAGCAGTTTGGAAACACTCAGTTTGTAAAGTCAGCAACTGGATATTTGGATGTATTTGAGGCCTTCGTTGGAAACGGGATTTCTTCATATAATGCTAGACAGAAGAATTCTCAGTAACTTCTTTGGGTTGTGGGTATTCAACTCACAGAGTTGAAGCTTCCTTTAGGCGGAGCAGATTGGAAACACTTTTTGTGGAATTTTCAGGGGGAGACTTCAAGCGCTTTGAAGTGAATGGGAGGAAAGGAAATATCTTCGTATAAAAACTAGACGGAGTCATTCTCAGAAACTACTTTGTGATGTTTGCGTTCAACTCACAGAGTTTAACGTTTCTTTTCATAGAGCAGTTTGGAAACACTCTTTTTGCAGAATCTGCAAGTGGATATTTGGACCTCTTTGTGGCCTTCGTTGGAAACGGGATTTTTCATATAATGCTAGACAGAAGAATTCTCAGTAACTTCTTTTTGTGGTGTGTATTCAACTCACAGAGTTGAACCTTCCTTTAGACAGAGCAGATTTGAAACTCTCTTTTTGTGGAATTTGCAAGTGGAGATTTCAAGCGCTTTGAGGCCAACGGCAGAAAAGGAAATATCTTCGTAGAAAAAATAGACGGAATCATTCTCAGAAACTGCTTTGGGATGTGTGCATTGAACTCACAGTGTTTAACACTTCTTTTCATAGAGCACTTTGGAAACACTCAGTTTGTAATGTCTGCAGCTGGATATTTGGACCTCTTTGAGGCCTTCGTGGTAAACGGGATTTCTTCGTGTAATGATAGACAATAGAATTCTCAGTGAATTTTTTTCTGTGTGTGTGTATTCAACTCACAGGGTTGAACCTTCCTTTAGACAGTGCAGATTTGAAACACTTGTCTGTGGAATTTGCAAGGGGAGATTTCAAGCACTTTGAGGCCATTGGTGGAAAAGGAAATATCTTCGTATAAAAACTAGACAGAATCATTCTCAGGAACTACTTTGTGATATGTGCATTCAACTCACAGAGTTTAACCTTTCTTTTCATAGATGAGTTTGGAAACAGTCAGTTTGTAAATTCTGCAACTGGATATTTGGACCTCTTTGAGGCTTTCGTTGGAAACGGGATTTCTTCACATAATGCTAGACAGAAGAATTCTCAGTAAATTCTTTTGGGATGTATGTATTCAAATCAGAGAGTTGAACCTTCCTTTAGACAGAGCGGATTGGAAACACTCTTTTTGTGGAATTTGCAAGTGGAAAATTCTAGCAGTATGAGGCCAATGGTACAAAAGGAAATATCTTCGTATAAAAACTAGACAGTATCATTCTCAGAAACTGCTTTGTGATGTGCGTATTAAACTCACAGAGTTGAACATTTCTTTGCATAGAGCAGTTTGGAAAGACTTAGTTTGTGCAGTGTGCAAGTGGATATTTGGAACTCTTTGAGGCCTTCGTTGGAAACGGGATTTCTTCTTATAATTCTTGACAAAAGAATTCTCAGTAGCTTCTTTGTGTGTGTGTATTCAACTCACAGAGTTGAACCTTCCTTTAGACAGAGCAGATTGGAAACACTCTTTTTGTGGAATTTGCAAGTGGAGAATTCTAGCGCTTTGACGCCAATGGTAGAAAGGAAATATCTTCGTATAAAAACTAGACAGTATCATTCTCAGAAGCTACTTTGTGATGTGTGCGTTCAACTCACAGAGTTTAACCTTTCTTTTCATAGAGCAGTTTGGAAACCCTCTGTTTGTGAAGTCTGCATGTGGATATTTAAACGTCTTTGAGGCCTTCGTTCGAAACGGGATTTTTTCATATAAACCAGGACAGAAGAATTCTCAGAAACTTCTTGATTGTTATGTGTGCATTCAACTCACAGAGTTGAACCTTACTTTGGAAAGAGCAGTTTTCTAACACTCTTTTTGTAAAAGTTCCAAGTGAATACTTTGAGTGCTTTGAAGCCTACGGTTGACAACGAAATATCTTCATGTAAAAACTACAAAGAATCATTCGCAGAAACCACGTTGTGATCTCTGCATTCAACTCACAGAGTTGAACCTTTCTTCCTAGAGAGCAGTTATGAAACAGTCTCTTTGTAGAATTTGCAAGGGTGTATTTAGAGGGCATTGAAGCCTACGGTAGAAAAGGAAATATCTTACCATAAAATCTAGTCAGAAGCATTCTCAGCAACTGAGTTGTGATGTTTGCATTCAACTCACAGAGTTCAACATTCCTTTTAATGGAGCGGTTTTGAAACACTCTTTTTGCAGAATCTGCAAGTGGATATTTGGACCTCTTTGAGGCCTTCGTTGGAAACGGGATTTCTTCATGTAATGCCAGACAGAAGAATTCTCAGTAACTTCTTTTTGTGGTGTGTATTCAACTCACAGAGTTGAACCTTCCTTTAGACAGAGCAGATTTGAAACTCTCTTTTTGTGGAATTTGCAAGTGGAGATTTCAAGCGCTTTGAGGCCAACGGCAGAAAAGGAAATATCTTCGTAGAAAAAATAGACGGAATCATTCTCAGAAACTGCTTTGGGATGTGTGCATTGAACTCACAGTGTTTAACACTTCTTTTCATAGAGCACTTTGGAAACACTCAGTTTGTAATGTCTGCAGCTGGATATTTGGACCTCTTTGAGGCCTTCGTAGTAAACGGGATTTCTTCGTGTAATGATAGACAATAGAATTCTCAGTGAATTTGTTTCTGTGTGTGTGTATTCAACTCACAGGGTTGAACCTTCCTTTAGACAGTGCAGATTTGAAACACTTGTCTGTGGAATTTGCAAGGGGAGATTTCAAGCACTTTGAGGCCATTGGTGGAAAAGGAAATATCTTCGTATAAAAACTAGACAGAATCATTCTCAGGAACTACTTTGTGATATGTGCATTCAACTCCCAGAGTTTAACCTTTCTTTTCATAGATGAGTTTGGAAACAGTCAGTTTGTAAATTCTGCAACTGGATATTTGGACCTCTTTGAGGCTTTCGTTGGAAACGGGATTTCTTCACATAATGCTAGACAGAAGAATTCTCAGTAACTTCTTTTGGGATGTATGTATTCAAATCAGAGAGTTGAACCTTCCTTTAGACAGAGCGGATTGGAAACACTCTTTTTGTGGAATTTGCAAGTGGAAAATTCTAGCAGTATGAGGCCAATGGTACAAAAGGAAATATCTTCGTATAAAAACTAGACAGTATCATTCTCAGAAACTGCTTTGTGATGTGTGTATTAAACTCACAGAGTTGAACATTTCTTTGCATAGAGCAGTTTGGAAAGACTTAGTTTGTGCAGTGTGCAAGTGGATATTTGGAACTCTTTGAGGCCTTCGTTGGAAACGGGATTTCTTCTTATAATTCTTGACAAAAGAATTCTCAGTAGCTTCTTTGTGTGTGTGTATTCAACTCACAGAGTTGAACCTTCCTTTAGACAGAGCAGATTGGAAACACTCTTTTTGTGGAATTTGCAAGTGGAGAATTCTAGCGCTTTGACGCCAATGGTAGAAAGGAAATATCTTCGTATAAAAACTAGACAGTATCATTCTCAGAAGCTACTTTGTGATGTGTGCGTTCAACTCACAGAGTTTAACCTTTCTTTTCATAGAGCAGTTTGGAAACCCTCTGTTTGTGAAGTCTGCAAGTGGATATTTAAACGTCTTTGAGGCCTTCGTTGGAAACGGGATTTTTTCATATAAACCAGGACAGAAGAATTCTCAGAAACTTCTTGATTGTTATGTGTGCATTCAACTCACAGAGTTGAACCTTACTTTGGAAAGAGCAGTTTTCTAACACTCTTTTTGTAAAAGTTCCAAGTGAATACTTTGAGTGCTTTGAAGCCTACGGTTGACAACGAAATATCTTCATGTAAAAACTACAAAGAATCATTCGCAGAAACCACGTTGTGATCTCTGCATTCAACTCACAGAGTTGAACCTTTCTTCCTATAGAGCAGTTATGAAACAGTCTCTTTGTAGAATTTGCAAGGGTGTATTTAGAGGGCATTGAAGCCTACGGTAGAAAAGGAAATATCTTACCATAAAATCTAGTCAGAAGCATTCTCAGCAACTGAGTCGTGATGTTTGCATTCAACTCACAGAGTTCAACATTCCTTTTAATGGAGCGGTTTTGAAACACTCTTTTTGCAGAATCTGCAAGTGGATATTTGGACCTCTTTGAGGCCTTCGTTGGAAACGGGATTTCTTCATGTAATGCCAGACAGAAGAATTCTCAGTGAATTCTTTCTGTGTGTGTGTATTCAACTCACAGAGTTGAACGTTCCTTTAGACAGAGTAGATTGGAAACACTCTTTTTGTGGAATTTTCAGGTGGAGGTATCAAGCGCTTTGAGGCCAATGATAGAAAAGGAAATACCTTCGTATAATAATTAGACGGAATCATTCTCAGAAACTGCTTTGCAATGTGTGCGTTCAACTCACAGTGTTTAACCTTTCTTTTCATACAGTTGTTTCGAAACACTCTTTTTGCAGAATCTGCAAGTGGATATTTGGACCTCTTTGAAGTCTTCGTTGGAAATGGGATTTCTTCATATAATGCTAGACAGAAGACTTCTCAGTAACTGCTTTTTCTGGTGTGTATTCAACTCTCAGAGTTGAACTTTCCTTTAGAAACAGCAGAGTTGAAACTCTCTTTTTGTGGAATTTGCAAGTGGAGATTTCAGAGCTTTGAGGCCAATGGTAGAAAAGGAAATATCTTCGTATGCAAACTAGACAGAATCATTCTCAGAAACTACTTTGGTACGTGTGTGTTCAACTCACAGTGTTTAACCTTTCTTTTCATAGAGCAGTTTGGAAACACTCAGTTTGTAAAGTCAGCAACTGGATATTTGGATGTATTTGAGGCCTTCGTTGGAAACGGGATTTCTTCATATAATGCTAGACAGAAGAATTCTCAGTAACTTCTTTGGGTTGTGGGTATTCAAGTCACAGAGTTGAAGCTTCCTTTAGGCGGAGCAGATTGGAAACACTTTTTGTGGAATTTTCAGGGGGAGACTTCAAGCGCTTTGAAGTGAATGGTAGGAAAGGAAATATCTTCGTATAAAAACTAGACGGAGTCATTCTCAGAAACTACTTTGTGATGTTTGCGTTCAACTCACAGAGTTTAACGTTTCTTTTCATAGAGCAGTTTGGAAACACTCTTTTTGCAGAATCTGCAAGTGGATATTTGGACCTCTTTGTGGCCTTCGTTGGAAACGGGATTTTTCATATAATGCTAGACAGAAGAATTCTCAGTAACTTCTTTTTGTGGTGTGTATTCAACTCACAGAGTTGAACCTTCCTTTAGACAGAGCAGATTTGAAACTCTCTTTTTGTGGAATTTGCAAGTGGAGATTTCAAGCGCTTTGAGGCCAACGGCAGAAAAGGAAATATCTTCGTAGAAAAAATAGACGGAATCATTCTCAGAAACTGCTTTGGGATGTGTGCGTTGAACTCACAGTGTTTAACACTTCTTTTCATAGAGCACTTTGGAAACACTCAGTTTGTAATGTCTGCAGCTGGATATTTGGACCTCTTTGAGGCCTTCGTAGTAAACGGGATTTCTTCGTGTAATGATAGACAATAGAATTCTCAGTGAATTTTTTTCTGTGTGTGTGTATTCAACTCACAGGGTTGAACCTTCCTTTAGACAGTGCAGATTTGAAACACTTGTCTGTGGAATTTGCAAGGGGAGATTTCAAGCACTTTGAGGCCATTGGTGGAAAAGGAAATATCTTCGTATGAAAACTAGACAGAATCATTCTCAGGAACTACTTTGTGATATGTGCATTCAACTCCCAGAGTTTAACCTTTCTTTTCATAGATGAGTTTGGAAACAGTCAGTTTGTAAATTCTGCAACTGGATATTTGGACCTCTTTGAGGCTTTCGTTGGAAACGGGATTTCTTCACATAATGCTAGACAGAAGAATTCTCAGTAACTTCTTTTGGGATGTATGTATTCAAATCAGAGAGTTGAACCTTCCTTTAGACAGAGCGGATTGGAAACACTCTTTTTGTGGAATTTGCATGTGGAAAATTCTAGCAGTATGAGACCAATGGTACAAAAGGAAATATCTTCGTATAAAAACTAGACAGTATCATTCTCAGAAACTGCTTTGTGATGTGTGTATTAAACTCACAGAGTTGAACATTTCTTTGCATAGAGCAGTTTGGAAAGACTTAGTTTGTGCAGTGTGCAAGTGGATATTTGGAACTCTTTGAGGCCTTCGTTGGAAACGGGATTTCTTCTTATAATTCTTGACAAAGGAATTCTCAGTATCTTCTTTGTGTGTGTGTATTCAACTCACAGAGTTGAACCTTCCTTTAGACAGAGCAGATTGGAAACACTCTTTTTGTGGAATTTGCAAGTGGAGAATTCTAGCGCTTTGACGCCAATGGTAGAAAGGAAATATCTTCGTATAAAAACTAGACAGTATCATTCTCAGAAGCTACTTTGTGATGTGTGCGTTCAACTCACAGAGTTTAACCTTTCTTTTCATAGAGCAGTTTGGAAACACTCTGTTTGTGAAGTCTGCAAGTGGATATTTAAACGTCTTTGAGGCCTTCGTTGGAAACGGGATTTGTTCATATAAACCAGGACAGAAGAATTCTCAGAAACTTCTTGATTGTTATGTGTGCATTCAACTCACAGAGTTGAACCTTACTTTGGAAAGAGCAGTTTTCTAACACTCTTTTTGTAAAAGTTCCAAGTGAATACTTTGAGTGCTTTGAAGCCTACGGTTGACAACGAAATATCTTCATGTAAAAACTACAAAGAATCATTCGCAGAAACCACGTTGTGATCTCTGCATTCAACTCACAGAGTTGAACCTTTCTTCCTATAGAGCAGTTATGAAACAGTCTCTTTGTAGAATTTGCAAGGGTGTATTTAGAGGGCATTGAAGCCTACGGTATAAAAGGAAATATCTTACCATAAAATCTAGTCAGAAGCATTCTCAGAAACTGAGTTGTGATGTTTGCATTCAACTCACAGAGTTCAACATTCCTTTTAATGGAGCGGTTTTGAAACACTCTTTTTGCAGAATCTGCAAGTGGATATTTGGACCTCTTTGAGGCCTTCGTTGGAAACGGGATTTCTTCATGTAATGCCAGACAGAAGAATTCTCAGTGAATTCTTTCTGTGTGTGTGTATTCAACTCACAGAGTTGAACGTTCCTTTAGACAGAGTAGATTGGAAACACTCTTTTGGTGGAATTTTCAGGTGGAGGTATCAAGCGCTTTGAGGCCAATGATAGAAAAGGAAATACCTTCGTATAATAATTAGACGGAATCATTCTCAGAAACTGCTTTGCAATGTGTGCGTTCAACTAACAGTGTTTAACCTTTCTTTTCATACAGTTGTTTCGAAACACTCTTTTTGCAGAATCTGCAAGTGGATATTTGGACCTCTTTGAAGTCTTCGTTGGAAATGGGATTTCTTCATATAATGCTAGACAGAAGACTTCTCAGTAACTGCTTTTTCTGGTGTGTATTCAACTCTCAGAGTTGAACTTTCCTTTAGAAACAGCAGAGTTGAAACTCTCTTTTTGTGGAATTTGCAAGTGGAGATTTCAAAGCTTTGAGGCCAATGGTAGAAAAGGAAATATCTTCGTATGCAAACTAGACAGAATCATTCTCAGAAACTACTTTGGTACGTGTGTGTTCAACTCACAGTGTTTAACCTTTCTTTTCATAGAGCAGTTTGGAAACACTCAGTTTGTAAAGTCAGCAACTGGATATTTGGATGTATTTGAGGCCTTCGTTGGAAACGGGATTTCTTCATATAGTGCTAGACAGAAGAATTCTCAGTAACTTCTTTGGGTTGTGGGTATTCAACTCACAGAGTTGAAGCTTCCTTTAGGCGGAGCAGATTGGAAACACTTTTTGTGGAATTTTCAGGGGGAGACTTCAAGCGCTTTGAAGTGAATGGTAGAAAAGGAAATATCTTCGTATAAAAACTAGACGGAGTCATTCTCAGAAACTACTTTGTGATGTTTGCGTTCAACTCACAGAGTTTAACGTTTCTTTTCATAGAGCAGTTTGGAAACACTCTTTTTGCAGAATCTGCAAGTGGATATTTGGACCTCTTTGTGGCCTTCGTTGGAAACGGGATTTTTCATATAATGCTAGACAGAAGAATTCTCAGTAACTTCTTTTTGTGGTGTGTATTCAACTCACAGAGTTGAACCTTCCTTTAGACAGAGCAGATTTGAAACTCTCTTTTTGTGGAATTTGCAAGTGGAGATTTCAAGCGCTTTGAGGCCAACGGTAGAAAAGGAAATATCTTCGTAGAAAAAATAGACGGAATCATTCTCAGAAACTGCTTTGGGATGTGTGCATTGAACTCACAGTGTTTAACACTTCTTTTCATAGAGCACTTTGGAAACACTCAGTTTGTAATGTCTGCAGCTGGATATTTGGACCTCTTTGAGGCCTTCGTAGTAAACGGGATTTCTTCGTGTAATGATAGACAATAGAATTCTCAGTGAATTTTTTTCTGTGTGTGTGTATTCAACTCACAGGGTTGAACCTTCCTTTAGACAGTGCAGATTTGAAACACTTGTCTGTGGAATTTGCAAGGGGAGATTTCAAGCACTTTGAGGCCATTGGTGGAAAAGGAAATATCTTCGTATAAAAACTAGACAGAATCATTCTCAGGAACTACTTTGTGATATGTGCATTCAACTCCCAGAGTTTAACCTTTCTTTTCATAGATGAGTTTGGAAACAGTCAGTTTGTAAATTCTGCAACTGGATATTTGGACCTCTTTGAGGCTTTCGTTGGAAACGGGATTTCTTCACATAATGCTAGACAGAAGAATTCTCAGTAACTTCTTTTGGGATGTATGTATTCAAATCAGAGAGTTGAACCTTCCTTTAGACAGAGCGGATTGGAAACACTCTTTTTGTGGAATTTGCAAGTGGAAAATTCTAGCAGTATGAGGCCAATGGTACAAAAGGAAATATCTTCGTATAAAAACTAGACAGTATCATTCTCAGAAACTGCTTTGTGATGTGTGTATTAAACTCACAGAGTTGAACATTTCTTTGCATAGAGCAGTTTGGAAAGACTTAGTTTGTGCAGTGTGCAAGTGGATATTTGGAACTCTTTGAGGCCTTCGTTGGAAACGGGATTTCTTCTTATAATTTCTTGAAAAAAGAATTCTCAGTAGCTTCTTTGTGTGTGTGTATTCAACTCACAGAGTTGAACCTTCCTTTAGACAGAGCAGATTGGAAACACTCTTTTTGTGGAATTTGCAAGTGGAGAATTCTAGCGCTTTGACGCCAATGGTAGAAAGGAAATATCTTCGTATAAAAACTAGACAGTATCATTCTCAGAAGCTACTTTGTGATGTGTGCGTTCAACTCACAGAGTTTAACCTTTCTTTTCATAGAGCGGTTTGGAAACCCTCTGTTTGTGAAGTCTGCAAGTGGATATTTAAACGTCTTTGAGGCCTTCGTTGGAAACGGGATTTTTTCATATAAACCAGGACAGAAGAATTCTCAGAAACTTCTTGATTGTTATGTGTGCATTCAACTCACAGAGTTGAACCTTACTTTGGAAAGAGCAGTTTTCTAACACTCTTTTTGTAAAAGTTCCAAGTGAATACTTTGAGTGCTTTGAAGCCTACGGTTGACAACGAAATATCTTCATGTAAAAACTACAAAGAATCATTCGCAGAAACCACGTTGTGATCTCTGCATTCAACTCACAGAGTTCAACCTTTCTTCCTATAGAGCAGTTATGAAACAGTCTCTTTGTAGAATTTGCAAGGGTGTATTTAGAGGGCATTGAAGCCTACGGTAGAAAAGGAAATATCTTACCATAAAATCTAGTCAGAAGCATTCTCAGCAACTGAGTTGTGATGTTTCCATTCAACTCACAGAGTTCAACATTCCTTTTAATGGAGCGGTTTTGAAACACTCTTTTTGCAGAATCTGCAAGTGGATATTTGGACCTGCTTTGAGGCCTTCGTTGGAAACGGGATTTCTTCATGTAATGCCAGACAGAAGAATTCTCAGTGAATTCTTTCTGTGTGTGTGTATTCAACTCACAGAGTTGAACGTTCCTTTAGACAGAGTAGATTGGAAACACTCTTTTTGTGGAATTTTCAGGTGGAGGTATCAAGCGCTTTGAGGCCAATGATAGAAAAGGAAATACCTTCGTATAATAATTAGACGGAATCATTCTCAGAAACTGCTTTGCAATGTGTGCGTTCAACTCACAGTGTTTAACCTTTCTTTTCATACAGTTGTTTCGAAACACTCTTTTTGCAGAATCTGCAAGTGGATATTTGGACCTCTTTGAAGTCTTCGTTGGAAATGGGATTTCTTCATATAATGCTAGACAGAAGACTTCTCAGTAACTGCTTTTTCTGGTGTGTATTCAACTCTCAGAGTTGAACTTTCCTTTAGAAACAGCAGATTTGAAACTCTCTTTTTGTGGAATTTGCAAGTGGAGATTTCAGAGCTTTGAGGCCAATGGTAGAAAAGGAAATATCTTCGTATGCAAACTAGACAGAATCATTCTCAGAAACTACTTTGGTACGTGTGTGTTCAACTCACAGTGTTTAACCTTTCTTTTCATAGAGCAGTTTGGAAACACTCAGTTTGTAAAGTCAGCAACTGGATATTTGGATGTATTTGAGGCCTTCGTTGGAAACGGGATTTCTTCATATAATGCTAGACAGAAGAATTCTCAGTAACTTCTTTGGGTTGTGGGTATTCAAGTCACAGAGTTGAAGCTTCCTTTAGGCGGAGCAGATTGGAAACACTTTTTGTGGAATTTTCAGGGGGAGACTTCAAGCGCTTTGAAGTGAATGGTAGGAAAGGAAATATCTTCGTATAAAAACTAGACGGAGTCATTCTCAGAAACTACTTTGTGATGTTTGCGTTCAACTCACAGAGTTTAACGTTTCTTTTCATAGAGCAGTTTGGAAACACTCTTTTTGCAGAATCTGCAAGTGGATATTTGGACCTCTTTGTGGCCTTCGTTGGAAACGGGATTTTTCATATAATGCTAGACAGAAGAATTCTCAGTAACTTCTTTTTGTGGTGTGTATTCAACTCACAGAGTTGAACCTTCCTTTAGACAGAGCAGATTTGAAACTCTCTTTTTGTGGAATTTGCAAGTGGAGATTTCAAGCGCTTTGAGGCCAACGGCATAAAAGGAAATATCTTCGTAGAAAAAATAGACGGAATCATTCTCAGAAACTGCTTTGGGATGTGTGCATTGAACTCACAGTGTTTAACACTTCTTTTCATAGAGCACTTTGGAAACACTCAGTTTGTAATGTCTGCAGCTGGATATTTGGACCTCTTTGAGGCCTTCGTAGTAAACGGGATTTCTTCGTGTAATGATAGACAATAGAATTCTCAGTGAATTTTTTTCTGTGTGTGTGTATTCAACTCACAGGGTTGAACCTTCCTTTAGACAGTGCAGATTTGAAACACTTGTCTGTGGAATTTGCAAGGGGAGATTTCAAGCACTTTGAGGCCATTGGTGGAAAAGGAAATATCTTCGTATAAAAACTAGACAGAATCATTCTCAGGAACTACTTTGTGATATGTGCATTCAACTCACAGAGTTTAACCTTTCTTTTCATAGATGAGTTTGGAAACAGTCAGTTTGTAAATTCTGCAACTGGATATTTGGACCTCTTTGAGGCTTTCGTTGGAAACGGGATTTCTTCACATAATGCTAGACAGAAGAATTCTCAGTAACTTCTTTTGGGATGTATGTATTCAAATCAGAGAGTTGAACTTTCCTTTAGACAGAGCGGATTGGAAACACTCTTTTTGTGGAATTTGCAAGTGGAGAATTCTAGCGCTTTGACGCCAATGGTAGAAAGGAAATATCTTCGTATAAAAACTAGACAGTATCATTCTCAGAAGCTACTTTGTGATGTGTGCGTTCAACTCACAGTAGTTTAACCTTTCTTTTCATAGAGCAGTTTGGAAACCCTCTGTTTGTGAAGTCTGCAAGTGGATATTTAAACGTCTTTGAGGCCTTCGTTGGAAACGGGATTTTTTCATATAAACCAGGACAGAAGAATTCTCAGAAACTTCTTGATTGTTATGTGTGCATTCAACTCACAGAGTTGAACCTTACTTTGGAAAGAGCAGTTTTCTAACACTCTTTTTGTAAAAGTTCCAAGTGAATACTTTGAGTGCTTTGAAGCCTACGGTTGACAACGAAATATCTTCATGTAAAAACTACAAAGAATCATTCGCAGAAACCACGTTGTGATCTCTGCATTCAACTCACAGTGTTGAACCTTTCTTCCTATAGAGCAGTTATGAAACAGTCTCTTTGTAGAATTTGCAAGGGTGTATTTAGAGGGCATTGAAGCCTACGGTAGAAAAGGAAATATCTTACCATAAAATCTAGTCAGAAGCATTCTCAGAAACTGAGTTGTGATGTTTGCATTCAACTCACAGAGTTCAACATTCCTTTTAATGGAGCGGTTTTGAAACACTCTTTTTGCAGAATCTGCAAGTGGATATTTGGACCTCTTTGAGGCCTTCGTTGGAAACGGGATTTCTTCATGTAATGCCAGACAGAAGAATTCTCAGTGAATTCTTTCTGTGTGTGTGTATTCAACTCACAGAGTTGAACGTTCCTTTAGACAGAGTAGATTGGAAACACTCTTTTTGTGGAATTTTCAGGTGGAGGTATCAAGCGCTTTGAGGCCAATGATAGAAAAGGAAATACCTTCGTATAATAATTAGACGGAATCATTCTCAGAAACTGCTTTGCAATGTGTGCGTTCAACTCACAGTGTTTAACCTTTCTTTTCATACCGTTGTTTCGAAACACTCTTTTTGCAGAATCTGCAAGTGGATATTTGGACCTCTTTGAAGTCTTCGTTGGAAATGGGATTTCTTCATATAATGCTAGACAGAAGACTTCTCAGTAACTGCTTTTTCTGGTGTGTATTCAACTCTCAGAGTTGAACTTTCCTTTAGAAACAGCAGATTTGAAACTCTCTTTTTGTGGAATTTGCAAGTGGAGATTTCAGAGCTTTGAGGCCAATGGTAGAAAAGGAAATATCTTCGTATGCAAACTAGACAGAATCATTCTGAGAAACTACTTTGGTACGTGTGTGTTCAACTCACAGTGTTTAACCTTTCTTTTCATAGAGCAGTTTGGAAACACTCAGTTTGTAAAGTCAGCAACTGGATATTTGGATGTATTTGAGGCCTTCGTTGGAAACGGGATTTCTTCATATAATGCTAGACAGAAGAATTCTCAGTAACTTCTTTGGGTTGTGGGTATTCAACTCACAGAGTTGAAGCTTCCTTTAGGCGGAGCAGATTGGAAACACTTTTTGTGGAATTTTCAGGGGGAGACTTCAAGCGCTTTGAAGTGAATGGTAGGAAAGGAAATATCTTCGTATAAAAACTAGACGGAGTCATTCTCAGAAACTACTTTGTGATGTTTGCGTTCAACTCACAGAGTTTAACGTTTCTTTTCATAGAGCAGTTTGGAAACACTCTTTTTGCAGAATCTGCAAGTGGATATTTGGACCTCTTTGTGGCCTTCGTTGGAAACGGGATTTTTCATATAATGCTAGACAGAAGAATTCTCAGTAACTTCTTTTTGTGGTGTGTATTCAACTCACAGAGTTGAACCTTCCTTTAGACAGAGCAGATTTGAAACTCTCTTTTTGTGGAATTTGCAAGTGGAGATTTCAAGCGCTTTGAGGCCAACGGCAGAAAAGGAAATATCTTCGTAGAAAAAATAGACGGAATCATTCTCAGAAACTGCTTTGGGATGTGTGCATTGAACTCACAGTGTTTAACACTTCTTTTCATAGAGCACTTTGGAAACACTCAGTTTGCAATGTCTGCAGCTGGATATTTGGACCTCTTTGAGGCCTTCGTAGTAAACGGGATTTCTTCGTGTAATGATAGACAATAGAATTCTCAGTGAATTTTTTTCTGTGTGTGTGTATTCAACTCACAGGGTTGAACCTTCCTTTAGACAGTGCAGATTTGAGACACTTGTCTGTGGAATTTGCAAGGGGAGATTTCAAGCACTTTGAGGCCATTGGTGGAAAAGGAAATATCTTCGTATGAAAACTAGACAGAATCATTCTCAGGAACTACTTTGTGATATGTGCATTCAACTCCCAGAGTTTAACCTTTCTTTTCATAGATGAGTTTGGAAACAGTCAGTTTGTAAATTCTGCAACTGGATATTTGGACCTCTTTGAGGCTTTCGTTGGAAACGGGATTTCTTCACATAATGCTAGACAGAAGAATTCTGAGGAACTTCTTTTGGGATGTATGTATTCAAATCAGAGAGTTGAACCTTCCTTTAGACAGAGCGGATTGGAAACACTCTTTTTGTGGAATTTGCAAGTGGAAAATTCTAGCAGTATGAGGCCAATGGTACAAAAGGAAATATCTTCGTATAAAAACTAGACAGTATCATTCTCAGAAACTGCTTTGTGATGTGTGTATTAAACTCACAGAGTTGAACATTTCTTTGCATAGAGCAGTTTGGAAAGACTTAGTTTGTGCAGTGTGCAAGTGGATATTTGGAACTCTTTGAGGCCTTCGTTGGAAACGGGATTTCTTCTTATAATTCTTGACAAAAGAATTCTCAGTAGCTTCTTTGTGTGTGTGTATTCAACTCACAGAGTTGAACCTTCCTTTAGACAGAGCAGATTGGAAACACTCTTTTTGTGGAATTTGCAAGTGGAGAATTCTAGCGCTTTGACGCCAATGGTAGAAAGGAAATATCTTCGTATAAAAACTAGACAGTATCATTCTCAGAAGCTACTTTGTGATGTGTGCGTTCAACTCACAGAGTTTAACCTTTCTTTTCATAGAGCAGTTTGGAAACCCTCTGTTTGTGAAGTCTGCAAGTGGATATTTAAACGTCTTTGAGGCCTTCGTTGGAAACGGGATTTTTTCATATAAACCAGGACAGAAGAATTCTCAGAAACTTCTTGATTGTTATGTGTGCATTCAACTCACAGAGTTGAACCTTACTTTGGAAAGAGCAGTTTTCTAACACTCTTTTTGTAAAAGTTCCAAGTGAATACTTTGAGTGCTTTGAAGCCTACGGTTGACAACGAAATATCTTCATGTAAAAACTACAAAGAATCATTCGCAGAAACCACGTTGTGATCCCTGCATTCAACTCACAGAGTTCAACCTTTCTTCCTATAGAGCAGTTATGAAACAGTCTCTTTGTAGAATTTGCAAGGGTGTATTTAGAGGGCATTGAAGCCTACGGTAGAAAAGGAAATATCTTACCATAAAATCTAGTCAGAAGCATTCTCAGCAACTGAGTTGTGATGTTTGCATTCAACTCACAGAGTTCAACATTCCTTTTAATGGAGCGGTTTTGAAACACTCTTTTTGCAGAATCTGCAAGTGGATATTTGGACCTCTTTGAGGCCTTCGTTGGAAACGGGATTTCTTCATGTAATGCCAGACAGAAGAATTCTCAGTGAATTCTTTCTGTGTGTGTGTATTCAACTCACAGAGTTGAACGTTCCTTTAGACAGAGTAGATTGGAAACACTCTTTTTGTGGAATTTTCAGGTGGAGGTATCAAGCGCTTTGAGGCCAATGATAGAAAAGGAAATACCTTCGTATAATAATTAGACGGAATCATTCTCAGAAACTGCTTTGCAATGTGTGCGTTCAACTCACAGTGTTTAACCTTTCTTTTCATACAGTTGTTTCGAAACACTCTTTTTGCAGAATCTGCAAGTGGATATTTGGACCTCTTTGAAGTCTTCGTTGGAAATGGGATTTCTTCATATAATGCTAGACAGAAGACTTCTCAGTAACTGCTTTTTCTGGTGTGTATTCAACTCTCAGAGTTGAACTTTCCTTTAGAAACAGCAGAGTTGAAACTCTCTTTTTGTGGAATTTGCAAGTGGAGATTTCAAAGCTTTGAGGCCAATGGTAGAAAAGGAAATATCTTCGTATGCAAACTAGACAGAATCATTCTCAGAAACTACTTTGGTACGTGTGTGTTCAACTCACAGTGTTTAACCTTTCTTTTCATAGAGCAGTTTGGAAACACTCAGTTTGTAAAGTCAGCAACTGGATATTTGGATGTATTTGAGGCCTTCGTTGGAAACGGGATTTCTTCATATAGTGCTAGACAGAAGAATTCTCAGTAACTTCTTTGGGTTGTGGGTATTCAACTCACAGAGTTGAAGCTTCCTTTAGGCGGAGCAGATTGGAAACACTTTTTGTGGAATTTTCAGGGGGAGACTTCAAGCGCTTTGAAGTGAATGGTAGAAAAGGAAATATCTTCGTATAAAAACTAGACGGAGTCATTCTCAGAAACTACTTTGTGATGTTTGCGTTCAACTCACAGAGTTTAACGTTTCTTTTCATAGAGCAGTTTGGAAACACTCTTTTTGCAGAATCTGCAAGTGGATATTTGGACCTCTTTGTGGCCTTCGTTGGAAACGGGATTTTTCATATAATGCTAGACAGAAGAATTCTCAGTAACTTCTTTTTGTGGTGTGTATTCAACTCACAGAGTTGAACATTCCTTTAGACAGAGCAGATTTGAAACTCTCTTTTTGTGGAATTTGCAAGTGGAGATTTCAAGCGCTTTGAGGCCAACGGTAGAAAAGGAAATATCTTCGTAGAAAAAATAGACGGAATCATTCTCAGAAACTGCTTTGGGATGTGTGCATTGAACTCACAGTGTTTAACACTTCTTTTCATAGAGCACTTTGGAAACACTCAGTTTGTAATGTCTGCAGCTGGATATTTGGACCTCTTTGAGGCCTTCTTAGTAAACGGGATTTCTTCGTGTAATGATAGACAATAGAATTCTCAGTGAATTTTTTTCTGTGTGTGTGTATTCAACTCACAGGGTTGAACCTTCCTTTAGACAGTGCAGATTTGAGACACTTGTCTGTGGAATTTGCAAGGGGAGATTTCAAGCACTTTGAGGCCATTGGTGGAAAAGGAAATATCTTCGTATAAAAACTAGACAGAATCATTCTCAGGAACTACTTTGTGATATGTGCATTCAACTCACAGAGTTTAACCTTTCTTTTCATAGATGAGTTTGGAAACAGTCAGTTTGTAAATGCTGCAACTGGATATTTGGGCCTCTTTGAGGCTTTCGTTGGAAACGGGATTTCTTCACATAATGCTAGACAGAAGAATTCTCAGTAACTTCTTTTGGGATGTATGTATTCAAATCAGAGAGTTGAACCTTCCTTTAGACAGAGCGGATTGGAAACACTCTTTTTGTGGAATTTGCAAGTGGAAAATTCTAGCAGTATGAGGCCAATGGTACAAAAGGAAATATCTTCGTATAAAAACTAGACAGTATCATTCTCAGAAACTGCTTTGTGATGTGTGTATTAAACTCACAGAGTTGAACATTTCTTTGCATAGAGCAGTGTGGAAAGAGTTTGTGCAGTGTGCAAGTGGATATTTGGAACTCTTTGAGGCCTTCGTTGGAAACGGGATTTCTTCTTATAATTCTTGACAAAAGAATTCTCAGTAGCTTCTTTGTGTGTGTGTATTCAACTCACAGAGTTGAACCTTCCTTTAGACAGAGCAGATTGGAAACACTCTTTTTGTGGAATTTGCAAGTGGAGAATTCTAGCGCTTTGACGCCAATGGTAGAAAGGAAATATCTTCGTATAAAAACTAGACAGTATCATTCTCAGAAACTACTTTGTGATGTGTGCGTTCAACTCACAGAGTTTAACCTTTCTTTTCATAGAGCAGTTTGGAAACACTCTGTTTGTGAAGTCTGCAAGTGGATATTTAAACGTCTTTGAGGCCTTCGTTGGAAACGGGATTTCTTCATATAAACCAGGACAGAAGAATTCTCAGAAACTTCTTGATTGTTATGTGTGCATTCAACTCACAGAGTTGAACCTTACTTTGGAAAGTGCAGTTTTCTAACACTCTTTTTGTAAAAGTTCCAAGTGAATACTTTGAGTGCTTTGAAGCCTACGGTTGACAACGAAATATCTTCATGTAAAAACTACAAAGAATCATTCGCAGAAACCACGTTGTGATCTCTGCATTCAACTCACAGAGTTGAACCTTTCTTCCTGTAGAGCAGTTATGAAACAGTCTCTTTGTAGAATTTGCAAGGGTGTATTTAGAGGGCATTGAAGCCTACGGTAGAAAAGGAAATATCTTACCATAAAATCTAGTCAGAAGCATTCTCAGCAACTGAGTTGTGATGTTTGCATTCAACTCACAGAGTTCAACATTCCTTTTAATGGAGCGGTTTTGAAACACTCTTTTTGCAGAATCTGCAAGTGGATATTTGGACCTCTTTGAGGCCTTCGTTGGAAACGGGATTTCTTCATGTAATGCCAGACAGAAGAATTCTCAGTGAATTCTTTCTGTGTGTGTGTATTCAACTCACAGAGTTGAACGTTCCTTTAGACAGAGTAGATTGGAAACACTCTTTTTGTGGAATTTTCAGGTGGAGGTATCAAGCGCTTTGAGGCCAATGATAGAAAAGGAAATACCTTCGTATAATAATTAGACGGAATCATTCTCAGAAACTGCTTTGCAATGTGTGCGTTCAACTCACAGTGTTTAACCTTTCTTTTCATACAGTTGTTTCGAAACACTCTTTTTGCAGAATCTGCAAGTGGATATTTGGACCTCTTTGAAGTCTTCGTTGGAAATGGGATTTCTTCATATAATGCTAGACAGAAGACTTCTCAGTAACTGCTTTTTCTGGTGTGTATTCAACTCTCAGAGTTGAACTTTCCTTTAGAAACAGCAGATTTGAAACTCTCTTTTTGTGGAATTTGCAAGTGGAGATTTCAGAGCTTTGAGGCCAATGGTAGAAAAGGAAATATCTTCGTATGCAAACTAGACAGAATCATTCTCAGAAACTACTTTGGTACGTGTGTGTTCAACTCACAGTGTTTAACCTTTCTTTTCATAGAGCAGTTTGGAAACACTCAGTTTGTAAAGTCAGCAACTGGATATTTGGATGTATTTGAGGCCTTCGTTGGAAACGGGATTTCTTCATATAATGCTAGACAGAAGAATTCTCAGTAACTTCTTTGGGTTGTGGGTATTCAAGTCACAGAGTTGAAGCTTCCTTTAGGCGGAGCAGATTGGAAACACTTTTTGTGGAATTTTCAGGGGGAGACTTCAAGCGCTTTGAAGTGAATGGTAGGAAAGGAAATATCTTCGTATAAAAACTAGACGGAGTCATTCTCAGAAACTACTTTGTGATGTTTGCGTTCAACTCACAGAGTTTAACGTTTCTTTTCATAGAGCAGTTTGGAAACACTCTTTTTGCAGAATCTGCAAGTGGATATTTGGACCTCTTTGTGGCCTTCGTTGGAAACGGGATTTTTCATATAATGCTAGACAGAAGAATTCTCAGTAACTTCTTTTTGTGGTGTGTATTCAACTCACAGAGTTGAACCTTCCTTTAGACAGAGCAGATTTGAAACTCTCTTTTTGTGGAATTTGCAAGTGGAGATTTCAAGCGCTTTGAGGCCAACGGCAGAAAAGGAAATATCTTCGTAGAAAAAATAGACGGAATCATTCTCAGAAACTGCTTTGGGATGTGTGCATTGAACTCACAGTGTTTAACACTTCTTTTCATAGAGCACTTTGGAAACACTCAGTTTGTAATGTCTGCAGCTGGATATTTGGACCTCTTTGAGGCCTTCGTGGTAAACGGGATTTCTTCGTGTAATGATAGACAATAGAATTCTCAGTGAATTTTTTTCTGTGTGTGTGTATTCAACTCACAGGGTTGAACCTTCCTTTAGACAGTGCAGATTTGAAACACTTGTCTGTGGAATTTGCAAGGGGAGATTTCAAGCACTTTGAGGCCATTGGTGGAAAAGGAAATATCTTCGTATGAAAACTAGACAGAATCATTCTCAGGAACTACTTTGTGATATGTGCATTCAACTCACAGAGTTTAACCTTTCTTTTCATAGATGAGTTTGGAAACAGTCAGTTTGTAAATTCTGCAACTGGATATTTGGACCTCTTTGAGGCTTTCGTTGGAAACGGGATTTCTTCACATAATGCTAGACAGAAGAATTCTCAGTAACTTCTTTTGGGATGTATGTATTCAAATCAGAGAGTTGAACCTTCCTTTAGACAGAGCGGATTGGAAACACTCTTTTTGTGGAATTTGCAAGTGGAAAATTCTAGCAGTATGAGGCCAATGGTACAAAAGGAAATATCTTCGTATAAAAACTAGACAGTATCATTCTCAGAAACTGCTTTGTGATGTGTGTATTAAACTCACAGAGTTGAACATTTCTTTGCATAGAGCAGTTTGGAAAGACTTAGTTTGTGCAGTGTGCAAGTGGATATTTGGAACTCTTTGAGGCCTTCGTTGGAAACGGGATTTCTTCTTATAATTCTTGACAAAAGAATTCTCAGTAGCTTCTTTGTGTGTGTGTATTCAACTCACAGAGTTGAACCTTCCTTTAGACAGAGCAGATTGGAAACACTCTTTTTGTGGAATTTGCAAGTGGAGAATTCTAGCGCTTTGACGCCAATGGTAGAAAGGAAATATCTTCGTATGCAAACTAGACAGTATCATTCTCAGAAGCTACTTTGTGAAGTGTGCGTTCAACTCACAGAGTTTAACCTTTCTTTTCATAGAGCAGTTTGGAAACCCTCTGTTTGTGAAGTCTGCAAGTGGATATTTAAACGTCTTTGAGGCCTTCGTTGGAAACGGGATTTTTTCATATAAACCAGGACAGAAGAATTCTCAGAAACTTCTTGATTGTTATGTGTGCATTCAACTCACAGAGTTGAACCTTACTTTGGAAAGAGCAGTTTTCTAACACTCTTTTTGTAAAAGTTCCAAGTGAATACTTTGAGTGCTTTGAAGCCTACGGTTGACAACGAAATATCTTCATGTAAAAACTACAAAGAATCATTCGCAGAAACCACGTTGTGATCTCTGCATTCAACTCACAGAGTTCAACCTTTCTTCCTATAGAGCAGTTATGAAACAGTCTCTTTGTAGAATTTGCAAGGGTGTATTTAGAGGGCATTGAAGCCTACGGTAGAAAAGGAAATATCTTACCATAAAATCTAGTCAGAAGCATTCTCAGAAACTGAGTTGTGATGTTTGCATTCAACTCACAGAGTTCAACATTCCTTTTAATGGAGCGGTTTTGAAACACTCTTTTTGCAGAATCTGCAAGTGGATATTTGGACCTCTTTGAGGTCTTCGTTGGAAACGGGATTTCTTCATGTAATGCCAGACAGAAGAATTCTCAGTGAATTCTTTCTGTGTGTGTGTATTCAACTCACAGAGTTGAACGTTCCTTTAGACAGAGTAGATTGGAAACACTCTTTTTGTGGAATTTTCAGGTGGAGGTATCAAGCGCTTTGAGGCCAATGATAGAAAAGGAAATACCTTCGTATAATAATTAGACGGAATCATTCTCAGAAACTGCTTTGCAATGTGTGCGTTCAACTCACAGTGTTTAACCTTTCTTTTCATACAGTTGTTTCGAAACACTCTTTTTGCAGAATCTGCAAGTGGATATTTGGACCTGTTTGAAGTCTTCGTTGGAAATGGGATTTCTTCATATAATGCTAGACAGAAGACTTCTCAGTAACTGCTTTTTCTGGTGTGTATTCAACTCTCAGAGTTGAACTTTCCTTTAGAAACAGCAGATTTGAAACTCTCTTTTTGTGGAATTTGCAAGTGGAGATTTCAGAGCTTTGAGGCCAATGGTAGAAAAGGAAATATCTTCGTATGCAAACTAGACAGAATCATTCTCAGAAACTACTTTGGTACGTGTGTGTTCAACTCACAGTGTTTAACCTTTCTTTTCATAGAGCAGTTTGGAAACACTCAGTTTGTAAAGTCAGCAACTGGATATTTGGATGTATTTGAGGCCTTCGTTGGAAACGGGATTTCTTCATATAATGCTAGACAGAAGAATTCTCAGTAACTTCTTTGGGTTGTGGGTATTCAAGTCACAGAGTTGAAGCTTCCTTTAGGCGGAGCAGATTGGAAACACTTTTTGTGGAATTTTCAGGGGGAGACTTCAAGCGCTTTGAAGTGAATGGTAGGAAAGGAAATATCTTCGTATAAAAACTAGACGGAGTCATTCTCAGAAACTACTTTGTGATGTTTGCGTTCAACTCACAGAGTTTAACGTTTCTTTTCATAGAGCAGTTTGGAAACACTCTTTTTGCAGAATCTGCAAGTGGATATTTGGACCTCTTTGTGGCCTTCGTTGGAAACGGGATTTTTCATATAATGCTAGACAGAAGAATTCTCAGTAACTTCTTTTTGTGGTGTGTATTCAACTCACAGAGTTGAACCTTCCTTTAGACAGAGCAGATTTGAAACTCTCTTTTTGTGGAATTTGCAAGTGGAGATTTCAAGCGCTTTGAGGCCAACGGCAGAAAAGGAAATATCTTCGTAGAAAAAATAGACGGAATCATTCTCAGAAACTGCTTTGGGATGTGTGCATTGAACTCACAGTGTTTAACACTTCTTTTCATAGAGCACTTTGGAAACACTCAGTTTGTAATGTCTGCAGCTGGATATTTGGACCTCTTTGAGGCCTTCGTAGTAAACGGGATTTCTTCGTGTAATGATAGACAATAGAATTCTCAGTGAATTTTTTTCTGTGTGTGTGTATTCAACTCACAGGGTTGAACCTTCCTTTAGACAGTGCAGATTTGAAACACTTGTCTGTGGAATTTGCAAGGGGAGATTTCAAGCACTTTGAGGCCATTGGTGGAAAAGGAAATATCTTCGTATAAAAACTAGACAGAATCATTCTCAGGAACTACTTTGTGATATGTGCATTCAACTCCCAGAGTTTAACCTTTCTTTTCATAGATGAGTTTGGAAACAGTCAGTTTGTAAATTCTGCAACTGGATATTTGGACCTCTTTGAGGCTTTCGTTGGAAACGGGATTTCTTCACATAATGCTAGACAGAAGAATTCTCAGGAACTTCTTTTGGGATGTATGTATTCAAATCAGAGAGTTGAACCTTCCTTTAGACAGAGCGGATTGGAAACACTCTTTTTGTGGAATTTGCAAGTGGAAAATTCTAGCAGTATGAGGCCAATGGTACAAAAGGAAATATCTTCGTATAAAAACTAGACAGTATCATTCTCAGAAACTGCTTTGTGATGTGTGTATTAAACTCACAGAGTTGAACATTTCTTTGCATAGAGCAGTTTGGAAAGACTTAGTTTGTGCAGTGTGCAAGTGGATATTTGGAACTCTTTGAGGCCTTCGTTGGAAACGGGATTTCTTCTTATAATTCTTGACAAAAGAATTCTCAGTAGCTTCTTTGTGTGTGTGTGTATTCAACTCACAGAGTTGAACCTTCCTTTAGACAGAGCAGATTGGAAACACTCTTTTTGTGGAATTTGCAAGTGGAGAATTCTAGCGCTTTGACGCCAATGGTAGAAAGGAAATATCTTCGTATAAAAACTAGACAGTATCATTCTCAGAAGCTACTTTGTGATGTGTGCGTTCAACTCACAGAGTTTAACCTTTCTTTTCATAGAGCAGTTTGGAAACCCTCTGTTTGTGAAGTCTGCAAGTGGATATTTAAACGTCTTTGAGGCCTTCGTTGGAAACGGGATTTTTTCATATAAACCAGGACAGAAGAATTCTCAGAAACTTCTTGATTGTTATGTGTGCATTCAACTCACAGAGTTGAACCTTACTTTGGAAAGAGCAGTTTTCTAACACTCTTTTTGTAAAAGTTCCAAGTGAATACTTTGAGTGCTTTGAAGCCTACGGTTGACAACGAAATATCTTCATGTAAAAACTACAAAGAATCATTCGCAGAAACCACGTTGTGATCTCTGCATTCAACTCACAGAGTTCAACCTTTCTTCCTATAGAGCAGTTATGAAACAGTCTCTTTGTAGAATTTGCAAGGGTGTATTTAGAGGGCATTGAAGCCTACGGTAGAAAAGGAAATATCTTACCATAAAATCTAGTCAGAAGCATTCTCAGAAACTGAGTTGTGATGTTTGCATTCAACTCACAGAGTTCAACATTCCTTTTAATGGAGCGGTTTTGAAACACTCTTTTTGCAGAATCTGCAAGTGGATATTTGGACCTCTTTGAGGCCTTCGTTGGAAACGGGATTTCTTCATGTAATGCCAGACAGAAGAATT
Organism: Homo sapiens; assembly: GCF_000001405.40. Taxonomy (NCBI): domain Eukaryota; kingdom Metazoa; phylum Chordata; class Mammalia; order Primates; family Hominidae; genus Homo; species Homo sapiens. The sequence continues at coordinate 92,114,890 of NC_000003.12, forward strand.
CTCAGTGAATTCTTTCTGTGTGTGTGTATTCAACTCACAGAGTTGAACGTTCCTTTAGACAGAGTAGATTGGAAACACTCTTTTTGTGGAATTTTCAGGTGGAGGTATCAAGCGCTTTGAGGCCAATGATAGAAAAGGAAATACCTTCGTATAATAATTAGACGGAATCATTCTCAGAAACTGCTTTGCAATGTGTGCGTTCAACTCACAGTGTTTAACCTTTCTTTTCATACAGTTGTTTCGAAACACTCTTTTTGCAGAATCTGCAAGTGGATATTTGGACCTCTTTGAAGTCTTCGTTGGAAATGGGATTTCTTCATATAATGCTAGACAGAAGACTTCTCAGTAACTGCTTTTTCTGGTGTGTATTCAACTCTCAGAGTTGAACTTTCCTTTAGAAACAGCAGATTTGAAACTCTCTTTTTGTGGAATTTGCAAGTGGAGATTTCAGAGCTTTGAGGCCAATGGTAGAAAAGGAAATATCTTCGTATGCAAACTAGACAGAATCATTCTCAGAAACTACTTTGGTACGTGTGTGTTCAACTCACAGTGTTTAACTTTTCTTTTCATAGAGCAGTTTGGAAACACTCAGTTTGTAAAGTCAGCAACTGGATATTTGGATGTATTTGAGGCCTTCGTTGGAAACGGGATTTCTTCATATAATGCTAGACAGAAGAATTCTCAGTAACTTCTTTGTGTTGTGGGTATTCAACTCACAGAGTTGAAGCTTCCTTTAGGCGGAGCAGATTGGAAACACTTTTTGTGGAATTTTCAGGGGGAGACTTCAAGCGCTTTGAGGCCAACGGTAGAAAAGGAAATATCTTCGTATAAAAACTAGACGGAGTCATTCTCAGAAACTACTTTGTGATGTTTGCGTTCAACTCACAGAGTTTAACGTTTCTTTTCATAGAGCAGTTTGGAAACACTCTTTTTGCAGAATCTGCAAGTGGATATTTGGACCTCTTTGTGGCCTTCGTTGGAAACGGGATTTTTCATATAATGCTAGACAGAAGAATTCTCAGTAACTTCTTTTTGTGGTGTGTATTCAACTCACAGAGTTGAACCTTCCTTTAGACAGAGCAGATTTGAAACTCTCTTTTTGTGGAATTTGCAAGTGGAGATTTCAAGCGCTTTGAGGCCAACGGCAGAAAAGGAAATATCTTCGTAGAAAAAATAGACGGAATCATTCTCAGAAACTGCTTTGGGATGTGTGCATTGAACTCACAGTGTTTAACACTTCTTTTCATAGAGCACTTTGGAAACACTCAGTTTGTAATGTCTGCAGCTGGATATTTGGACCTCTTTGAGGCCTTCGTAGTAAACGGGATTTCTTCGTGTAATGATAGACAATAGAATTCTCAGTGAATTTTTTTCTGTGTGTGTGTATTCAACTCACAGGGTTGAACCTTCCCTTTAGACAGTGCAGATTTGAAACACTTGTCTGTGGAATTTGCAAGGGGAGATTTCAAGCACTTTGAGGCCATTGGTGGAAAAGGAAATATCTTCGTATGAAAACTAGACAGAATCATTCTCAGGAACTACTTTGTGATATGTGCATTCAACTCCCAGAGTTTAACCTTTCTTTTCATAGATGAGTTTGGAAACAGTCAGTTTGTAAATTCTGCAACTGGATATTTGGACCTCTTTGAGGCTTTCGTTGGAAACGGGATTTCTTCACATAATGCTAGACAGAAGAATTCTCAGTAACTTCTTTTGGGATGTATGTATTCAAATCAGAGAGTTGAACCTTCCTTTAGACAGAGCGGATTGGAAACACTCTTTTTGTGGAATTTGCAAGTGGAAAATTCTAGCAGTATGAGGCCAATGGTACAAAAGGAAATATCTTCGTATAAAAACTAGACAGTATCATTCTCAGAAACTGCTTTGTGATGTGTGTATTAAACTCACAGAGTTGAACATTTCTTTGCATAGAGCAGTTTGGAAAGACTTAGTTTGTGCAGTGTGCAAGTGGATATTTGGAACTCTTTGAGGCCTTCGTTGGAAACGGGATTTCTTCTTATAATTCTTGACAAAAGAATTCTCAGTAGCTTCTTTGTGTGTGTGTATTCAACTCACAGAGTTGAACCTTCCTTTAGACAGAGCAGATTGGAAACACTCTTTTTGTGGAATTTGCAAGTGGAGAATTCTAACGCTTTGACGCCAATGGTAGAAAGGAAATATCTTCGTATAAAAACTAGACAGTATCTTTCTCAGAAACAACTTTGTGATGTGTGCGTTCAACTCACAGAGTTTAACCTTTCTTTTCATAGAGCAGTTTGGAAACACTCTGTTTGTGAAGTCTGCAAGTGGATATTTAAACGTCTCTGAGGCCTTCGTTGGAAACGGGATTTTTTCATATAAACCAGGACAGAAGAATTCTCAGAAACTTCTTGATTGTTATGTGTGCATTCAACTCACAGAGTTGAACCTTACTTTGGAAAGAGCAGTTTTCTAACACTCTTTTTGTAAAAGTTCCAAGTGAATACTTTGAGTGCTTTGAAGCCTACGGTTGACAACGAAATATCTTCATGTAAAAACTACAAAGAATCATTCGCAGAAACCACGTTGTGATCTGTGCATTCAACTCACAGTGTTCAACCTTTATTTCTATAGAGCAGTTATGAAACACTCTCTTTGTAGAATTTGCAAGGGTGTATTTAGAGGGCGTTGAAGCCTACGGTAGAAAAAGAAATATCTTACCATAAAAACTAGACAGAAGCATTCTCAGAAACTGAGTTGTGATGTTTGCATTCAACTCACAGAGTTCAACATTCCTTTTAATGGAGCGGTTTTGAAACACTCTTTTTGCAGAATCTGCAAGTGGATATTTGGACCTCTTTGAGGCCTTCGTTGGAAACGGGATTTCTTCATGTAATGCCAGACAGAAGAATTCTCAGTGAATTCTTTCTGTGTGTGTGTATTCAACTCACAGAGTTGAACGTTCCTTTAGACAGAGTAGATTGGAAACACTCTTTTTGTGGAATTTTCAGGTGGAGGTATCAAGCGCTTTGAGGCCAATGATAGAAAAGGAAATACCTTCGTATAATAATTAGACGGAATCATTCTCAGAAACTGCTTTGCAATGTGTGCGTTCAACTCACAGTGTTTAACCTTTCTTTTCATACAGTTGTTTCGAAACACTCTTTTTGCAGAATCTGCAAGTGGATATTTGGACCTCTTTGAAGTCTTCGTTGGAAATGGGATTTCTTCATATAATGCTAGACAGAAGACTTCTCAGTAACTGCTTTTTCTGGTGTGTATTCAACTCTCAGAGTTGAACTTTCCTTTAGAAACAGCAGAGTTGAAACTCTCTTTTTGTGGAATTTGCAAGTGGAGATTTCAGAGCTTTGAGGCCAATGGTAGAAAAGGAAATATCTTCGTATGCAAACGAGACAGAATCATTCTCAGAAACTACTTTGGTACGTGTGTGTTCAACTCACAGTGTTTAACCTTTCTTTTCATAGAGCAGTTTGGAAACACTCAGTTTGTAAAGTCAGCAACTGGATATTTGGATGTATTTGAGGCCTTCGTTGGAAACGGGATTTCTTCATATAATGCTAGACAGAAGAATTCTCAGTAACTTCTTTGGGTTGTGGGTATTCAAGTCACAGAGTTGAAGCTTCCTTTAGGCGGAGCAGATTGGAAACACTTTTTGTGGAATTTTCAGGGGGAGACTTCAAGCGCTTTGAAGTGAATGGTAGGAAAGGAAATATCTTCGTATAAAAACTAGACGGAGTCATTCTCAGAAACTACTTTGTGATGTTTGCGTTCAACTCACAGAGTTTAACGTTTCTTTTCATAGAGCAGTTTGGAAACACTCTTTTTGCAGAATCTGCAAGTGGATATTTGGACCTCTTTGTGGCCTTCGTTGGAAACGGGATTTTTCATATAATGCTAGACAGAAGAATTCTCAGTAACTTCTTTTTGTGGTGTGTATTCAACTCACAGAGTTGAACCTTCCTTTAGACAGAGCAGATTTGAAACTCTCTTTTTGTGGAATTTGCAAGTGGAGATTTCAAGCGCTTTGAGGCCAACGGCAGAAAAGGAAATATCTTCGTAGAAAAAATAGACGGAATCATTCTCAGAAACTGCTTTGGGATGTGTGCATTGAACTCACAGTGTTTAACACTTCTTTTCATAGAGCACTTTGGAAACACTCAGTTTGAAATGTCTGCAGCTGGATATTTGGACCTCTTTGAGGCCTTCGTAGTAAACGGGATTTCTTCGTGTAATGATAGACAATAGAATTCTCAGTGAATTTTTTTCTGTGTGTGTGTATTCAACTCACAGGGTTGAACCATCCTTTAGACAGTGCAGATTTGAAACACTTGTCTGTGGAATTTGCAAGGGGAGATTTCAAGCACTTTGAGGCCATTGGTGGAAAAGGAAATATCTTCGTATGAAAACTATACAGAATCATTCTCAGGAACTACTTTGTGATATGTGCATTCAACTCACAGAGTTTAACCTTTCTTTTCATAGATGAGTTTGGAAACAGTCAGTTTGTAAATTCTGCAACTGGATATTTGGACCTCTTTGAGGCTTTCGTTGGAAACGGGATTTCTTCACATAATGCTAGACAGAAGAATTCTCAGTGAATTCTTTACTGTGTGTGTGTATTCAACTCACAGAGTTGAACGTTCCTTTAGACAGAGTAGATTGGAAACACTCTTTTTGTGGAATTTTCAGGTGGAGGTATCAAGCGCTTTGAGGCCAATGATAGAAAAGGAAATACCTTCGTATAATAATTAGACGGAATCATTCTCAGAAACTGCTTTGCAATGTGTGCGTTCAACTCACAGTGTTTAACCTTTCTTTTCATACAGTTGTTTCGAAACACTCTTTTTGCAGAATCTGCAAGTGGATATTTGGACCTCTTTGAAGTCTTCGTTGGAAATGGGATTTCTTCATATAATGCTAGACAGAAGACTTCTCAGTAACTGCTTTTTCTGGTGTGTATTCAACTCTCAGAGTTGAACTTTCCTTTAGAAACAGCAGATTTGAAACTCTCTTTTTGTGGAATTTGCAAGTGGAGATTTCAGAGCTTTGAGGCCAATGGTAGAAAAGGAAATATCTTCGTATGCAAACTAGACAGAATCATTCTCAGAAACTACTTTGGTACGTGTGTGTTCAACTCACAGTGTTTAACCTTTCTTTTCATAGAGCAGTTTGGAATCACTCAGTTTGTAAAGTCAGCAACTGGATATTTGGATGTATTTGAGGCCTTCGTTGGAAACGGGATTTCTTCATATAATGCTAGACAGAAGAATTCTCAGTAACTTCTTTGGGTTGTGGGTATTCAACTCACAGAGTTGAAGCTTCCTTTAGGCGGAGCAGATTGGAAACACTTTTTGTGGAATTTTCATGGGGAGACTTCAAGCGCTTTGAAGTGAATGGTAGGAAAGGAAATATCTTCGTATAAAAACTAGACGGAGTCATTCTCAGAAACTACTTTGTGATGTTTGCGTTCAACTCACAGAGTTTAACGTTTCTTTTCATAGAGCAGTTTGGAAACACTCTTTTTGCAGAATCTGCAAGTGGATATTTGGACCTCTTTGTGGCCTTCGTTGGAAACGGGATTTTTCATATAATGCTAGACAGAAGAATTCTCAGTAACTTCTTTTTGTGGTGTGTATTCAACTCACAGAGTTGAACCTTCCTTTAGACAGAGCAGATTTGAAACTCTCTTTTTGTGGAATTTGCAAGTGGAGATTTCAAGCGCTTTGAGGCCAACGGTAGAAAAGGAAATATCTTCGTAGAAAAAATAGACGGAATCATTCTCAGAAACTGCTTTGGGATGTGTGCATTGAACTCACAGTGTTTAACACTTCTTTTCATAGAGCACTTTGGAAACACTCAGTTTGTAATGTCTGCAGCTGGATATTTGGACCTCTTTGAGGCCTTCGTAGTAAACGGGATTTCTTCGTGTAATGATAGACAATAGAATTCTCAGTGAATTTGTTTCTGTGTGTGTGTATTCAACTCACAGGGTTGAACCTTCCTTTAGACAGTGCAGATTTGAAACACTTTTCTGTGGAATTTGCAAGGGGAGATTTCAAGCACTTTGAGGCCATTGGTGGAAAAGGAAATATCTTCGTATAAAAACTAGACAGAATCATTCTCAGGAACTACTTTGTGATATGTGCATTCAACTCACAGAGTTTAACTTTTCTTTTCATAGATGAGTTTGGAAACAGTCAGTTTGTAAATTCTGCAACTGGATATTTGGACCTCTTTGAGGCTTTCGTTGGAAACGGGATTTCTTCACATAATGCTAGACAGAAGAATTCTCAGGAACTTCTTTTGGGATGTATGTATTCAAATCAGAGAGTTGAACCTTCCTTTAGACAGAGCGGATTGGAAACACTCTTTTTGTGGAATTTGCAAGTGGAAAATTCTAGCAGTATGAGGCCAATGGTACAAAAGGAAATATCTTTCGTATAAAAACTAGACAGTAATCATTCTCAGAAACTGCTTTGTGATGTGTGTATTAAACTCACAGAGTTGAACATTTCTTTGCATAGAGCAGTTTGGAAAGACTTAGTTTGTGCAGTGTGCAAGTGGATATTTGGAACTCTTTGAGGCCTTCGTTGGAAACGGGATTTCTTCTTATAATTTCTTGAAAAAAGAATTCTCAGTAGCTTCTTTGTGTGTGTGTATTCAACTCACAGAGTTGAACCTTCCTTTAGACAGAGCAGATTGGAAACACTCTTTTTGTGGAATTTGCAAGTGGAGAATTCTAGCGCTTTGACGCCAATGGTAGAAAGGAAATATCTTCGTATAAAAACTAGACAGTATCATTCTCAGAAGCTACTTTGTGATGTGTGCGTTCAACTCACAGAGTTTAACCTTTCTTTTCATAGAGCGGTTTGGAAACCCTCTGTTTGTGAAGTCTGCAAGTGGATATTTAAACGTCTTTGAGGCCTTCGTTGGAAACGGGATTTTTTCATATAAACCAGGACAGAAGAATTCTCAGAAACTTCTTGATTGTTATGTGTGCATTCAACTCAGAGTTGAACCTTACTTTGGAAAGAGCAGTTTTCTAACACTCTTTTTGTAAAAGTTCCAAGTGAATACTTTGAGTGCTTTGAAGCCTACGGTTGACAACGAAATATCTTCCTGTAAAAACTACAAAGAATCATTCGCAGAAACCACGTTGTGATCTCTGCATTCAACTCACAGAGTTCAACCTTTCTTCCTATAGAGCAGTTATGAAACAGTCTCTTTGTAGAATTTGCAAGGGTGTATTTAGAGGGCATTGAAGCCTACGGTAGAAAAGGAAATATCTTACCATAAAATCTAGTCAGAAGCATTCTCAGCAACTGAGTTGTGATGTTTCCATTCCACTCACAGAGTTCAACATTCCTTTTAATGGAGCGGTTTTGAAACACTCTTTTTGCAGAATCTGCAAGTGGATATTTGGACCTCTTTGAGGCCTTCGTTGGAAACGGGATTTCTTCATGTAATGCCAGACAGAAGAATTCTCAGTGAATTCTTTCTGTGTGTGTGTATTCAACTCACAGAGTTGAACGTTCCTTTAGACAGAGTAGATTGGAAACACTCTTTTTGTGGAATTTTCAGGTGGAGGTATCAAGCGCTTTGAGGCCAATGATAGAAAAGGAAATACCTTCGTATAATAATTAGACGGAATCATTCTCAGAAACCGCTTTGCAATGTGTGCGTTCAACTCACAGTGTTTAACCTTTCTTTTCATACAGTTGTTTCGAAACACTCTTTTTGCAGAATCTGCAAGTGGATATTTGGACCTCTTTGAAGTCTTCGTTGGAAATGGGATTTCTTCATATAATGCTAGACAGAAGACTTCTCAGTAACTGCTTTTTCTGGTGTGTATTCAACTCTCAGAGTTGAACTTTCCTTTAGAAACAGCAGATTTGAAACTCTCTTTTTGTGGAATTTGCAAGTGGAGATTTCAGAGCTTTGAGGCCACTGGTAGAAAAGGAAATATCTTCGTATGCAAACTAGACAGAATCATTCTCAGAAACTACTTTGGTACGTGTGTGTTCAACTCACAGTGTTTAACCTTTCTTTTCATAGAGCAGTTTGGAAACACTCAGTTTGTAAAGTCAGCAACTGGGTATTTGGATGTATTTGAGGCCTTCGTTGGAAACGGGATTTCTTCATATAATGCTAGACAGAAGAATTCTCAGTAACTTCTTTGGGTTGTGGGTATTCAAGTCACAGAGTTGAAGCTTCCTTTAGGCGGAGCAGATTGGAAACACTTTTTGTGGAATTTTCAGGGGGAGACTTCAAGCGCTTTGAAGTGAATGGTAGGAAAGGAAATATCTTCGTATAAAAACTAGACGGAGTCATTCTCAGAAACTACTTTGTGATGTTTGCGTTCAACTCACAGAGTTTAACGTTTCTTTTCATAGAGCAGTTTGGAAACACTCTTTTTGCAGAATCTGCAAGTGGATATTTGGACCTCTTTGTGGCCTTCGTTGGAAACGGGATTTTTCATATAATGCTAGACAGAAGAATTCTCAGTAACTTCTTTTTGTGGTGTGTATTCAACTCACAGAGTTGAACCTTCCTTTAGACAGAGCAGATTTGAAACTCTCTTTTTGTGGAATTTGCAAGTGGAGATTTCAAGCGCTTTGAGGCCAACGGCAGAAAAGGAAATATCTTCGTAGAAAAAATAGACGGAATCATTCTCAGAAACTGCTTTGGGATGTGTGCATTGAACTCACAGTGTTTAACACTTCTTTTCATAGAGCACTTTGGAAACACTCAGTTTGTAATGTCTGCAGCTGGATATTTGGACCTCTTTGAGGCCTTCGTAGTAAACGGGATTTCTTCGTGTAATGATAGACAATAGAATTCTCAGTGAATTTTTTTCTGTGTGTGTGTATTCAACTCACAGGGTTGAACCTTCCTTTAGACAGTGCAGATTTGAAACACTTGTCTGTGGAATTTGCAAGGGGAGATTTCAAGCACTTTGAGGCCATTGGTGGAAAAGGAAATATCTTCGTATGAAAACTAGACAGAATCATTCTCAGGAACTATTTTGTGATATGTGCATTCAACTCCCAGAGTTTAACCTTTCTTTTCATAGATGAGTTTGGAAACAGTCAGTTTGTAAATTCTGCAACTGGATATTTGGACCTCTTTGAGGCTTTCGTTGGAAACGGGATTTCTTCACATAATGCTAGACAGAAGAATTCTCAGTAACTTCTTTTGGGATGTATGTATTCAAATCAGAGAGTTGAACCTTCCTTTAGACAGAGCGGATTGGAAACACTCTTTTTGTGGAATTTGCAAGTGGAAAATTCTAGCAGTATGAGGCCAATGGTACAAAAGGAAATATCTTCGTATAAAAACTAGACAGTATCATTCTCAGAAACTGCTTTGTGATGTGTGTATTAAACTCACAGAGTTGAACATTTCTTTGCATAGAGCAGTTTGGAAAGACTTAGTTTGTGCAGTGTGCAAGTGGATATTTGGAACTCTTTGAGGCCTTCGTTGGAAACGGGATTTCTTCTTATAATTCTTGACAAAAGAATTCTCAGTAGCTTCTTTGTGTGTGTGTATTCAACTCACAGAGTTGAACCTTCCTTTAGACAGAGCAGATTGGAAACACTCTTTTTGTGGAATTTGCAAGTGGAGAATTCTAGCGCTTTGACGCCAATGGTAGAAAGGAAATATCTTCGTATAAAAACTAGACAGTATCATTCTCAGAAGCTACTTTGTGATGTGTGCGTTCAACTCACAGAGTTTAACCTTTCTTTTCATAGAGCAGTTTGGAAACACTCTGTTTGTGAAGTCTGCAAGTGGATATTTAAACGTCTTTGAGGCCTTCGTTGGAAACGGGATTTTTTCATATAAACCAGGACAGAAGAATTCTCAGAAACTTCTTGATTGTTATGTGTGCATTCAACTCACAGAGTTGAACCTTACTTTGGAAAGAGCAGTTTTCTAACACTCTTTTTGTAAAAGTTCCAAGTGAATACTTTGAGTGCTTTGAAGCCTACGGTTGACAACGAAATATCTTCCTGTAAAAACTACAAAGAATCATTCGCAGAAACCACGTTGTGATCTCTGCATTCAACTCACAGAGTTGAACCTTTCTTCCTATAGAGCAGTTATGAAACAGTCTCTTTGTAGAATTTGCAAGGGTGTATTTAGAGGGCATTGAAGCCTACGGTAGAAAAGGAAATATCTTACCATAAAATCTAGTCAGAAGCATTCTCAGCAACTGAGTTGTGATGTTTCCATTCAACTCACAGAGTTCAACATTCCTTTTAATGGAGCGGTTTTGAAACACTCTTTTTGCAGAATCTGCAAGTGGATATTTGGACCTCTTTGAGGCCTTCGTTGGAAACGGGATTTCTTCATGTAATGCCAGACAGAAGAATTCTCAGTGAATTCTTTCTGTGTGTGTGTATTCAACTCACAGAGTTGAACGTTCCTTTAGACAGAGTAGATTGGAAACACTCTTTTTGTGGAATTTTCAGGTGGAGGTATCAAGCGCTTTGAGGCCAATGATAGAAAAGGAAATACCTTCGTATAATAATTAGACGGGAATCATTCTCAGAAACCGCTTTGCAATGTGTGCGTTCAACTCACAGTGTTTAACCTTTCTTTTCATACAGTTGTTTCGAAACACTCTTTTTGCAGAATCTGCAAGTGGATATTTGGACCTCTTTGAAGTCTTCGTTGGAAATGGGATTTCTTCATATAATGCTAGACAGAAGACTTCTCAGTAACTGCTTTTTCTGGTGTGTATTCAACTCTCAGAGTTGAACTTTCCTTTAGAAACAGCAGATTTGAAACTCTCTTTTTGTGGAATTTGCAAGTGGAGATTTCAGAGCTTTGAGGCCAATGGTAGAAAAGGAAATATCTTCGTATGCAAACTAGACAGAATCATTCTCAGAAACTACTTTGGTACGTGTGTGTTCAACTCACAGTGTTTAACCTTTCTTTTCATAGAGCAGTTTGGAAACACTCAGTTTGTAAAGTCAGCAACTGGATATTTGGATGTATTTGAGGCCTTCGTTGGAAACGGGATTTCTTCATATAATGCTAGACAGAAGAATTCTCAGTAACTTCTTTGGGTTGTGGGTATTCAAGTCACAGAGTTGAAGCTTCCTTTAGGCGGAGCAGATTGGAAACACTTTTTGTGGAATTTTCAGGGGGAGACTTCAAGCGCTTTGAAGTGAATGGTAGGAAAGGAAATATCTTCGTATAAAAACTAGACGGAGTCATTCTCAGAAACTACTTTGTGATGTTTGCGTTCAACTCACAGAGTTTAACGTTTCTTTTCATAGAGCAGTTTGGAAACACTCTTTTTGCAGAATCTGCAAGTGGATATTTGGACCTCTTTGTGGCCTTCGTTGGAAACGGGATTTTTCATATAATGCTAGACAGAAGAATTCTCAGTAACTTCTTTTTGTGGTGTGTATTCAACTCACAGAGTTGAACCTTCCTTTAGACAGAGCAGATTTGAAACTCTCTTTTTGTGGAATTTGCAAGTGGAGATTTCAAGCGCTTTGAGGCCAACGGTAGAAAAGGAAATATCTTCGTAGAGAAAATAGACGGAATCATTCTCAGAAACTGCTTTGGGATGTGTGCATTGAACTCACAGTGTTTAACACTTCTTTTCATAGAGCACTTTGGAAACACTCAGTTTGTAATGTCTGCAGCTGGATATTTGGACCTCTTTGAGGCCTTCGTAGTAAACGGGATTTCTTCGTGTAATGATAGACAATAGAATTCTCAGTGAATTTTTTTCTGTGTGTGTGTATTCAACTCACAGGGTTGAACCTTCCTTTAGACAGTGCAGATTTGAAACACTTGTCTGTGGAATTTGCAAGGGGAGATTTCAAGCACTTTGAGGCCATTGGTGGAAAAGGAAATATCTTCGTATGAAAACTAGACAGAATCATTCTCAGGAACTACTTTGTGATATGTGCATTCAACTCACAGAGTTTAACCTTTCTTTTCATAGATGAGTTTGGAAACAGTCAGTTTGTAAATTCTGCAACTGGATATTTGGACCTCTTTGAGGCTTTCGTTGGAAACGGGATTTCTTCACATAATGCTAGACAGAAGAATTCTCAGTAACTTCTTTTGGGATGTATGTATTCAAATCAGAGAGTTGAACCTTCCTTTAGACAGAGCGGATTGGAAACACTCTTTTTGTGGAATTTGCAAGTGGAAAATTCTAGCAGTATGAGGCCAATGGTACAAAAGGAAATATCTTCGTATAAAAACTAGACAGTATCATTCTCAGAAACTGCTTTGTGATGTGTGTATTAAACTCACAGAGTTGAACATTTCTTTGCTTAAAGCAGTTTGGAAAGACTTAGTTTGTGCAGTGTGCAAGTGGATATTTGGAACTCTTTGAGGCCTTCGTTGGAAACGGGATTTCTTCTTATAATTCTTGACAAAAGAATTCTCAGTAGCTTCTTTGTGTGTGTGTATTCAACTCACAGAGTTGAACCTTCCTTTAGACAGAGCAGATTGGAAACACTCTTTTTGTGGAATTTGCAAGTGGAGAATTCTAGCGCTTTGACGCCAATGGTAGAAAGGAAATATGCTTCGTATAAAAACTAGACAGTAATCATTCTCAGAAGCTACTTTGTGATGTGTGCGTTCAACTCACAGAGTTTAACCTTTCTTTTCATAGAGCAGTTTGGAAACACTCTGTTTGTGAAGTCTGCAAGTGGATATTTAAACGTCTTTGAGGCCTTCGTTGGAAACGGGATTTTTTCATATAAACCAGGACAGAAGAATTCTCAGAAACTTCTTGATTGTTATGTGTGCATTCAACTCACAGAGTTGAACCTTACTTTGGAAAGAGCAGTTTTCTAACACTCTTTTTGTAAAAGTTCCAAGTGAATACTTTGAGTGCTTTGAAGCCTACGGTTGACAACGAAATATCTTCCTGTAAAAACTACAAAGAATCATTCGCAGAAACCACGTTGTGATCTCTGCATTCAACTCACAGAGTTCAACCTTTCTTCCTATAGAGCAGTTATGAAACAGTCTCTTTGTAGAATTTGCAAGGGTGTATTTAGAGGGCATTGAAGCCTACGGTAGAAAAGGAAATATCTTACCATAAAATCTAGTCAGAAGCATTCTCAGCAACTGAGTTGTGATGTTTCCATTCAACTCACAGAGTTCAACATTCCTTTTAATGGAGCGGTTTTGAAACACTCTTTTTGCAGAATCTGCAAGTGGATATTTGGACCTCTTTGAGGCCTTCGTTGGAAACGGGATTTCTTCATGTAATGCCAGACAGAAGAATTCTCAGTGAATTCTTTCTGTGTGTGTGTATTCAACTCACGGAGTTGAACGTTCCTTTAGACAGAGTAGATTGGAAACACTCTTTTTGTGGAATTTTCAGGTGGAGGTATCAAGCGCTTTGAGGCCAATGATAGAAAAGGAAATACCCTTCGTATAATAATTAGACGGAATCATTCTCAGAAACTGCTTTGCAATGTGTGCGTTCAACTCACAGTGTTTAACCTTTCTTTTCATACAGTTGTTTCGAAACACTCTTTTTGCAGAATCTGCAAGTGGATATTTGGACCTCTTTGAAGTCTTCGTTGGAAATGGGATTTCTTCATATAATGCTAGACAGAAGACTTCTCAGTAACTGCTTTTTCTGGTGTGTATTCAACTCTCAGAGTTGAACTTTCCTTTAGAAACAGCAGATTTGAAACTCTCTTTTTGTGGAATTTGCAAGTGGAGATTTCAGAGCTTTGAGGCCAATGGTAGAAAAGGAAATATCTTCGTATGCAAACTAGACAGAATCATTCTCAGAAACTACTTTGGTACGTGTGTGTTCAACTCACAGTGTTTAACCTTTCTTTTCATAGAGCAGTTTGGAAACACTCAGTTTGTAAAGTCAGCAACTGGATATTTGGATGTATTTGAGGCCTTCGTTGGAAACGGGATTTCTTCATATAATGCTAGACAGAAGAATTCTCAGTAACTTCTTTGGGTTGTGGGTATTCAAGTCACAGAGTTGAAGCTTCCTTTAGGCGGAGCAGATTGGAAACACTTTTTGTGGAATTTTCAGGGGGAGACTTCAAGCGCTTTGAAGTGAATGGTAGGAAAGGAAATATCTTCGTATAAAAACTAGACGGAGTCATTCTCAGAAACTACTTTGTGATGTTTGCGTTCAACTCACAGAGTTTAACGTTTCTTTTCATAGAGCAGTTTGGAAACACTCTTTTTGCAGAATCTGCAAGTGGATATTTGGACCTCTTTGTGGCCTTCGTTGGAAACGGGATTTTTCATATAATGCTAGACAGAAGAATTCTCAGTAACTTCTTTTTGTGGTGTGTATTCAACTCACAGAGTTGAACCTTCCTTTAGACAGAGCAGATTTGAAACTCTCTTTTTGTGGAATTTGCAAGTGGAGATTTCAAGCACTTTGAGGCCAACGGCAGAAAAGGAAATATCTTCGTAGAAAAAATAGACGGAATCATTCTCAGAAACTGCTTTGGGATGTGTGCATTGAACTCACAGTGTTTAACACTTCTTTTCATAGAGCACTTTGGAAACACTCAGTTTGTAATGTCTGCAGCTGGATATTTGGACCTCTTTGAGGCCTTCGTAGTAAACGGGATTTCTTCGTGTAATGATAGACAATAGAATTCTCAGTGAATTTTTTTCTGTGTGTGTGTATTCAACTCACAGGGTTGAACCTTCCTTTAGACAGTGCAGATTTGAGACACTTGTCTGTGGAATTTGCAAGGGGAGATTTCAAGCACTTTGAGGCCATTGGTGGAAAAGGAAATATCTTCGTATAAAAACTAGACAGAATCATTCTCAGGAACTACTTTGTGATATGCGCATTCAACTCACAGAGTTTAACATTTCTTTTCATAGATGAGTTGGAAACAGTCAGTTTGTAAATGCTGCAACTGGATATTTGGGCCTCTTTGAGGCTTTTGTTGGAAACGGGATTTCTTCACATAATGCTAGACAGAAGAATTCTCAGTAACTTCTTTTGGGATGTATGTATTCAAATCAGAGAGTTGAACCTTCCTTTAGACAGAGCGGATTGGAAACACTCTTTTTGTGGAATTTGCAAGTGGAAAATTCTAGCAGTATGAGGCCAATGGTACAAAAGGAAATATCTTCGTATAAAAACTAGACAGTATCATTCTCAGAAACTGCTTTGTGATGTGTGTATTAAACTCACAGAGTTGAACATTTCTTTGCATAGAGCAGTTTGGAAAGACTTAGTTTGTGCAGTGTGCAAGTGGATATTTGGAACTCTTTGAGGCCTTCGTTGGAAACGGGATTTCTTCTTATAATTCTTGACAAAAGAATTCTCAGTAGCTTCTTTGTGTGTGTGTATTCAACTCACAGAGTTGAACCTTCCTTTAGACAGAGCAGATTGGATACACTCTTTTTGTGGAATTTGCAAGTGGAGAATTCTAGCACTTTGACGCCAATGGTAGAAAGGAAATATCTTCGTATAAAAACTAGACAGTATCATTCTCAGAAACTACTTTGTGATGTGTGCGTTCAATTCACAGAGTTTAACCTTTCTTTTCATAGAGCAGTTTGGAAACACTCTGTTTGTGAAGTCTGCAAGTGGATATTTAAACGTCTTTGAGGCCTTTGTTGGAAACGGGATTTTTTCATATAAACCAGGACAGAAGAATTCTCAGAAACTTCTTGATTGTTATGTGTGCATTCAACTCACAGAGTTGAACCTTACTTTGGAAAGAGCAGTTTTCTAACACTCTTTTTGTAAAAGTTCCAAGTGAATACTTTGAGTGCTTTGAAGCCTACGGTTGACAACGAAATATCTTCATGTAAAAACTACAAAGAATCATTCGCAGAAACCACGTTGTGATCTCTGCATTCAACTCACAGTGTTGAACCTTTCTTCCTATAGAGCAGTTATGAAACAGTCTCTTTGTAGAATTTGCAAGGGTGTATTTAGAGGGCATTGAAGCCTACGGTAGAAAAGGAAATATCTTACCATAAAATCTAGTCAGAAGGATTCTCAGAAACTGAGTTGTGATGTTTGCATTCAACTCACAGAGTTCAACATTCCTTTTAATGGAGCGGTTTTGAAACACTCTTTTTGCAGAATCTGCAAGTGGATATTTGGACCTCTTTGAGGCCTTCGTTGGAAACGGGATTTCTTCATGTAATGCCAGACAGAAGACTCTCAGTGAATTCTTTCTGTGTGTGTGTATTCAACTCACAGAGTTGAACGTTCCTTTAGACAGAGTAGATTGGAAACACTCTTTTTGTGGAATTTTCAGGTGGAGGTATCAAGCGCTTTGAGGCCCATGATAGAAAAGGAAATACCTTCGTATAATAATTAGACGGAATCATTCTCAGAAACTGCTTTGCAATGTGTGCGTTCAACCTCACAGTGTTTAACCTTTCTTTTCATACAGTTGTTTCGAAACACTCTTTTTGCAGAATCTGCAAGTGGATATTTGGACCTCTTTGAAGTCTTCGTTGGAAATGGGATTTCTTCATATAATGCTAGACAGAAGACTTCTCAGTAACTGCTTTTTCTGGTGTGTATTCAACTCTCAGAGTTGAACTTTCCTTTAGAAACAGCAGATTTGAAACTCTCTTTTTGTGGAATTTGCAAGTGGAGATTTCAAAGCTTTGAGGCCAATGGTAGAAAAGGAAATATCTTCGTATGCAAACTAGACAGAATCGTTCTCAGAAACTACTTTGGTACGTGTGTGTTCAACTCACAGTGTTTAACCTTTCTTTTCATAGAGCAGTTTGGAAACACTCAGTTTGTAAAGTCAGCAACTGGATATTTGGATGTATTTGAGGCCTTCGTTGGAAACGGGATTTCTTCATATAATGCTAGACAGAAGAATTCTCAGTAACTTCTTTGGGTTGTGGGTATTCAAGTCACAGAGTTGAAGCTTCCTTTAGGCGGAGCAGATTGGAAACACTTTTTGTGGAATTTTCAGGGGGAGACTTCAAGCGCTTTGAAGTGAATGGTAGGAAAGGAAATATCTTCGTATAAAAACTAGACGGAGTCATTCTCAGAAACTACTTTGTGATGTTTGCGTTCAACTCACAGAGTTTAACGTTTCTTTTCATAGAGCAGTTTGGAAACACTCTTTTTGCAGAATCTGCAAGTGGATATTTGGACCTCTTTGTGGCCTTCGTTGGAAACGGGATTTTTCATATAATGCTAGACAGAAGAATTCTCAGTAACTTCTTTTTGTGGTGTGTATTCAACTCACAGAGTTGAACCTTCCTTTAGACAGAGCAGATTTGAAACTCTCTTTTTGTGGAATTTGCAAGTGGAGATTTCAAGCGCTTTGAGGCCAACGGCAGAAAAGGAAATATCTTCGTAGAAAAAATAGACGGAATCATTCTCAGAAACTGCTTTGGGATGTGTGCATTGAACTCACAGTGTTTAACACTTCTTTTCATAGAGCACTTTGGAAACACTCAGTTTGTAATGTCTGCAGCTGGATATTTGGACCTCTTTGAGGCCTTCGTAGTAAACGGGATTTCTTCGTGTAATGATAGACAATAGAATTCTCAGTGAATTTTTTTCTGTGTGTGTGTATTCAACTCACAGAGTTGAACCTTCCTTTAGACAGTGCAGATTTGAGACACTTGTCTGTGGAATTTGCAAGGGGAGATTTCAAGCACTTTGAGGCCATTGGTGGAAAAGGAAATATCTTCGTATAAAAACTAGACAGAATCATTCTCAGGAACTACTTTGTGATATGTGCA
Source organism: Homo sapiens (assembly GCF_000001405.40). Taxonomy (NCBI): domain Eukaryota; kingdom Metazoa; phylum Chordata; class Mammalia; order Primates; family Hominidae; genus Homo; species Homo sapiens. Next base: position 92,132,605 of record NC_000003.12, read on the forward strand.
TTCAACTCACAGAGTTTAACCTTTCTTTTCATAGATGAGTTTGGAAACAGTCAGTTTGTAAATGCTGCAACTGGATATTTGGGCCTCTTTGAGGCTTTCGTTGGAAACGGGATTTCTTCACATAATGCTAGACAGAAGAATTCTCAGTAACTTCTTTTGGGATGTATGTATTCAAATCAGAGAGTTGAACCTTCCTTTAGACAGAGCGGATTGGAAACACTCTTTTTGTGGAATTTGCAAGTGGAAAATTCTAGCAGTATGAGGCCAATGGTACAAAAGGAAATATCTTCGTATAAAAACTAGACAGTATCATTCTCAGAAACTACTTTGTGATGTGTGCGTTCAACTCACAGTGTTTACCCTTTCTTTTCATAGAGCAGTTTGGAAACACTCTGTTTGTGAAGTCTGCAAGTGGATATTTAAACGTCTTTGAGGCCTTCGTTGGAAACGGGATTTCTTCATATAAACCAGGACAGAAGAATTCTCAGAAACTTCTTGTTTGTTATGTGTGCATTCAACTCACAGAGTTGAACCTTACTTTGGAAAGAGCAGTTTTCTAACACTCTTTTTGTAAAAGTTCCAAGTGAATACTTTGAGTGCTTTGAAGCCTACGGTAGACAACGAAATATCTTCATGTAAAAACTACAAAGAATCATTCGCAGAAACCACGTTGTGATCTCTGCATTCAACTCACAGAGTTCAACCTTTCTTCCTATAGAGCAGTTATTAAGCAGTCTCTTTGTAGAATTTGCAAGGGTGTATTTTGATGGCATTGAAGCCTATGGTAGAAAAGGAAATATCTGACCATAAAATCTAGTCAGAAGCATTCTCAGAAACTGAGTTGTGATGTTTGCATTCAACTCACAGAGTTCAACATTCCTTTTAATGGAGCGGTTTTGAAACACTCTTTTTGCAGAATCTGCAAGTGGATATTTGGACCTCTTTGAGGCCTTCGTTGGAAACGGGATTTCTTCATGTAATGCCAGACAGAAGAATTCTCAGTGAATTCTTTCTGTGTGTGTGTATTCAACTCACAGAGTTGAACGTTCCTTTAGACAGAGTAGATTGGAAACACTCTTTTTGTGGAATTTTCAGGTGGAGGTATCAAGCGCTTTGAGGCCAATGATAGAAAAGGAAATACCTTCGTATAATAATTAGACGGAATCATTCTCAGAAACCGCTTTGCAATGTGTGCGTTCAACTCACAGTGTTTAACCTTTCTTTTCATACAGTTGTTTCGAAACACTCTTTTTGCAGAATCTGCAAGTGGATATTTGGACCTCTTTGAAGTCTTCGTTGGAAATGGGATTTCTTCATATAATGCTAGACAGAAGACTTCTCAGTAACTGCTTTTTCTGGTGTGTATTCAACTCTCAGAGTTGAACTTTCCTTTAGAAACAGCAGATTTGAAACTCTCTTTTTGTGGAATTTGCAAGTGGAGATTTCAGAGCTTTGAGGCCAATGGTAGAAAAGGAAATATCTTCGTATGCAAACTAGACAGAATCATTCTCAGAAACTACTTTGGTACGTGTGTGTTCAACTCACAGTGTTTAACCTTTCTTTTCATAGAGCAGTTTGGAAACACTCAGTTTGTAAAGTCAGCAACTGGATATTTGGATGTATTTGAGGCCTTCGTTGGAAACGGGATTTCTTCATATAATGCTAGACAGAAGAATTCTCAGTAACTTCTTAGGGTTGTGGGTATTCAACTCACAGAGTTGAAGCTTCCTTTAGGCGGAGCAGATTGGAAACACTTTTTGTGGAATTTTCAGGGGGAGACTTCAAGCGCTTTGAAGTGAATGGTAGAAAAGGAAATATCTTCGTATATAAACTAGACAGAGTCATTCTCAGAAACTACTTTGTGATGTTTGCGTTCAACTGACAGAGTTTAACGTTTCTTTTCATAGAGCAGTTTGGAAACACTCTTTTTGCAGAATCTGCAAGTGGATATTTGGACCTCTTTGTGGCCTTCGTTGGAAACGGGATTTTTCATATAATGCTAGACAGAAGAATTCTCAGTAACTTCTTTTTGTGGTGTGTATTCAACTCACAGAGTTGAACCTTCCTTTAGACAGAGCAGATTTGAAACTCTCTTTTTGTGGAATTTGCAAGTGGAGATTTCAAGCGCTTTGAGGCCAACGGCAGAAAAGGAAATATCTTCGTAGAAAAAATAGACGGAATCATTCTCAGAAACTGCTTTGGGATGTGTGCATTGAACTCACAGTGTTTAACACTTCTTTTCATAGAGCACTTTGGAAACACTCAGGTTGTAATGTCTGCAGCTGGATATTTGGACCTCTTTGAGGCCTTCGTAGTAAACGGGATTTCTTCGTGTAATGATAGACAATAGAATTCTCAGTGAATTTTTTTCTGTGTGTGTGTATTCAACTCACAGGGTTGAACCTTCCTTTAGACAGTGCAGATTTGAGACACTTGTCTGTGGAATTTGCAAGGGGAGATTTCAAGCACTTTGAGGCCATTGGTGGAAAAGGAAATATCTTCGTATGAAAACTAGACAGAATCATTCTCAGGAACTACTTTGTGATATGTGCATTCAACTCCCAGAGTTTAACCTTTCTTTTCATAGATGAGTTTGGAAACAGTCAGTTTGTAAATTCTGCAACTGGATATTTGGACCTCTTTGAGGCTTTCGTTGGAAACGGGATTTCTTCACATAATGCTAGACAGAAGAATTCTCAGGAACTTCTTTTGGGATGTATGTATTCAAATCAGAGAGTTGAACCTTCCTTTAGACAGAGCGGATTGGAAACACTCTTTTTGTGGAATTTGCAAGTGGAAAATTCTAGCAGTATGAGGCCAATGGTACAAAAGGAAATATCTTCGTATAAAAACTAGACAGTATCATTCTCAGAAACTGCTTTGTGATGTGTGTATTAAACTCACAGAGTTGAACATTTCTTTGCATAGAGCAGTTTGGAAAGACTTAGTTTGTGCAGTGTGCAAGTGGATATTTGGAACTCTTTGAGGCCTTCGTTGGAAACGGGATTTCTTCTTATAATTCTTGACAAAAGAATTCTCAGTAGCTTCTTTGTGTGTGTGTGTATTCAACTCACAGAGTTGAACCTTCCTTTAGACAGAGCAGATTGGAAACACTCTTTTTGTGGAATTTGCAAGTGGAGAATTCTAGCGCTTTGACGCCAATGGTAGAAAGGAAATATCTTCGTATAAAAACTAGACAGTATCATTCTCAGAAGCTACTTTGTGATGTGTGCGTTCAACTCACAGAGTTTAACCTTTCTTTTCATAGAGCAGTTTGGAAACCCTCTGTTTGTGAAGTCTGCAAGTGGATATTTAAACGTCTTTGAGGCCTTCGTTGGAAACGGGATTTTTTCATATAAACCAGGACAGAAGAATTCTCAGAAACGTCTTGATTGTTATGTGTGCATTCAACTCACAGAGTTGAACCTTACTTTGGAAAGAGCAGTTTTCTAACACTCTTTTTGTAAAAGTTCCAAGTGAATACTTTGAGTGCTTTGAAGCCTACGGTTGACAACGAAATATCTTCATGTAAAAACTACAAAGAATCATTCGCAGAAACCACGTTGTGATCTCTGCATTCAACTCACAGAGTTCAACCTTTCTTCCTATAGAGCAGTTATGAAACAGTCTCTTTGTAGAATTTGCAAGGGTGTATTTAGAGGGCATTGAAGCCTACGGTAGAAAAGGAAATATCTTACCATAAAATCTAGTCAGAAGCATTCTCAGCAACTGAGTTGTGATGTTTGCACTCAACTCACAGAGTTCAACATTCCTTTTAATGGAGCGGTTTTGAAACACTCTTTTTGCAGAATCTGCAAGTGGATATTTGGACCTCTTTGAGGCCTTCGTTGGAAACGGGATTTCTTCATGTAATGCCAGACAGAAGAATTCTCAGTGAATTCTTTCTGTGTGTGTGTATTCAACTCACAGAGTTGAACGTTCCTTTAGACAGAGTAGATTGGAAACACTCTTTTTGTGGAATTTTCAGGTGGAGGTATCAAGCGCTTTGAGGCCAATGATAGAAAAGGAAATACCTTCGTATAATAATTAGACGGAATCATTCTCAGAAACTGCTTTGCAATGTGTGCGTTCAACTCACAGTGTTTAACCTTTCTTTTCATACAGTTGTTTCGAAACACTCTTTTTGCAGAATCTGCAAGTGGATATTTGGACCTCTTTGAAGTCTTCGTTGGAAATGGGATTTCTTCATATAATGCTAGACAGAAGACTTCTCAGTAACTGCTTTTTCTGGTGTGTATTCAACTCTCAGAGTTGAACTTTCCTTTAGAAACAGCAGATTTGAAACTCTCTTTTTGTGGAATTTGCAAGTGGAGATTTCAGAGCTTTGAGGCCAATGGTAGAAAAGGAAATATCTTCGTATGCAAACTAGACAGAATCATTCTCAGAAACTACTTTGGTACGTGTGTGTTCAACTCACAGTGTTTAACCTTTCTTTTCATAGAGCAGTTTGGAAACACTCAGTTTGTAAAGTCAGCAACTGGATATTTGGATGTATTTGAGGCCTTCGTTGGAAACGGGATTTCTTCATATAATGCTAGACAGAAGAATTCTCAGTAACTTCTTTGGGTTGTGGGTATTCAAGTCACAGAGTTGAAGCTTCCTTTAGGCGGAGCAGATTGGAAACACTTTTTGTGGAATTTTCAGGGGGAGACTTCAAGCGCTTTGAAGTGAATGGTAGGAAAGGAAATATCTTCGTATAAAAACTAGACGGAGTCATTCTCAGAAACTACTTTGTGATGTTTGCGTTCAACTCACAGAGTTTAACGTTTCTTTTCATAGAGCAGTTTGGAAACACTCTTTTTGCAGAATCTGCAAGTGGATATTTGGACCTCTTTGTGGCCTTCGTTGGAAACGGGATTTTTCATATAATGCTAGACAGAAGAATTCTCAGTAACTTCTTTTTGTGGTGTGTATTCAACTCACAGAGTTGAACCTTCCTTTAGACAGAGCAGATTTGAAACTCTCTTTTTGTGGAATTTGCAAGTGGAGATTTCAAGCGCTTTGAGGCCAACGGTAGAAAAGGAAATATCTTAGTAGAAAAAATAGACGGAATCATTCTCAGAAACTGCTTTGGGATGTGTGCATTGAACTCACAGTGTTTAACACTTCTTTTCATAGAGCACTTTGGAAACACTCAGTTTGTAATGTCTGCAGCTGGATATTTGGACCTCTTTGAGGCCTTCGTAGTAAACGGGATTTCTTCGTGTAATGATAGACAATAGAATTCTCAGTGAATTTTTTTCTGTGTGTGTGTATTCAACTCACAGGGTTGAACCTTCCTTTAGACAGTGCAGATTTGAAACACTTGTCTGTGGAATTTGCAAGGGGAGATTTCAAGCACTTTGAGGCCATTGGTGGAAAAGGAAATATCTTCGTATAAAAACTAGACAGAATCATTCTCAGGAACTACTTTGTGATATGTGCATTCAACTCACAGAGTTTAACCTTTCTTTTCATAGATGAGTTTGGAAACAGTCAGTTTGTAAATTCTGCAACTGGATATTTGGACCTCTTTGAGGCTTTCGTTGGAAACGGGATTTCTTCACATAATGCTAGACAGAAGAATTCTCAGTAAATTCTTTTGGGATGTATGTATTCAAATCAGAGAGTTGAACCTTCCTTTAGACAGAGCGGATTGGAAACACTCTTTTTGTGGAATTTGCAAGTGGAAAATTCTAGCAGTATGAGGCCAATGGTACAAAAGGAAATATCTTCGTACAAAAACTAGACAGTATCATTCTCAGAAACTGCTTTGTGATGTGTGTATTAAACTCACAGAGTTGAACATTTCTTTGCATAGAGCAGTTTGGAAAGACTTAGTTTGTGCAGTGTGCAAGTGGATATTTGGAACTCTTTGAGGCCTTCGTTGGAAACGGGATTTCTTCTTATAATTCTTGACAAAAGAATTCTCAGTAGCTTCTTTGTGTGTGTGTATTCAACTCACAGAGTTGAACCTTCCTTTAGACAGAGCAGATTGGAAACACTCTTTTTGTGGAATTTGCAAGTGGAGAATTCTAGCGCTTTGACACCAATGGTAGAAAGGAAATATCTTCGTATAAAAACTAGACAGTATCATTCTCAGAAGCTACTTTGTGATGTGTGCGTTCAACTCACAGAGTTTAACCTTTCTTTTCATAGAGCAGTTTGGAAACACTCTGTTTGTGAAGTCTGCAAGTGGATATTTAAACGTCTTTGAGGCCTTCGTTGGAAACGGGATTTTTTCATATAAACCAGGACAGAAGAATTCTCAGAAACTTCTTGATTGTTATGTGTGCATTCAACTCACAGAGTTGAACCTTACTTTGGAAAGAGCAGTTTTCTAACACTCTTTTTGTAAAAGTTCCAAGTGAATACTTTGAGTGCTTTGAAGCCTACGGTTGACAACGAAATATCTTCATGTAAAAACTACAAAGAATCATTCGCAGAAACCACGTTGTGATCTCTGCATTCAACTCACAGAGTTCAACCTTTCTTCCTATAGAGCAGTTATGAAACAGTCTCTTTGTAGAATTTGCAAGGGTGTATTTAGAGGGCATTGAAGCCTACGGTAGAAAAGGAAATATCTTACCATAAAATCTAGTCAGAAGCATTCTCAGAAACTGAGTTGTGATGTTTGCATTCAACTCACAGAGTTCAACATTCCTTTTAATGGAGCGGTTTTGAAACACTCTTTTTGCAGAATCTGCAAGTGGATATTTGGACCTCTTTGAGGCCTTCGTTGGAAACGGGATTTCTTCATGTAATGCCAGACAGAAGAATTCTCAGTGAATTCTTTCTGTGTGTGTGTATTCAACTCACAGAGTTGAACGTTCCTTTAGACAGAGTAGATTGGAAACACTCTTTTTGTGGAATTTTCAGGTGGAGGTATCAAGCGCTTTGAGGCCAATGATAGAAAAGGAAATACCTTCGTATAATAATTAGACGGAATCATTCTCAGAAACTGCTTTGCAATGTGTGCGTTCAACTCACAGTGTTTAACCTTTCTTTTCATACAGTTGTTTCGAAACACTCTTTTTGCAGAATCTGCAAGTGGATATTTGGACCTCTTTGAAGTCTTCGTTGGAAATGGGATTTCTTCATACAATGCTAGACAGAAGACTTCTCAGTAACTGCTTTTTCTGGTGTGTATTCAACTCTCAGAGTTGAACTTTCCTTTAGAAACAGCAGAGTTGAAACTCTCTTTTTGTGGAATTTGCAAGTGGAGATTTCAGAGCTTTGAGGCCAATGGTAGAAAAGGAAATATCTTCGTATGCAAACTAGACAGAATCATTCTCAGAAACTACTTTGGTACGTGTGTGTTCAACTCACAGTGTTTAACCTTTCTTTTCATAGAGCAGTTTGGAAACACTCAGTTTGTAAAGTCAGCAACTGGATATTTGGATGTATTTGAGGCCTTCGTTGGAAACGGGATTTCTTCATATAGTGCTAGACAGAAGAATTCTCAGTAACTTCTTTGGGTTGTGGGTATTCAACTCACAGAGTTGAAGCTTCCTTTAGGCGGAGCAGATTGGAAACACTTTTTGTGGAATTTTCAGGGGGAGACTTCAAGCGCTTTGAAGTGAATGGTAGAAAAGGAAATATCTTCGTATAAAAACTAGACGGAGTCATTCTCAGAAACTACTTTGCGATGTTTGCGTTCAACTCACAGAGTTTAACGTTTCTTTTCATAGAGCAGTTTGGAAACACTCTTTGCAGAATCTGCAAGTGGATATTTGGACCTCTTTGTGGCCTTCGTTGGAAACGGGATTTTTCATATAATGCTAGACAGAAGAATTCTCAGTAACTTCTTTTTGTGGTGTGTATTCAACTCACAGAGTTGAACCTTCCTTTAGACAGAGCAGATTTGAAACTCTCTTTTTGTGGAATTTGCAAGTGGAGATTTCAAGCGCTTTGAGGCCAACGGCAGAAAAGGAAATATCTTCGTAGAAAAAATAGACGGAATCATTCTCAGAAACTGCTTTGGGATGTGTGCATTGAACTCACAGTGTTTAACACTTCTTTTCATAGAGCACTTTGGAAACACTCAGTTTGAAATGTCTGCAGCTGGATATTTGGACCTCTTTGAGGCCTTCGTAGTAAACGGGATTTCTTCGTGTAATGATAGACAATAGAATTCTCAGTGAATTTTTTTCTGTGTGTGTGTATTCAACTCACAGGGTTGAACCTTCCTTTAGACAGTGCAGATTTGAAACACTTGTCTGTGGAATTTGCAAGGGGAGATTTCAAGCACTTTGAGGCCATTGGTGGAAAAGGAAATATCTTCGTATGAAAACTAGACAGAATCATTCTCAGGAACTACTTTGTGATATGTGCATTCAACTCCCAGAGTTTAACCTTTCTTTTCATAGATGAGTTTGGAAACAGTCAGTTTGTAAATTCTGCAACTGGATATTTGGACCTCTTTGAGGCTTTCGTTGGAAACGGGATTTCTTCACATAATGCTAGACAGAAGAATTCTCAGTAACTTCTTTTGGGATGTATGTATTCAAATCAGAGAGTTGAACCTTCCTTTAGACAGAGCGGATTGGAAACACTCTTTTTGTGGAATTTGCAAGTGGAAAATTCTAGCAGTATGAGGCCAATGGTACAAAAGGAAATATCTTCGTATAAAAACTAGACAGTATCATTCTCAGAAACTGCTTTGTGATGTGTGTATTAAACTCACAGAGTTGAACATTTCTTTGCATAGAGCAGTTTGGAAAGACTTAGTTTTTGCAGTGTGCAAGTGGATATTTGGAACTCTTTGAGGCCTTCGTTGGAAACGGGATTTCTTCTTATAATTTCTTGAAAAAAGAATTCTCAGTAGCTTCTTTGTGTGTGTGTATTCAACTCACAGAGTTGAACCTTCCTTTAGACAGAGCAGATTGGAAACACTCTTTTTGTGGAATTTGCAAGTGGAGAATTCTAGCGCTTTGACGCCAATGGTAGAAAGGAAATATCTTCGTATAAAAACTAGACAGTATCATTCTCAGAAGCTACTTTGTGATGTGTGCGTTCAACTCACAGAGTTTAACCTTTCTTTTCATAGAGCAGTTTGGAAACCCTCTGTTTGTGAAGTCTGCAAGTGGATATTTAAACGTCTTTGAGGCCTTCGTTGGAAACGGGATTTTTTCATATAAACCAGGACAGAAGAATTCTCAGAAACTTCTTGATTGTTATGTGTGCATTCAACTCACAGAGTTGAACCTTACTTTGGAAAGAGCAGTTTTCTAACACTCTTTTTGTAAAAGTTCCAAGTGAATACTTTGAGTGCTTTGAAGCCTACGGTTGACAACGAAATATCTTCCTGTAAAAACTACAAAGAATCATTCGCAGAAACCACGTTGTGATCTCTGCATTCAACTCACAGAGTTCAACCTTTCTTCCTATAGAGCAGTTATGAAACAGTCTCTTTGTAGAATTTGCAAGGGTGTATTTAGAGGGCATTGAAGCCTACGGTAGAAAAGGAAATATCTTACCATAAAATCTAGTCAGAAGCATTCTCAGCAACTGAGTTGTGATGTTTCCATTCAACTCACAGAGTTCAACATTCCTTTTAATGGAGCGGTTTTGAAACACTCTTTTTGCAGAATCTGCAAGTGGATATTTGGACCTCTTTGAGGCCTTCGTTGGAAACGGGATTTCTTCATGTAATGCCAGACAGAAGAATTCTCAGTGAATTCTTTCTGTGTGTGTGTATTCAACTCACAGAGTTGAACGTTCCTTTAGACAGAGTAGATTGGAAACACTCTTTTTGTGGAATTTTCAGGTGGAGGTATCAAGCGCTTTGAGGCCAATGATAGAAAAGGAAATACCTTCGTATAATAATTAGACGGAATCATTCTCAGAAACCGCTTTGCAATGTGTGCGTTCAACTCACAGTGTTTAACCTTTCTTTTCATAGAGTTGTTTCGAAACACTCTTTTTGCAGAATCTGCAAGTGGATATTTGGACCTCTTTGAAGTCTTCGGTTGGAAATGGGATTTCTTCATATAATGCTAGACAGAAGACTTCTCAGTAACTGCTTTTTCTGGTGTGTATTCAACTCTCAGAGTTGAACTTTCCTTTAGAAACAGCAGATTTGAAACTCTCTTTTTGTGGAATTTGCAAGTGGAGATTTCAGAGCTTTGAGGCCAATGGTAGAAAAGGAAATATCTTCGTATGCAAACTAGACAGAATCATTCTCAGAAACTACTTTGGTACGTGTGTGTTCAACTCACAGTGTTTAACCTTTCTTTTCATAGAGCAGTTTGGAAACACTCAGTTTGTAAAGTCAGCAACTGGGTATTTGGATGTATTTGAGGCCTTCGTTGGAAACGGGATTTCTTCATATAATGCTAGACAGAAGAATTCTCAGTAACTTCTTTGGGTTGTGGGTATTCAAGTCACAGAGTTGAAGCTTCCTTTAGGCGGAGCAGATTGGAAACACTTTTTGTGGAATTTTCAGGGGGAGACTTCAAGCGCTTTGAAGTGAATGGTAGGAAAGGAAATATCTTCGTATAAAAACTAGACGGAGTCATTCTCAGAAACTACTTTGTGATGTTTGCGTTCAACTCACAGAGTTTAACGTTTCTTTTCATAGAGCAGTTTGGAAACACTCTTTTTGCAGAATCTGCAAGTGGATATTTGGACCTCTTTGTGGCCTGTCGTTGGAAACGGGATTTTTCATATAATGCTAGACAGAAGAATTCTCAGTAACTTCTTTTTGTGGTGTGTATTCAACTCACAGAGTTGAACCTTCCTTTAGACAGAGCAGATTTGAAACTCTCTTTTTGTGGAATTTGCAAGTGGAGATTTCAAGCGCTTTGAGGCCAACGGTAGAAAAGGAAATATCTTCGTAGAAAAAATAGACGGAATCATTCTCAGAAACTGCTTTGGGATGTGTGCATTGAACTCACAGTGTTTAACACTTCTTTTCATAGAGCACTTTGGAAACACTCAGTTTGTAATGTCTGCAGCTGGATATTTGGACCTCTTTGAGGCCTTCGTAGTAAACGGGATTTCTTCGTGTAATGATAGACAATAGAATTCTCAGTGAATTTTTTTCTGTGTGTGTGTATTCAACTCACAGGGTTGAACCTTCCTTTAGACAGTGCAGATTTGAAACACTTGTCTGTGGAATTTGCAAGGGGAGATTTCAAGCACTTTGAGGCCATTGGTGGAAAAGGAAATATCTTCGTATAAAAACTAGACAGAATCATTCTCAGGAACTACTTTGTGATATGTGCATTCAACTCACAGAGTTTAACCTTTCTTTTCATAGATGAGTTTGGAAACAGTCAGTTTGTAAATTCTGCAACTGGATATTTGGACCTCTTTGAGGCTTTCGTTGGAAACGGGATTTCTTCACATAATGCTAGACAGAAGAATTCTCAGTAACTTCTTTTGGGATGTATGTATTCAAATCAGAGAGTTGAACCTTCCTTTAGACAGAGCGGATTGGAAACACTCTTTTTGTGGAATTTGCAAGTGGAAAATTCTAGCAGTATGAGGCCAATGGTACAAAAGGAAATATCTTCGTATAAAAACTAGACAGTATCATTCTCAGAAACTGCTTTGTGATGTGTGTATTAAACTCACAGAGTTGAACATTTCTTTGCATAGAGCAGTTTGGAAAGACTTAGTTTGTGCAGTGTGCAAGTGGATATTTGGAACTCTTTGAGGCCTTCGTTGGAAACGGGATTTCTTCTTATAATTTCTTGACAAAAGAATTCTCAGTAGCTTCTTTGTGTGTGTGTATTCAACTCACAGAGTTGAACCTTCCTTTAGACAGAGCAGATTGGAAACACTCTTTTTGTGGAATTTGCAAGTGGAGAATTCTAGCGCTTTGACGCCAATGGTAGAAAGGAAATATCTTCGTATAAAAACTAGACAGTATCATTCTCAGAAACTGCTTTGTGATGTGTGTATTAAACTCACAGAGTTGAACATTTCTTTGCATAGAGCAGTTTGGAAAGACTTAGTTTGTGCAGTGTGCAAGTGGATATTTGGAACTCTTTGAGGCCTTCGTTGGAAACGGGATTTCTTCTTATAATTTCTTGAAAAAAGAATTCTCAGTAGCTTCTTTGTGTGTGTGTATTCAACTCACAGAGTTGAACCTTCCTTTAGACAGAGCAGATTGGAAACACTCTTTTTGTGGAATTTGCAAGTGGAGAATTCTAGCGCTTTGACGCCAATGGTAGAAAGGAAATATACTTCGTATAAAAACTAGACAGTATCATTCTCAGAAGCTACTTTGTGATGTGTGCGTTCAACTCACAGAGTTTAACCTTTCTTTTCATAGAGCAGTTTGGAAACCCTCTGTTTGTGAAGTCTGCAAGTGGATATTTAAACGTCTTTGAGGCCTTCGTTGGAAACGGGATTTTTTCATATAAACCAGGACAGAAGAATTCTCAGAAACTTCTTGATTGTTATGTGTGCATTCAACTCACAGAGTTGAACCTTACTTTGGAAAGAGCAGTTTTCTAATACTCTTTTTGTAAAAGTTCCAAGTGAATACTTTGAGTGCTTTGAAGCCTACGGTTGACAACGAAATATCTTCATGTAAAAACTACAAAGAATCATTCGCAGAAACCACGTTGTGATCTCTGCATTCAACTCACAGAGTTGAACCTTTCTTCCTATAGAGCAGTTATGAAACAGTCTCTTTGTAGAATTTGCAAGGGTGTATTTAGAGGGCATTGAAGCCTACGGTAGAAAAGGAAATATCTTACCATAAAATCTAGTCAGAAGCATTCTCAGCAACTGAGTTGTGATGTTTGCATTCAACTCACAGAGTTCAACATTCCTTTTAATGGAGCGGTTTTGAAACACTCTTTTTGCAGAATCTGCAAGTGGATATTTGGACCTCTTTGAGGCCTTCGTTGGAAACGGGATTTCTTCATGTAATGCCAGACAGAAGAATTCTCAGTGAATTCTTTCTGTGTGTGTGTATTCAACTCACAGAGTTGAACGTTCCTTTAGACAGAGTAGATTGGAAACACTCTTTTTGTGGAATTTTCAGGTGGAGGTATCAAGCGCTTTGAGGCCAATGATAGAAAAGGAAATACCTTCGTATAATAATTAGACGGAATCATTCTCAGAAACTGCTTTGCAATGTGTGCGTTCAACTCACAGTGTTTAACCTTTCTTTTCATACAGTTGTTTCGAAACACTCTTTTTGCAGAATCTGCAAGTGGATATTTGGACCTCTTTGAAGTCTTCGTTGGAAATGGGATTTCTTCATATAATGCTAGACAGAAGACTTCTCAGTAACTGCTTTTTCTGGTGTGTATTCAACTCTCAGAGTTGAACTTTCCTTTAGAAACAGCAGATTTGAAACTCTCTTTTTGTGGAATTTGCAAGTGGAGATTTCAGAGCTTTGAGGCCAATGGTAGAAAAGGAAATATCTTCGTATGCAAACTAGACAGAATCATTCTCAGAAACTACTTTGGTACGTGTGTGTTCAACTCACAGTGTTTAACCTTTCTTTTCATAGAGCAGTTTGGAAACACTCAGTTTGTAAAGTCAGCAACTGGATATTTGGATGTATTTGAGGCCTTCGTTGGAAACGGGATTTCTTCATATAATGCTAGACAGAAGAATTCTCAGTAACTTCTTTGGGTTGTGGGTATTCAACTCACAGAGTTGAAGCTTCCTTTAGGCGGAGCAGATTGGAAACACTTTTTGTGGAATTTTCAGGGGGAGACTTCAAGCGCTTTGAAGTGAATGGTAGGAAAGGAAATATCTTCGTATAAAAACTAGACGGAGTCATTCTCAGAAACTACTTTGTGATGTTTGCGTTCAACTCACAGAGTTTAACGTTTCTTTTCATAGAGCAGTTTGGAAACACTCTTTTTGCAGAATCTGCAAGTGGATATTTGGACCTCTTTGTGGCCTTCGTTGGAAACGGGATTTTTCATATAATGCTAGACAGAAGAATTCTCAGTAACTTCTTTTTGTGGTGTGTATTCAACTCACAGAGTTGAACCTTCCTTTAGACAGAGCAGATTTGAAACTCTCTTTTTGTGGAATTTGCAAGTGGAGATTTCAAGCGCTTTGAGGCCAACGGCAGAAAAGGAAATATCTTCGTAGAAAAAATAGACGGAATCATTCTCAGAAACTGCTTTGGGATGTGTGCATTGAACTCACAGTGTTTAACACTTCTTTTCATAGAGCACTTTGGAAACACTCAGTTTGTAATGTCTGCAGCTGGATATTTGGACCTCTTTGAGGCCTTCGTAGTAAACGGGATTTCTTCGTGTAATGATAGACAATAGAATTCTCAGTGAATTTTTTTCTGTGTGTGTGTATTCAACTCACAGGGTTGAACCTTCCTTTAGACAGTGCAGATTTGAAACACTTGTCTGTGGAATTTGCAAGGGGAGATTTCAAGCACTTTGAGGCCATTGGTGGAAAAGGAAATATCTTCGTATGAAAACTAGACAGAATCATTCTCAGGAACTACTTTGTGATATGTGCATTCAACTCCCAGAGTTTAACCTTTCTTTTCATAGATGAGTTTGGAAACAGTCAGTTTGTAAATTCTGCAACTGGATATTTGGACCTCTTTGAGGCTTTCGTTGGAAACGGGATTTCTTCACATAATGCTAGACAGAAGAATTCTCAGTAACTTCTTTTGGGATGTATGTATTCAAATCAGAGAGTTGAACCTTCCTTTAGACAGAGCGGATTGGAAACACTCTTTTTGTGGAATTTGCAAGTGGAAAATTCTAGCAGTATGAGGCCAATGGTACAAAAGGAAATATCTTCGTATAAAAACTAGACAGTATCATTCTCAGAAACTGCTTTGTGATGTGTGTATTAAACTCACAGAGTTGAACATTTCTTTGCATAGAGCAGTTTGGAAAGACTTAGTTTGTGCAGTGTGCAAGTGGATATTTGGAACTCTTTGAGGCCTTCGTTGGAAACGGGATTTCTTCTTATAATTTCTTGAAAAAAGAATTCTCAGTAGCTTCTTTGTGTGTGTGTATTCAACTCACAGAGTTGAACCTTCCTTTAGACAGAGCAGATTGGAAACACTCTTTTTGTGGAATTTGCAAGTGGAGAATTCTAGCGCTTTGACGCCAATGGTAGAAAGGAAATATCTTCGTATAAAAACTAGACAGTATCATTCTCAGAAGCTACTTTGTGATGTGTGCGTTCAACTCACAGAGTTTAACCTTTCTTTTCATAGAGCAGTTTGGAAACCCTCTGTTTGTGAAGTCTGCAAGTGGATATTTAAACGTCTTTGAGGCCTTCGTTGGAAACGGGATTTTTTCATATAAACCAGGACAGAAGAATTCTCAGAAACTTCTTGATTGTTATGTGTGCATTCAACTCACAGAGTTGAACCTTACTTTGGAAAGAGCAGTTTTCTAACACTCTTTTTGTAAAAGTTCCAAGTGAATACTTTGAGTGCTTTGAAGCCTACGGTTGACAACGAAATATCTTCATGTAAAAACTACAAAGAATCATTCGCAGAAACCACGTTGTGATCTCTGCATTCAACTCACAGAGTTCAACCTTTCTTCCTATAGAGCAGTTATGAAACAGTCTCTTTGTAGAATTTGCAAGGGTGTATTTAGAGGGCATTGAAGCCTACGGTAGAAAAGGAAATATCTTACCATAAAATCTAGTCAGAAGCATTCTCAGCAACTGAGTTGTGATGTTTGCATTCAACTCACAGAGTTCAACATTCCTTTTAATGGAGCGGTTTTGAAACACTCTTTTTGCAGAATCTGCAAGTGGATATTTGGACCTCTTTGAGGCCTTCGTTGGAAACGGGATTTCTTCATGTAATGCCAGACAGAAGAATTCTCAGTGAATTCTTTCTGTGTGTGTGTATTCAACTCACAGAGTTGAACGTTCCTTTAGACAGAGTAGATTGGAAACACTCTTTTTGTGGAATTTTCAGGTGGAGGTATCAAGCGCTTTGAGGCCAATGATAGAAAAGGAAATACCTTCGTATAATAATTAGACGGAATCATTCTCAGAAACTGCTTTGCAATGTGTGCGTTCAACTCACAGTGTTTAACCTTTCTTTTCATACAGTTGTTTCGAAACACTCTTTTTGCAGAATCTGCAAGTGGATATTTGGACCTCTTTGAAGTCTTCGTTGGAAATGGGATTTCTTCATATAATGCTAGACAGAAGACTTCTCAGTAACTGCTTTTTCTGGTGTGTATTCAACTCTCAGAGTTGAACTTTCCTTTAGAAACAGCAGAGTTGAAACTCTCTTTTTGTGGAATTTGCAAGTGGAGATTTCAAAGCTTTGAGGCCAATGGTAGAAAAGGAAATATCTTCGTATGCAAACTAGACAGAATCATTCTCAGAAACTACTTTGGTACGTGTGTGTTCAACTCACAGTGTTTAACCTTTCTTTTCATAGAGCAGTTTGGAAACACTCAGTTTGTAAAGTCAGCAACTGGATATTTGGATGTATTTGAGGCCTTCGTTGGAAACGGGATTTCTTCATATAGTGCTAGACAGAAGAATTTCTCAGTAACTTCTTTGGGTTGTGGGTATTCAACTCACAGAGTTGAAGCTTCCTTTAGGCGGAGCAGATTGGAAACACTTTTTGTGGAATTTTCAGGGGGAGACTTCAAGCGCTTTGAAGTGAATGGTAGAAAAGGAAATATCTTCGTATAAAAACTAGACGGAGTCATTCTCAGAAACTACTTTGTGATGTTTGCGTTCAACTCACAGAGTTTAACGTTTCTTTTCATAGAGCAGTTTGGAAACACTCTTTTTGCAGAATCTGCAAGTGGATATTTGGACCTCTTTGTGGCCTTCGTTGGAAACGGGATTTTTCATATAATGCTAGACAGAAGAATTCTCAGTAACTTCTTTTTGTGGTGTGTATTCAACTCACAGAGTTGAACCTTCCTTTAGACAGAGCAGATTTGAAACTCTCTTTTTGTGGAATTTGCAAGTGGAGATTTCAAGCGCTTTGAGGCCAACGGCAGAAAAGGAAATATCTTCGTAGAAAAAATAGACGGAATCATTCTCAGAAACTGCTTTGGGATGTGTGCATTGAACTCACAGTGTTTAACACTTCTTTTCATAGAGCACTTTGGAAACACTCAGTTTGTAATGTCTGCAGCTGGATATTTGG
Source organism: Homo sapiens (assembly GCF_000001405.40). Taxonomy (NCBI): domain Eukaryota; kingdom Metazoa; phylum Chordata; class Mammalia; order Primates; family Hominidae; genus Homo; species Homo sapiens. The sequence goes on from NC_000003.12 coordinate 92,149,700, forward strand.
ACCTCTTTGAGGCCTTCGTAGTAAACGGGATTTCTTCGTGTAATGATAGACAATAGAATTCTCAGTGAATTTTTTTCTGTGTGTGTGTATTCAACTCACAGGGTTGAACCTTCCTTTAGACAGTGCAGATTTGAGACACTTGTCTGTGGAATTTGCAAGGGGAGATTTCAAGCACTTTGAGGCCATTGGTGGAAAAGGAAATATCTTCGTATAAAAACTAGACAGAATCATTCTCAGGAACTACTTTGTGATATGTGCATTCAACTCACAGAGTTTAACCTTTCTTTTCATAGATGAGTTTGGAAACAGTCAGTTTGTAAATGCTGCAACTGGATATTTGGGCCTCTTTGAGGCTTTCGTTGGAAACGGGATTTCTTCACATAATGCTAGACAGAAGAATTCTCAGTAACTTCTTTTGGGATGTATGTATTCAAATCAGAGAGTTGAACCTTCCTTTAGACAGAGCGGATTGGAAACACTCTTTTTGTGGAATTTGCAAGTGGAAAATTCTAGCAGTATGAGGCCAATGGTACAAAAGGAAATATCTTCGTATAAAAACTAAACAGTATCATTCTCAGAAACTGCTTTGTGATGTGTGTATTAAACTCACAGATTTGAACATTTCTTTGCATAGAGCAGTATGGAAAGACTTAGTTTGTGCAGTGTGCAAGTGGATATTTGGAACTCTTTGAGGCCTTGGTTGGAAACGGGATTTCTTCTTATAATTCTTGACAAAAGAATTCTCAGTAGCTTCTTTGTGTGTGTGTACTCAACTCACAGAGTTGAACCTTCCTTTAGACAGAGCAGATTGGAAACACTCTTTTTGTGGAATTTGCAAGTGGAAAATTCTAGCAGTATGAGGCCAATGGTACAAAAGGAAATATCTTCGTATAAAAACTAGACAGTATCATTCTCAGAAACTACTTTGTGAGGTGTGCGTTCAACTCACAGTGTTTACCCTTTCTTTTCATAGAGCAGTTTGGAAACACTCTGTTTGTGAAGTCTGCAAGTGGATATTTAAACGTCTTTGAGGCCTTCGTTGGAAACGGGATTTCTTCATATAAACCAGGACAGAAGAATTCTCAGAAACTTCTTGTTTGTTATGTGTGCATTCAACTCACAGAGTTGAACCTTACTTTGGAAAGAGCAGTTTTCTAACACTCTTTTTGTAAAAGTTCCAAGTGAATACTTTGAGTGCTTTGAAGCCTACGGTAGACAACGAAATATCTTCATGTAAAAACTACAAAGAATCATTCGCAGAAACCACGTTGTGATCTCTGCATTTAACTCACAGAGTTGAACCTTTCCTCCTATAGAGCAGTTATGAAACAGTCTCTTTGTAGAATTTGCAAGGGTGTATTTACAGGGCATTGAAGCCTACGGTAGAAAAGGAAATATCTTACCATAAAATCTAGTCAGAAGCATTCTCAGAAACTGAGTTGTGATGTTTGCATTCAACTCACAGAGTTCAACATTCCTTTTAATGGAGCGGTTTTGAAACACTCTTTTTGCAGAATCTGCAAGTGGATATTTGGACCTCTTTGAGGCCTTCGTTGGAAACGGGATTTCTTCATGTAATGCCAGACAGAAGAATTCTCAGTGAATTCTTTCTGTGTGTGTGTATTCAACTCACAGAGTTGAACGTTCCTTTAGACAGAGTAGATTGGAAACACTCTTTTTGTGGAATTTTCAGGTGGAGGTATCAAGCGCTTTGAGGCCAATGATAGAAAAGGAAATACCTTCGTATAATAATTAGACGGAATCATTCTCAGAAACCGCTTTGCAATGTGTGCGTTCAACTCACAGTGTTTAACCTTTCTTTTCATACAGTTGTTTCGAAACACTCTTTTTGCAGAATCTGCAAGTGGATATTTGGACCTCTTTGAAGTCTTCGTTGGAAATGGGATTTCTTCATATAATGCTAGACAGAAGACTTCTCAGTAACTGCTTTTTCTGGTGTGTATTCAACTCTCAGAGTTGAACTTTCCTTTAGAAACAGCAGATTTGAAACTCTCTTTTTGTGGAATTTGCAAGTGGAGATTTCAGAGCTTTGAGGCCAATGGTAGAAAAGGAAATATCTTCGTATGCAAACTAGACAGAATCATTCTCAGAAACTACTTTGGTACGTGTGTGTTCAACTCACAGTGTTTAACCTTTCTTTTCATAGAGCAGTTTGGAAACACTCAGTTTGTAAAGTCAGCAACTGGATATTTGGATGTATTTGAGGCCTTCGTTGGAAACGGGATTTCTTCATATAATGCTAGACAGAAGAATTCTCAGTAACTTCTTTCTTTGGGTTGTGGGTATTCAAGTCACAGAGTTGAAGCTTCCTTTAGGCGGAGCAGATTGGAAACACTTTTTGTGGAATTTTCAGGGGGAGACTTCAAGCGCTTTGAAGTGAATGGTAGGAAAGGAAATATCTTCGTATAAAAACTAGACGGAGTCATTCTCAGAAACTACTTTGTGATGTTTGCGTTCAACTCACAGAGTTTAACGTTTCTTTTCATAGAGCAGTTTGGAAACACTCTTTTTGCAGAATCTGCAAGTGGATATTTGGACCTCTTTGTGGCCTTCGTTGGAAACGGGATTTTTCATATAATGCTAGACAGAAGAATTCTCAGTAACTTCTTTTTGTGATGTGTATTCAACTCACAGAGTTGAACCTTCCTTTAGACAGAGCAGATTTGAAACTCTCTTTTTGTGGAATTTGCAAGTGGAGATTTCAAGCGCTTTGAGGCCAACGGCAGAAAAGGAAATATCTTCGTAGAAAAAATAGACGGAATCATTCTCAGAAACTGCTTTGGGATGTGTGCATTGAACTCACAGTGTTTAACACTTCTTTTCATAGAGCACTTTGGAAACACTCAGTTTGTAATGTCTGCAGCTGGATATTTGGACCTCTTTGAGGCCTTCGTAGTAAACGGGATTTCTTCGTGTAATGATAGACAATGTAATTCTCAGTGAATTTTTTTCTGTGTGTGTGTATTCAACTCACAGGGTTGAACCTTCCTTTAGACAGTGCAGATTTGAGACACTTGTCTGTGGAATTTGCAAGGGGAGATTTCAAGCACTTTGAGGCCATTGGTGGAAAAGGAAATATCTTCGTATGAAAACTAGACAGAATCATTCTCAGGAACTACTTTGTGATATGTGCATTCAACTCCCAGAGTTTAACCTTTCTTTTCATAGATGAGTTTGGAAACAGTCAGTTTGTAAATTCTGCAACTGGATATTTGGACCTCTTTGAGGCTTTCGTTGGAAACGGGATTTCTTCACATAATGCTAGACAGAAGAATTCTCAGTAACTTCTTTTGGGATGTATGTATTCAAATCAGAGAGTTGAACCTTCCTTTAGACAGAGCGGATTGGAAATACTCTTTTTGTGGAATTTGCAAGTGGAAAATTCTAGCAGTATGAGGCCAATGGTACAAAAGGAAATATCTTCGTATAAAAACTAGACAGTATCAGTTCTCAGAAACTGCTTTGTGATGTGTGGATTAAACTCACAGAGTTGAACATTTCTTTGCATAGAGCAGTTTGGAAAGACTTAGTTTGTGCAGTGTGCAAGTGGATATTTGGAACTCTTTGAGGCCTTCGTTGGAAACGGGATTTCTTCTTATAATTTCTTGAAAAAAGAATTCTCAGTAGCTTCTTTGTGTGTGTGTATTCAACTCACAGAGTTGAACCTTCCTTTAGACAGAGCAGATTGGAAACACTCTTTTTGTGGAATTTGCAAGTGGAGAATTCTAGCGCTTTGACGCCAATGGTAGAAAGGAAATATCTTCGTATAAAAACTAGACAGTATCATTCTCAGAAGCTACTTTGTGATGTGTGCGTTCAACTCACAGAGTTTAACCTTTCTTTTCATAGAGCAGTTTGGAAACCCTCTGTTTGTGAAGTCTGCAAGTGGATATTTAAACGTCTTTGAGGCCTTCGTTGGAAACGGGATTTTTTCATATAAACCAGGACAGAAGAATTCTCAGAAACTTCTTGATTGTTATGTGTGCATTCAACTCACAGAGTTGAACCTTACTTTGGAAAGAGCAGTTTTCTAACACTCTTTTTGTAAAAGTTCCAAGTGAATACTTTGAGTGCTTTGAAGCCTACGGTTGACAACGAAATATCTTCATGTAAAAACTACAAAGAAATCATTCGCAGAAACCACGTTGTGATCTCTGCATTCAACTCACAGAGTTGAACATTTCCTCCTATAGAGCAGTTATGAAACAGTCTCTTTGTAGAATTTGCAAGGGTGTATTTACAGGGCATTGAAGCCTACGGTAGAAAAGGAAATATCTTACCATAAAATCTAGTCAGAAGCATTCTCAGAAACTGAGTTGTGATGTTTGCATTCAACTCACAGAGTTCAACATTCCTTTTAATGGAGCGGTTTTGAAACACTCTTTTTGCAGAATCTGCAAGTGGATATTTGGACCTCTTTGAGGCCTTCGTTGGAAACGGGATTTCTTCATGTAATGCCAGACAGAAGAATTCTCAGTGAATTCTTTCTGTGTGTGTGTATTCAACTCACAGAGTTGAACGTTCCTTTAGACAGAGTAGATTGGAAACACTCTTTTTGTGGAATTTTCAGGTGGAGGTATCAAGCGCTTTGAGGCCAATGATAGAAAAGGAAATACCTTCGTATAATAATAGACGGATCATTCTCAGAAACTGCTTTGCAATGTGTGCGTTCAACTCACAGTGTTTAACCTTTCTTTTCATACAGTTGTTTCGAAACACTCTTTTTGCAGAATCTGCAAGTGGATATTTGGACCTCTTTGAAGTCTTCGTTGGAAATGGGATTTCTTCATATAATGCTAGACAGAAGACTTCTCAGTAACTGCTTTTTCTGGTGTGTATTCAACTCTCAGAGTTGAACTTTCCTTTAGAAACAGCAGATTTGAAACTCTCTTTTTGTGGAATTTGCAAGTGGAGATTTCAGAGCTTTGAGGCCAATGGTAGAAAAGGAAATATCTTCGTATGCAAACTAGACAGAATCATTCTCAGAAACTACTTTGGTACGTGTGTGTTCAACTCACAGTGTTTAACCTTTCTTTTCATAGAGCAGTTTGGAAACACTCAGTTTGTAAAGTCAGCAACTGGATATTTGGATGTATTTGAGGCCTTCGTTGGAAACGGGATTTCTTCATATAATGCTAGACAGAAGAATTCTCAGTAACTTCTTTGGGTTGTGGGTATTCAACTCACAGAGTTGAAGCTTCCTTTAGCGGAGCAGATTGGAAACACTTTTTGTGGAATTTTCAGGGGGAGACTTCAAGCACTTTGAAGTGAATGGTAGGAAAGGAAATATCTTCGTATAAAAACTAGACGGAGTCATTCTCAGAAACTACTTTGTGATGTTTGCGTTCAACTCACAGAATTTAACGTTTCTTTTCATAGAGCAGTTTGGAAACACTCTTTTTGCAGAATCTGCAAGTGGATATTTGGACCTCTTTGTGGCCTTCAGTTGGAAACGGGATTTTTCATATAATGCTAGACAGAAGAATTCTCAGTAACTTCTTTTTGTGGTGAGTATTCAACTCACAGAGTTGAACCTTCCTTTAGACAGAGCAGATTTGAAACTCTCTTTTCGTGGAATTTGCAAGTGGAGATTTCAAGCGCTTTGAGGCCAATGGTAGAAAAGGAAATATCTTCGTAGAAAAAATAGACGGAATCATTCTCGGAAACTGCTTTGGGATGTGTGCATTGAACTCACAGTGTTTAACACTTCTTTTCATAGAGCACTTTGGAAACACTGAGTTTGTAATGTCTGCAGCTGGATATTTGGACCTCTTTGAGGCCTTCGTAGTAAACGGGATTTCTTCGTGTAATGATAGACAATAGAATTCTCAGTGAATTTTTTTCTGTGTGTGTGTATTCAACTCACAGGGTTGAACCTTCCTTCAGACAGTGCAGATTTGAAACACTTTTCTGTGGAATTTGTAAGGGGAGATTTCAAGCACTTTGAGGCCATTGGTGGAAAAGGAAATATCTTCGTATAAAAACTAGACAGAATCATTCTCAGGAACTACTTTGTGATATGTGCATTCAACTCACAGGGTTTAACCTTTCTTTTCATAGATGAGTTTGGAAACAGTCAGTTTGGAAATTCTGCAACTGGATATTTGGACCTCTTGGAGGCTTTCGTTGGAAACGGGATTTCTTCACATAATGCTAGACAGAAGAATTCTCAGTAACTTCTTTTGGGATGTATGTATTCAACTCAGAGAGTTGAACCTTCCTTTAGACAGAGCGCATTGGAAACACGCTTTTTGCGGAATTTTCAGGTGGAGATTCCAAGAGCCTTGAGGCCAATGGTAGAAAAGGCTATCTTCGTATAAAAACCAGAGGGAATCATTCTCAGAAACTGCTTTGTGATGTGTGCATTAAACTCACAGGGTTGAACATTTCTTTGCATAGAGCAGTTTGGAAAGACTTAGTTTGTACAGTGTGCAAGTGGATATTTGGAACTCTTTGAGGCCTTCGTTGGAAACGGGATTTCTTCTTATAATTCTTGACAAAAGAATTCTCAGTAGCTTCTTTGTGTGTGTGTACTCAACTCACAGAGTTGAACCTTCCTTTAGACAGAGCAGATTGGAAACACTCTTTTTGTGGAATTTGCAAGTGGAAAATTCTAGCAGTATGAGGCCAATGGTACAAAAGGAAATATCTTCGTATAAAAACTAGACAGTATCATTCTCAGAACCTACTTTGTGAGGTGTGCGTTCAACTCACAGTGTTTACCCTTTCTTTTCATAGAGCAGTTTGGAAACACTCTGTTTGTGAAGTCTGCAAGTGGATATTTAAACGTCTTTGAGGCCTTCGTTGGAAACGGGATTTCTTCATATAAACCAGGACAGAAGAATTCTCAGAAACTTCTTGTTTGTTATGTGTGCATTCAACTCACAGAGTTGAACCTTACTTTGGAAAGAGCAGTTTTCTAACACTCTTTTTGTAAAAGTTCCAAGTGAATACTTTGAGTGCTTTGAAGCCTACGGTAGACAACGAAATATCTTCATGTAAAAACTACAAAGAATCATTCGCAGAAACCACGTTGTGATCTCTGCATTCAACTCACAGAGTTCAACCTTTCTTCCTATAGAGCAGTTATTAAACAGTCTCTTTGTAGAATTTGCAAGGGTGTATTTAGAGGGCATTGAAGCCTACGGTAGAAAAGGAAATATCTTACCATAAAATCTAGTCAGAAGCATTCTCAGAAACTGAGTTGTGATGTTTGCATTCAACTCACAGAGTTCAACATTCCTTTTAATAGAGCGGTTTTGAAACACTCTTTTTGCAGAATCTGCAAGTGGATATTTGGACCTCTTTGAGGCCTTCGTTGGAAACGGGATTTCTTCATGTAATGCCAGACAGAAGAATTCTCAGTGAATTCTTTCTGTGTGTGTGTATTCAACTCACAGAGTTGAACGTTCCTTTAGACAGAGTAGATTGGAAACACTCTTTTTGTGGAATTTTCAGGTGGAGGTATCAAGCGCTTTGAGGCCCATGATAGAAAAGGAAATACCTTCGTATAATAATTAGACGGAATCATTGTCAGAAAATGCTTTGCAATGGGTGCGTTCAACTCACAGTGTTTAACCTTTCTTTTCATACAGTTGTTTCGAAACACTCTTTTTGCAGAATCTGCAAGTGGATATTTGGACCTGTTTGAAGTCTTCTTTGGAAATGGGATTTCTTCATATAATGCTAGACAGAAGACTTCTCAGTAACTGCTTTTTCTGGTGTGTATTCAACTCTCAGAGTTGAACTTTCCTTTAGGAACAGCAGATTTGAAACTCTCTTTTTGTGGAATTTGCAAGTGGAGATTTCAAAGCTTTGAGGCCAGTGGTAGAAAAGGAAATATCTTTGTATGCAAACTAGACAGAATCATTCTCAGAAACTACTTTGGTACGTGTGTGTTCAACTCACAGTGTTTAACCTTTCTTTTCATAGAGCAGTTTGGAAACACTCAGTTTGTAAAGTCAGCAACTGGATATGTGGATGTATTTGAGGCCTTCGTTGGAAACGGGATTTCTTCCTATAATGCGAGACAGAAGAATTCTCAGTAACTTCTTTGTGTTGTGGGTATTCAACTCACAGAGTTGAAGCTTCCTTTAGGCGGAGCAGATTGGAAACACTTTTTGTGGAATTTTCAGGGGGAGACTTCAAGCGCTTTGAGGCCAACGGTAGAAAAGGAAATATCTTCGTATAAAAACTAGACGGAGTCATTCTCAGAAACTACTTTGTGATGTTTGCGTTCAACTCACAGAGTTTAACGTTTCTTTTCATAGAGCAGTTTGGAAACACTCTTTTTGCAGAATCTGCAAGTGGATATTTGGACCTCTTTGGGGCCTTCGTTGGAAACGGGATTTTTCATATAATGCTAGACAGAAGAATTCTCAGTAACTTCTTTTTGTGGTGTGTATTCAACTCACAGAGTGGAACCTTCCTTTAGACAGAGCAGATTTGAAACTCTCTTTTCGTGGAATTTGCAAGTGGAGATTTCAAGCGCTTTGAGGCCAACGGTAGAAAAGGAAATATCTTCGTAGAAAAAATAGACGGAATCATTCTCAGAAACTGCTTTGGGATGTGTGCATTGAACTCACAGTGTTTAACACTTCTTTTCATAGAGCACTTTGGAAACACTCAGTTTGTAATGTCTGCAGCTGGATATTTGGACCTCTTTGAGGCCTTCGTAGTAAACGGGATTTCTTCGTGTAATGATAGACAATAGAATTCTCAGTGAATTTTTTTCTGTGTGTGTGTATTCAACTCACAGGGTTGAACCTTCCTTTAGACAGTGCAGATTTGAAACACTTTTCTGTGGAATTTGCAAGGGGAGATTTCAAGCACTTTGAGGCCATTGGTGGAAAAGGAAATATCTTCGTATAAAAACTAGACAGAATCATTCTCAGGAACTACTTTGTGATATGTGCATTCAACTCACAGAGTTTAACCTTTCTTTTCATAGATGAGTTTGGAAACAGTCAGTTTGTAAATTCTGCAACTGGATATTTGGACCTCTTTGAGGCTTTCGTTGGAAACGGGATTTCTTCACATAATGCTAGACAGAAGAATTCTCAGTAACTTCTTTTGGGATGTATGTATTCAAATCAGAGAGTTGAACCTTCCTTTAGACAGAGCGGATTGGAAACTCTCTTTTTGTGGAATTTGCAAGTGGAAAATTCTAGCAGTATGAGGCCAATGGTACAAAAGGAAATATCTTCGTATAAAAACTAGACAGTATCATTCTCAGAAACTGCTTTGTGATGTGTGTATTAAACTCACAGAGTTGAACATTTCTTTGCATAGAGCAGTTTGGAAAGACTTAGTTTGTGCAGTGTGCAAGTGGATATTTGGAACTCTTTGAGGCCTTCGTTGGAAACGGGATTTCTTCTTATAATTCTTGACAAAAGAATTCTCAGTAGCTTCTTTGTGTGTGTGTATTCAACTCACAGAGTTGAACCTTCCTTTAGACAGAGCAGATTGGAAACCCTCTTTTTGTGGAATTTGCAAGTGGAGAATTCTAGCGCTTTGACGCCAATGGTAGAAAGGAAATATCTTCGTATAAAAACTAGACAGTATCATTCTCAAAAACTACTTTGTGATGTGTGCGTTCAACTCACAGAGTTTAACCTTTCTTTTCATAGAGCAGTTTGGAAACACTCTGTTTGTGAAGTCTGCAAGTGGATATTTAAACGTCTTTGAGGCCTTCGTTGGAAACGGGATTTTTTCATATAAACCAGGACAGAAGAATTCTCAGAAACTTCTTGATTGTTATGTGTGCATTCAACTCACAGAGTTGAACCTTACTTTGGAAAGAGCAGTTTTCTAACACTCTTTTTGTAAAAGTTCCAAGTGAATACTTTGAGTGCTTTGAAGCCTACGGTTGACAACGAAATATCTTCATGTAAAAACTACAAAGAATCATTCGCAGAAACCACGTTGTGATCTCTGCATTCAACTCACAGAGTTGAACCTTTCTTCCTATAGAGCAGTTATGAAACAGACTCTTTGTAGAATTTGCAAGGGTGTATTTAGAGGGCATTGAAGCCTACGGTAGAAAAGGAAATATCTTACCATAAAATCTAGTCAGAAGCATTCTCAGCAACTGAGTTGTGATGTTTGCATTCAACTCACAGAGTTCAACATTCCTTTTAATGGAGCGGTTTTGAAACACTCTTTTTGCAGAATCTGCAAGTGGATATTTGGACCTCTTTGAGGCCTTCGTTGGAAACGGGATTTCTTCATGTAATGCCAGACAGAAGAATTCTCAGTGAATTCTTTCTGTGTGTGTGTATTCAACTCACAGAGTTGAACGTTCCTTTAGACAGAGTAGATTGGAAACACTCTTTTTGTGGAATTTTCAGGTGGAGGTATCAAGCGCTTTGAGGCCAATGATAGAAAAGGAAATACCTTCGTATAATAATTAGACGGAATCATTCTCAGAAACCACTTTGCAATGTGTGCGTTCAACTCACAGTGTTTAACCTTTCTTTTCATACAGTTGTTTCGAAACACTCTTTTTGCAGAATCTGCAAGTGGATATTTGGACCTCTTTGAAGTCTTCGTTGGAAATGGGATTTCTTCATATAATGCTAGACAGAAGACTTCTCAGTAACTGCTTTTTCTGGTGTGTATTCAACTCTCAGAGTTGAACTTTCCTTTAGAAACAGCAGATTTGAAACTCTCTTTTTGTGGAATTTGCAAGTGGAGATTTCAGAGCTTTGAGGCCAATGGTAGAAAAGGAAATATCTTCGTATGCAAACTAGACAGAATCATTCTCAGAAACTACTTTGGTACGTGTGTGTTCAACTCACAGTGTTTAACCTTTCTTTTCATAGAGCAGTTTGGAAACACTCAGTTTGTAAAGTCAGCAACTGGATATTTGGATGTATTTGAGGCCTTCGTTGGAAACGGGATTTCTTCTTATAATTCTTGACAAAAGAATTCTCAGTAACTTCTTTGGGTTGTGGGTATTCAACTCACAGAGTTGAAGCTTCCTTTAGGCGGAGCAGATTGGAAACACTTTTTGTGGAATTTTCAGGGGGAGACTTCAAGCGCTTTGAAGTGAATGGTAGGAAAGGAAATATCTTCGTATAAAAACTAGACGGAGTCATTCTCAGAAACTACTTTGTGATGTTTGCGTTCAACTCACAGAGTTTAACGTTTCTTTTCATAGAGCAGTTTGGAAACACTCTTTTTGCAGAATCTGCAAGTGGATATTTGGACCTCTTTGTGGCCTTCGTTGGAAACGGGATTTTTCATATAATGCTAGACAGAAGAATTCTCAGTAACTTCTTTTTGTGGTGTGTATTCAACTCACAGAGTTGAACCTTCCTTTAGACAGAGCAGATTTGAAACTCTCTTTTTGTGGAATTTGCAAGTGGAGATTTCAAGCGCTTTGAGGCCAACGGCAGAAAAGGAAATATCTTCGTAGAAAAAATAGACGGAATCATTCTCAGAAACTGCTTTGGGATGTGTGCATTGAACTCACAGTGTTTAACACTTCTTTTCATAGAGCACTTTGGAAACACTCAGTTTGTAATGTCTGCAGCTGGATATTTGGACCTCTTTGAGGCCTTCGTGGTAAACGGGATTTCTTCGTGTAATGATAGACAATAGAATTCTCAGTGAATTTTTTTCTGTGTGTGTGTATTCAACTCACAGGGTTGAACCTTCCTTTAGACAGTGCAGATTTGAAACACTTGTCTGTGGAATTTGCAAGGGGAGATTTCAAGCACTTTGAGGCCATTGGTGGAAAAGGAAATATCTTCGTATGAAAACTAGACAGAATCATTCTCAGGAACTACTTTGTGATATGTGCATTCAACTCACAGAGTTTAACCTTTCTTTTCATAGATGAGTTTGGAAACAGTCAGTTTGTAAATTCTGCAACTGGATATTTGGACCTCTTTGAGGCTTTCGTTGGAAACGGGATTTCTTCACATAATGCTAGACAGAAGAATTCTCAGTAACTTCTTTTGGGATGTATGTATTCAAATCAGAGAGTTGAACCTTCCTTTAGACAGAGCGGATTGGAAACACTCTTTTTGTGGAATTTGCAAGTGGAAAATTCTAGCAGTATGAGGCCAATGGTACAAAAGGAAATATCTTCGTATAAAAACTAGACAGTATCATTCTCAGAAACTGCTTTGTGATGTGTGTATTAAACTCACAGAGTTGAACATTTCTTTACATAGAGCAGTTTGGAAAGACTTAGTTTGTGCAGTGTGCAAGTGGATATTTGGAACTCTTTGAGGCCTTCGTTGGAAACGGGATTTCTTCTTATAATTCTTGACAAAAGAATTCTCAGTAGCTTCTTTGTGTGTGTGTATTCAACTCACAGAGTTGAACCTTCCTTTAGACAGAGCAGATTGGAAACACTCTTTTTGTGGAATTTGCAAGTGGAGAATTCTAGCGCTTTGACGCCAATGGTAGAAAGGAAATATCTTCGTATAAAAACTAGACAGTATCATTCTCAGAAGCTACTTTGTGATGTGTGCGTTCAACTCACAGAGTTTAACCTTTCTTTTCATAGAGCAGTTTGGAAACCCTCTGTTTGTGAAGTCTGCAAGTGGATATTTAAACGTCTTTGAGGCCTTCGTTGGAAACGGGATTTTTTCATATAAACCAGGACAGAAGAATTCTCAGAAACTTCTTGATTGTTATGTGTGCATTCAACTCACAGAGTTGAACCTTACTTTGGAAAGAGCAGTTTTCTAACACTCTTTTTGTAAAAGTTCCAAGTGAATACTTTGAGTGCTTTGAAGCCTACGGTTGACAACGAAATATCTTCATGTAAAAACTACAAAGAATCATTCGCAGAAACCACGTTGTGATCTCTGCATTCAACTCACAGAGTTCAACCTTTCTTCCTATAGAGCAGTTATGAAACAGTCTCTTTGTAGAATTTGCAAGGGTGTATTTAGAGGGCATTGAAGCCTACGGTAGAAAAGGAAATATCTTACCATAAAATCTAGTCAGAAGCATTCTCAGAAACTGAGTTGTGATGTTTGCATTCAACTCACAGAGTTCAACATTCCTTTTAATGGAGCGGTTTTGAAACACTCTTTTTGCAGAATCTGCAAGTGGATATTTGGACCTCTTTGAGGCCTTCGTTGGAAACGGGATTTCTTCATGTAATGCCAGACAGAAGAATTCTCAGTGAATTCTTTCTGTGTGTGTGTATTCAACTCACAGAGTTGAACGTTCCTTTAGACAGAGTAGATTGGAAACACTCTTTTTGTGGAATTTTCAGGTGGAGGTATCAAGCGCTTTGAGGCCAATGATAGAAAAGGAAATACCTTCGTATAATAATTAGACGGAATCATTCTCAGAAACTGCTTTGCAATGTGTGCGTTCAACTCACAGTGTTTAACCTTTCTTTTCATACAGTTGTTTCGAAACACTCTTTTTGCAGAATCTGCAAGTGGATATTTGGACCTCTTTGAAGTCTTCGTTGGAAATGGTATTTCTTCATATAATGCTAGACAGAAGACTTCTCAGTAACTGCTTTTTCTGGTGTGTATTCAACTCTCCGAGTTGAACTTTCCTTTAGAAACAGCAGATTTGAAACTCTCTTTTTGTGGAATTTGCAAGTGGAGATTTCAGAGCTTTGAGGCCAATGGTAGAAAAGGAAATATCTTCGTATGCAAACTAGACAGAATCATTCTCAGAAACTACTTTGGTACGTGTGTGTTCAACTCACAGTGTTTAACCTTTCTTTTCATAGAGCAGTTTGGAAACACTCAGTTTGTAAAGTCAGCAACTGGATATTTGGATGTATTTGAGGCCTTCGTTGGAAACGGGATTTCTTCATATAATGCTAGACAGAAGAATTCTCAGTAACTTCTTTGGGTTGTGGGTATTCAACTCACAGAGTTGAAGCTTCCTTTAGGCGGAGCAGATTGGAAACACTTTTTGTGGAATTTTCAGGGGGAGACTTCAAGCGCTTTGAAGTGAATGGTAGGAAAGGAAATATCTTCGTATAAAAACTAGACGGAGTCATTCTCAGAAACTACTTTGTGATGTTTGCGTTCAACTCACAGAGTTTAACGTTTCTTTTCATAGAGCAGTTTGGAAACACTCTTTTTGCAGAATCTGCAAGTGGATATTTGGACCTCTTTGTGGCCTTCGTTGGAAACGGGATTTTTCATATAATGCTAGACAGAAGAATTCTCAGTAACTTCTTTTTGTGGTGTGTATTCAACTCACAGAGTTGAACCTTCCTTTAGACAGAGCAGATTTGAAACTCTCTTTTTGTGGAATTTGCAAGTGGAGATTTCAAGCGCTTTGAGGCCAACGGTAGAAAAGGAAATATCTTCGTAGAAAAAATAGACGGAATCATTCTCAGAAACTGCTTTGGGATGTGTGCATTGAACTCACAGTGTTTAACACTTCTTTTCATAGAGCACTTTGGAAACACTCAGTTTGTAATGTCTGCAGCTGGATATTTGGACCTCTTTGAGGCCTTCTTAGTAAACGGGATTTCTTCGTGTAATGATAGACAATAGAATTCTCAGTGAATTTGTTTCTGTGTGTGTGTATTCAACTCACAGGGTTGAACCTTCCTTTAGACAGTGCAGATTTGAAACACTTGTCTGTGGAATTTGCAAGGGGAGATTTCAAGCACTTTGAGGCCATTGGTGGAAAAGGAAATATCTTCGTATAAAAACTAGACAGAATCATTCTCAGGAACTACTTTGTGATATGTGCATTCAACTCACAGAGTTTAACCTTTCTTTTCATAGATGAGTTTGGAAACAGTCAGTTTGTAAATTCTGCAACTGGATATTTGGACCTCTTTGAGGCTTTCGTTGGAAACGGGATTTCTTCACATAATGCTAGACAGAAGAATTCTCAGTAACTTCTTTTGGGATGTATGTATTCAAATCAGAGAGTTGAACCTTCCTTTAGACAGAGCGGATTGGAAACACTCTTTTTGTGGAATTTGCAAGTGGAAAATTCTAGCAGTATGAGGCCAATGGTACAAAAGGAAATATCTTCGTATAAAAACTAGACAGTATCATTCTCAGAAACTGCTTTGTGATGTGTGTATTAAACTCACAGAGTTGAACATTTCTTTGCATAGAGCAGTTTGGAAAGACTTAGTTTGTGCAGTGTGCAAGTGGATATTTGGAACTCTTTGAGGCCTTCGTTGGAAACGGGATTTCTTCTTATAATTCTTGACAAAAGAATTCTCAGTAGCTTCTTTGTGTGTGTGTATTCAACTCACAGAGTTGAACCTTCCTTGAGACAGAGCAGATTGGAAACACTCTTTTTGTGGAATTTGCAAGTGGAGAATTCTAGCGCTTTGACGCCAATGGTAGAAAGGAAATATCTTCGTATAAAAACTAGACAGTATCATTCTCAGAAACTACTTTGTGATGTGTGCGTTCAACTCACAGAGTTTAACCTTTCTTTTCATAGAGCAGTTTGGAAACACTCTGTTTGTGAAGTCTGCAAGTGGATATTTAAACGTCTTTGAGGCCTTCGTTGGAAACGGGATTTGTTCATATAAACCAGGACAGAAGAATTCTCAGAAACTTCTTGATTGTTATGTGTGCATTCAACTCACAGAGTTGAACCTTACTTTGGAAAGAGCAGTTTTCTAACACTCTTTTTGTAAAAGTTCCAAGTGAATACTTTGAGTGCTTTGAAGCCTACGGTTGACAACGAAATATCTTCATGTAAAAACTACAAAGAATCATTCGCAGAAACCACGTTGTGATCTCTGCATTCAACTCACAGAGTTGAACCTTTCCTCCTATAGAGCAGTTATGAAACAGTCTCTTTGTAGAATTTGCAAGGGTGTATTTAGAGGGCATTGAAGCCTACGGTAGAAAAGGAAATATCTTACCATAAAATCTAGTCAGAAGCATTCTCAGAAACTGAGTTGTGATGTTTGCATTCAACTCACAGAGTTCAACATTCCTTTTAATGGAGCGGTTTTGAAACACTCTTTTTGCAGAATCTGCAAGTGGATATTTGGACCTCTTTGAGGCCTTCGTTGGAAACGGGATTTCTTCATGTAATGCCAGACAGAAGAATTCTCAGTGAATTCTTTCTGTGTGTGTGTATTCAACTCACAGAGTTGAACGTTCCTTTAGACAGAGTAGATTGGAAACACTCTTTTTGTGGAATTTTCAGGTGGAGGTATCAAGCGCTTTGAGGCCAATGATAGAAAAGGAAATACCTTCGTATAATAATTAGACGGAATCATTCTCAGAAACCGCTTTGCAATGTGTGCGTTCAACTCACAGTGTTTAACCTTTCTTTTCATACAGTTGTTTCGAAACACTCTTTTTGCAGAATCTGCAAGTGGATATTTGGACCTCTTTGAAGTCTTCGTTGGAAATGGGATTTCTTCATATAATGCTAGACAGAAGACTTCTCAGTAACTGCTTTTTCTGGTGTGTATTCAACTCTCAGAGTTGAACTTTCCTTTAGAAACAGCAGATTTGAAACTCTCTTTTTGTGGAATTTGCAAGTGGAGATTTCAGAGCTTTGAGGCCAATGGTAGAAAAGGAAATATCTTCGTATGCAAACTAGACAGAATCATTCTCAGAAACTACTTTGGTACGTGTGTGTTCAACTCACAGTGTTTAACCTTTCTTTTCATAGAGCAGTTTGGAAACACTCAGTTTGTAAAGTCAGCAACTGGATATTTGGATGTATTTGAGGCCTTCGTTGGAAACGGGATTTCTTCCTATAATGCTAGACAGAAGAATTCTCAGTAACTTCTTTGGGTTGTGGGTATTCAACTCACAGATTTGAAGCTTCCTTTAGGCGGAGCAGATTGGAAACACTTTTTGTGGAATTTTCAGGGGGAGACTTCAAGCGCTTTGAAGTGAATGGTAGGAAAGGAAATATCTTCGTATAAAAACTAGACGGAGTCATTCTCAGAAACTACTTTGTGATGTTTGCGTTCAACTCACAGAGTTTAACGTTTCTTTTCATAGAGCAGTTTGGAAACACTCTTTTTGCAGAATCTGCAAGTGGATATTTGGACCTCTTTGTGGCCTTCGTTGGAAACGGGATTTTTCATATAATGCTAGACAGAAGAATTCTCAGTAACTTCTTTTTGTGGTGTGTATTCAACTCACAGAGTTGAACCTTCCTTTAGACAGAGCAGATTTGAAACTCTCTTTTTGTGGAATTTGCAAGTGGAGATTTCAAGCGCTTTGAGGCCAACGGCAGAAAAGGAAATATCTTCGTAGAAAAAATAGACGGAATCATTCTCAGAAACTGCTTTGGGATGTGTGCATTGAACTCACAGTGTTTAACACTTCTTTTCATAGAGCACTTTGGAAACACTCAGTTTGTAATGTCTGCAGCTGGATATTTGGACCTCTTTGAGGCCGTCGTAGTAAACGGGATTTCTTCGTGTAATGATAGACAATAGAATTCTCAGTGAATTTTTTTCTGTGTGTGTGTATTCAACTCACAGGGTTGAACCTTCCTTTAGACAGTGCAGATTTGAAACACTTGTCTGTGGAATTTGCAAGGGGAGATTTCAAGCACTTTGAGGCCATTGGTGGAAAAGGAAATATCTTCGTATAAAAACTAGACAGAATCATTGTCAGGAACTACTTTGTGATATGTGCATTCAACTCACAGAGTTTAACCTTTCTTTTCATAGATGAGTTTGGAAACAGTCAGTTTGTAAATTCTGCAACTGGATATTTGGACCTCTTTGAGGCTTTCGTTGGAAACGGGATTTCTTCACATAATGCTAGACAGAAGAATTCTCAGTAACTTCTTTTGGGATGTATGTATTCAAATCAGAGAGTTGAACCTTCCTTTAGACAGAGCGGATTGGAAACACTCTTTTTGTGGAATTTGCAAGTGGAAAATTCTAGCAGTATGAGGCCAATGGTACAAAAGGAAATATCTTCGTATAAAAACTAGACAGTATCATTCTCAGAAACTGCTTTGTGATGTGTGTATTAAACTCACAGAGTTGAACATTTCTTTGCATAGAGCAGTTTGGAAAGACTTAGTTTGTGCAGTGTGCAAGTGGATATTTGGAACTCTTTGAGGCCTTCGTTGGAAACGGGATTTCTTCTTATAATTCTTGACAAAAGAATTCTCAGTAGCTTCTTTGTGTGTGTGTGTACTCAACTCACAGAGTTGAACCTTCCTTTAGACAGAGCAGATTGGAAACACTCTTTTTGTGGAATTTGCAAGTGGAAAATTCTAGCAGTATGAGGCCAATGGTACAAAAGGAAATATCTTCGTATAAAAACTAGACAGTATCATTCTCAGAAACTACTTTGTGATGTGTGCGTTCAACTCACAGTGTTTACCCTTTCTTTTCATAGAGCAGTTTGGAAACACTCTGTTTGTGAAGTCTGCTAGTGGATATTTAAACGTCTTTGAGGCCTTCGTTGGAAACGGGATTTCTTCATATAAACCAGGACAGAAGAATTCTCAGAAACTTCTTGTTTGTTATGTGTGCATTCAACTCACAGAGTTGAACCTTACTTTGGAAAGAGCAGTTTTCTAACACTCTTTTTGTGAAAGTTCCAAGTGAATACTTTGAGTGCTTTGAAGCCTACGGTAGACAACGAAATATCTTCATGTAAAAACTACAAAGAATCATTCGCAGAAACCACGTTGTGATCTCTGCATTCAACTCACAGAGTTGAACCTTTCCTCCTATAGAGCAGTTATGAAGCAGTCTCTTTGTAGAATTTGCAAGGGTGTATTTAGAGGGCATTGAAGCCTACGGTAGAAAAGGAAATATCTTACCATAAAATCTAGTCAGAAGCATTCTCAGCAACTGAGTTGTGATGTTTGCATTCAACTCACAGAGTTCAACATTCCTTTTAATGGAGCGGTTTTGAAACACTCTTTTTGCAGAATCTGCAAGTGGATATTTGGACCTCTTTGAGGCCTTCGTTGGAAACGGGATTTCTTCATGTAATGCCAGACAGAAGAATTCTCAGTGAATTCTTTCTGTGTGTGTGTATTCAACTCACAGAGTTGAACGTTCCTTTAGACAGAGTAGATTGGAAACACTCTTTTTGTGGAATTTTCAGGTGGAGGTATCAAGCGCTTTGAGGCCAATGATAGAAAAGGAAATACCTTCGTATAATAATTAGACGGAATCATTCTCAGAAACTGCTTTGCAATGTGTGCGTTCAACTCACAGTGTTTAACCTTTCTTTTCATACAGTTGTTTCGAAACACTCTTTTTGCAGAATCTGCAAGTGGATATTTGGACCTCTTTGAAGTCTTCTTTGTAAATGGGATTTCTTCATATAATGCTAGACAGAAGACTTCTCAGTAACTGCTTTTTCTGGTGTGTATTCAACTCTCAGAGTTGAACTTTCCTTTAGAAACAGCAGAGTTGAAACTCTCTTTTTGTGGAATTTGCAAGTGGAGATTTCAGAGCTTTGAGGCCAATGGTAGAAAAGGAAATATCTTCGTATGCAAACTAGACAGAATCATTCTCAGAAACTACTTTGGTACGTGTGTGTTCAACTCACAGTGTTTAACCTTTCTTTTCATAGAGCAGTTTGGAAACACTCAGTTTGTAAAGTCAGCAACTGGATATTTGGATGTATTTGAGGCCTTCGTTGGAAACGGGATTTCTTCATATAATGCTAGACAGAAGAATTCTCAGTAACTTCTTTGGGTTGTGGGTATTCAACTCACAGAGTTGAAGCTTCCTTTAGGCGGAGCAGATTGGAAACACTTTTTGTGGAATTTTCAGGGGGAGACTTCAAGCGCTTTGAAGTGAATGGTAGGAAAGGAAATATCTTCGTATAAAAACTAGACGGAGTCATTCTCAGAAACTACTTTGTGATGTTTGCGTTCAACTCACAGAGTTTAACGTTTCTTTTCATAGAGCAGTTTGGAAACACTCTTTTTGCAGAATCTGCAAGTGGATATTTGGACCTCTTTGTGGCCTTCGTTGGAAACGGGATTTTTCATATAATGCTAGACAGAAGAATTCTCAGAAACTTCTTTTTGTGGTGTGTATTCAACTCACAGAGTTGAACCTTCCTTTAGACAGAGCAGATTTGAAACTCTCTTTTTGTGGAATTTGCAAGTGGAGATTTCAAGCGCTTTGAGGCCAACGGCAGAAAAGGAAATATCTTCGTAGAAAAAATAGACGGAATCATTCTCAGAAACTGCTTTGGGATGTGTGCATTGAACTCACAGTGTTTAACACTTCTTTTCATAGAGCACTTTGGAAACACTCAGTTTGTAATGTCTGCAGCTGGATATTTGGACCTCTTTGAGGCCTTCGTAGTAAACGGGATTTCTTCGTGTAATGATAGACAATAGAATTCTCAGTGAATTTTTTTCTGTGTGTGTGTATTCAACTCACAGGGTTGAACCTTCCTTTAGACAGTGCAGATTTGAAACACTTTTCTGTGGAATTTGCAAGGGGAGATTTCAAGCACTTTGAGGCCATTGGTGGAAAAGGAAATATCTTCGTATAAAAACTAGACAGAATCATTCTCAGGAACTACTTTGTGATACGTGCATTCAACTCACAGGGTTTAACCTTTCTTTTCATAGATGAGTTTGGAAACAGTCAGTTTGTAAATTCTGCAACTGGATATTAGGACCTCTTTGAGGCGTTCGTTGGAAACGGGATTTCTTCACATAATGCTAGACAGAAGAATTCGCAGTAACTTCTTTTGGGATGTATGTATTCAACTCGGAGAGTTGAACCTTCCTTTAGACAGAGCGCATTGGAAACACGCTTTTTGCGGAATTTTCAGGTGGAGATTCCAAGAGCCTTGAGACCAATGGTAGAAAAGGATATCTTCATATAAAAACTAGAGGGAATCATTCTCAGAAACTGCTTTCTGATGTGTGCATTAAACTCACAGGGTTGAACATTTCTTTGCATAGAGCAGTTTGGAAAGACTTAGTTTGTACAGTGTGCAAGTGGATATTTGGAACTCTTTGAGGCCTTCGTTGGAAACGGGATTTCTTCTTATAATTCTTGACAAAACAATTCTCAGTAGCTTCCTTGTGTGTGTGTATTCAACTCACAGAGTTGAACCTGCCTTTAGGCAGAGCAGATTGGAAACCCTCTTTTTGTGGAATTTGCAAGTGGAGAATTCTAGCGCTTTGACGCCAATGGTAGGAAAGGAAATATCTCCGTATAAAAACTGGACAGTATCATTCTCAGAAACTACTTTGTGATGTGTGCGTTCAACTCACAGAGTTTAACCTTTGTTTTCATAGAGCAGTTTGGAAACACTCTGTTTGTGAAGTCTGCAAGTGGATATTTAAACGTCTTTGAGGCCTTCGTTGGAAACGGGATTTTTTCATATAAACCAGGACAGAAGAATTCTCAGAAACTTCTTGTTTGTTATGTGTGCATTCAACTCACAGAGTTGAACCTTACTTTGGAAAGAGCAGTTTTCTAACACTCTTTTTGTAAAAGTTCCAAGTGAATACTTTGAGTGCTTTGAAGCCTACGGTAGACAACGAAATATCTTCATGTAAAAACTACAAAGAATCATTCGCAGAAACCACGTTGTGATCTCTGCATTCAACTCACAGAGTTGAACCTTTCCTCCTATAGAGCAGTTATGAAACAGTCTCTTTGTTGAATTTGCAAGGGTGTATTTACAGGGCATTGAAGCCTACGGTAGAAAAGGAAATATCTTACCATAAAATCTAGTCAGAAGCATTCTCAGAAACTGAGTTGTGATGTTTGCATTCAACTCACAGAGTTCAACATTCCTTTTAATGGAGCGGTTTTGAAACACTCTTTTTGCAGAATCTGCAAGTGGATATTTGGACCTCTTTGAGGCCTTCGTTGGAAACGGGATTTCTTCATGTAATGCCAGACAGAAGAATTCTCAGTGAATTCTTTCTGTGTGTGTGTATTCAACTCACAGAGTTGAACGTTCCTTTAGACAGAGTAGATTGGAAACACTCTTTTTGTGGAATTTTCAGGTGGAGGTATCAAGCGCTTTGAGGCCAATGATAGAAAAGGAAATACCTTCGTATAATAATTAGACGGAATCATTCTCAGAAACTGCTTTGCAATGTGTGCGTTCAACTCACAGTGTTTAACCTTTCTTTTCATACAGTTTTGTTTCGAAACACTCTTTTTGCAGAATCTGCAAGTGGATATTTGGACCTCTTTGAAGTCTTCGTTGGAAATGGGATATCTTCATATAATGCTAGACAGAAGACTTCTCAGTAACTGCTTTTTCTGGTGTGTATTCAACTCTCAAGAGTTGAACTTTCCTTTAGAAACAGCAGATTTGAAACTCTCTTTTTGTGGAATTCGCAAGTGGAGATTTCAGAGCTTTGAGGCCAATGGTAGAAAAGGAAATATCTTCGTATGCAAACTAGACAGAATCATTCTCAGAAACTACTTTGGTACGTGTGTGTTCAACTCACAGTGTTTAACCTTTCTTTTCATAGAGCAGTTTGGAAACACTCAGTTTGTAAAGTCAGCAACTGGATATTTGGATGTATTTGAGGCCTTCGTTGGAAACGGGATTTCTTCATATAATGCTAGACAGAAGAATTCTCAGTAACTTCTTTGGGTTGTGGGTATTCAACTCACAGAGTTGAAGCTTCCTTTAGGCGGAGCAGATTGGAAACACTTTTTGTGGAATTTTCAGGGGGAGACTTCAAGCGCTTTGAAGTGAATGGTAGAAAAGGAAATATCTTCGTATAAAAAGTAGACGGAGTCATTCTCAGAAACTACTTTGTGATGTTTGCGTTCAACTCACAGAGTTTAACGTTTCTTTTCATAGAGCAGTTTGGAAACACTCTTTTTGCAGAATCTGCAAGTGGATATTTGGACCTCTTTGAGGCCTTCGTTGGAAACGGGATTTCTTCATGTAATGCCAGACAGAAGAATTCTCAGTAACTTCTTTTTGTGGTGTGTATTCAACTCACAGAGTTGAACCTTCCTTTAGACAGAGCAGATTTGAAACTCTCTTTTTGTGGAATTTGCAAGTGGAGATTTCAAGCGCTTTGAGGCCAACGGCAGAAAAGGAAATATCTTCGTAGAGAAAATAGACGGAATCATTCTCAGAAACTGCTTTGGGATGTGTGCATTGAACTCACAGTGTTTAACACTTCTTTTCATAGAGCACTTTGGAAACACTCAGTTTGTAATGTCTGCAGCTGGATATTTGGACCTCTTTGAGGCCTTCGTAGTAAACGGGATTTCTTCGTGTAATGATAGACAATAGAATTCTCAGTGAATTTTTTTCTGTGTGTGTGTATTCAACTCACAGGGTTGAACCTTCCTTTAGACAGTGCAGATTTGAGACACTTGTCTGTGGAATTTGCAAGGGGAGATTTCAAGCACTTTGAGGCCATTGGTGGAAAAGGAAATATCTTCGTATAAAAACTAGACAGAATCATTCTCAGGAACTACTTTGTGATATGTGCATTCAACTCACAGAGTTTAACCTTTCTTTTCATAGATGAGTTTGGAAACAGTCAGTTTGTAAATGCTGCAACTGGATATTTGGGCCTCTTTGAGGCTTTCGTTGGAAACGGGATTTCTTCACATAATGCTAGACAGAAGAATTCTCAGTAACTTCTTTTGGGATGTATGTATTCAAATCAGAGAGTTGAACCTTCCTTTAGACAGAGCGGATTGGAAACACTCTTTTTGTGGAATTTGCAAGTGGAAAATTCTAGCAGTATGAGGCCAATGGTACAAAAGGAAATATCTTCGTATAAAAACTAGACAGTATCATTCTCAGAAACTGCTTTGTGATGTGTGTATTAAACTCACAGATTTGAACATTTCTTTGCATAGAGCAGTATGGAAAGACTTAGTTTGTGCAGTGTGCAAGTGGATATTTGGAACTCTTTGAGGCCTTGGTTGGAAACGGGATTTCTTCTTATAATTCTTGACAAAAGAATTCTCAGTAGCTTTCTTGTGTGTGTGTATTCAACTCACAGAGTTGAACCTGCCTTTAGGCAGAGCAGATTGGAAACCCTCTTTTTGTGGAATTTGCAAGTGGAGAATTCTAGCGCTTTGACGCCAATGGTAGGAAAGGAAATATCTCCGTATAAAAACTGGACAGTATCATTCTCAGAAACTACTTTGTGATGTGTGTGTTCAACTCACAGAGTTTAACCTTTCTTTTCATAGAGCAGTTTGGAAACACTCTGTTTGTGAAGTCTGCAAGTGGATATTTAAACGCCTTTGAGGCCTTCCTTGGAAACGGGATTTTTTCATATAAACCAGGACAGAAGAATTCTCAGAAACTTCTTGATTGTTATGTGTGCATTCAACTCACAGAGTTGAACGTTACTTTGGAAAGAGCAGTTTTCTAACACTCTTTTTGTAAAAGTTCCAAGTGAATACTTTGAGTGCTTTGAAGCCTACGGTTGACAACGAAATATCTTCATGTAAAAACTACAAAGAATCATTCGCAGAAACCACGTTGTGATCTCTGCATTCAACTCACAGAGTTGAACCTTTCTTCCTATAGAGCAGTTATGAAACAGTCTCTTTGTAGCATTTGCAAGGGTGTATTTAAAGGGCATTGAAGCCTACGGTAGAAAAGGAAATATCTTACCATAAAATCTAGTCAGAAGCATTCTCAGAAACTGAGTTGTGATGTTTGCATTCAACTCACAGAGTTCAACATTCCTTTTAATGGAGCGGTTTTGAAACACTCTTTTTGCAGAATCTGCAAGTGGATATTTGGACCTCTTTGAGGCCTTCGTTGGAAACGGGATTTCTTCATGGAATGCCAGACAGAAGAATTCTCAGTGAATTCTTTCTGTGTGTGTGTATTCAACTCACAGAGTTGAACGTTCCTTTAGACAGAGTAGATTGGAAACACTCTTTTTGTGGAATTTTCAGGTGGAGGTATCAAGCGCTTTGAGGCCAATGATAGAAAAGGAAATACCTTCGTATAATAATTAGACGGAATCATTCTCAGAAACCGCTTTGCAATGTGTGCGTTCAACTCACAGTGTTTAACCTTTCTTTTCATACAGTTGTTTCGAAACACTCTTTTTGCAGAATCTGCAAGTGGATATTTGGACCTCTTTGAAGTCTTCGTTGGAAATGGGATTTCTTCATATAATGCTAGACAGAAGACTTCTCAGTAACTGCTTTTTCTGGTGTGTATTCAACTCTCAGAGTTGAACTTTCCTTTAGAAACAGCAGATTTGAAACTCTCTTTTTGTGGAATTTGCAAGTGGAGATTTCAGAGCTTTGAGGCCAATGGTAGAAAAGGAAATATCTTCGTATGCAAACTAGACAGAATCATTCTCAGAAACTACTTTGGTACGTGTGTGTTCAACTCACAGTGTTTAACCTTTCTTTTCATAGAGCAGTTTGGAAACACTCAGTTTGTAAAGTCAGCAACTGGATATTTGGATGTATTTGAGGCCTTCGTTGGAAACGGGATTTCTTCATATAGTGCTAGACAGAAGAATTCTCAGTAACTTCTTTGGGTTGTGGGTATTCAAGTCACAGAGTTGAAGCTTCCTTTAGGCGGAGCAGATTGGAAACACTTTTTGTGGAATTTTCAGGGGGAGACTTCAAGCGCTTTGAAGTGAATGGTAGGAAAGGAAATATCTTCGTATAAAAACTAGACGGAGTCATTCTCAGAAACTACTTTGTGATGTTTGCGTTCAACTCACAGAGTTTAACGTTTCTTTTCATAGAGCAGTTTGGAAACACTCTTTTTGCAGAATCTGCAAGTGGATATTTGGTCCTCTTTGTGGCCTTCGTTGGAAACGGGATTTTTCATATAATGCTAGACAGAAGAATTCTCAGTGAATTCTTTCTGTGTGTGTGTATTCAACTCACAGAGTTGAACCTTCCTTTAGACAGAGCAGATTTGAAACTCTCTTTTTGTGGAATTTGCAAGTGGAGATTTCAAGCGCTTTGAGGCCAACGGCAGAAAAGGAAATATCTTCGTAGAAAAAATAGACGGAATCATTCTCAGAAACTGCTTTGGGATGTGTGCATTGAACTCACAGTGTTTAACACTTCTTTTCATAGAGCACTTTGGAAACACTCAGTTTGTAATGTCTGCAGCTGGATATTTGGACCTCTTTGAGGCCTTCGTAGTAAACGGGATTTCTTCGTGTAATGATAGACAATAGAATTCTCAGTGAATTTTTTTCTGTGTGTGTGTATTCAACTCACAGGGTTGAACCTTCCTTTAGACAGTGTAGATTTGAAACACTTGTCTGTGGAATTTGCAAGGGGAGATTTGAAGCACTTTGAGGCCATTGGTGGAAAAGGAAATATCTTCGTATAAAAACTAGACAGAATCATTCTCAGGAACTACTTTGTGATATGTGCATTCAACTCCCAGAGTTTAACCTTTCTTTTCATAGATGAGTTTGGAAACAGTCAGTGTGTAAATTCTGCAACTGGATATTTGGACCTCTTTGAGGCTTTCGTTGGAAACGGGATTTCTTCACATAATGCTAGACAGAAGAATTCTCAGTAACTTCTTTTGGGATGTATGTATTCAAATCAGAGAGTTGAACCTTCCTTTAGACAGAGCGGATTGGAAACACTCTTTTTGTGGAATTTGCAAGTGGAAAATTCTAGCAGTATGAGGCCAATGGTACAAAAGGAAATATCTTCGTATAAAAACTAGACAGTATCATTCTCAGAAACTGCTTTGTGATGTGTGTATTAAACTCACAGAGTTGAACATTTCTTTGCATAGAGCAGTTTGGAAAGACTTAGTTTGTGCAGTGTGCAAGTGGATATTTGGAACTCTTTGAGGCCTTCGTTGGAAACGGGATTTCTTCTTATAATTCTTGACAAAAGAATTCTCAGTAGCTTCTTTGTGTGTGTGTGTATTCAACTCACAGAGTTGAACCTTCCTTTAGACAGAGCAGATTGGAAACACTCTTTTTGTGGAATTTGCAAGTGGAGAATTCTAGCGCTTTGACGCCAATGGTAGAAAGGAAATATCTTCGTATAAAAACTAGACAGTATCATTCTCAGAAGCTACTTTGTGATGTGTGCGTTCAACTCACAGAGTTTAACCTTTCTTTTCATAGAGCAGTTTGGAAACCCTCTGTTTGTGAAGTCTGCAAGTGGATATTTAAACGTCTTTGAGGCCTTCGTTGGAAACGGGATTTTTTCATATAAACCAGGACAGAAGAATTCTCAGAAACTTCTTGATTGTTATGTGTGCATTCAACTCACAGAGTTGAACCTTACTTTGGAAAGAGCAGTTTTCTAACACTCTTTTTGTAAAAGTTCCAAGTGAATACTTTGAGTGCTTTGAAGCCTACGGTTGACAACGAAATATCTTCATGTAAAAACTACAAAGAATCATTCGCAGAAACCACGTTGTGATCTCTGCAGTCAACTCACAGAGTTCAACCTTTCTTCCTATAGAGCAGTTATGAAACAGTCTCTTTGTAGAATTTGCAAGGGTGTATTTAGAGGGCATTGAAGCCTACGGTAGAAAAGGAAATATCTTACCATAAAATCTAGTCAGAAGCATTCTCAGAAACTGAGTTGTGATGTTTGCATTCAACTCACAGAGTTCAACATTCCTTTTAATGGAGCGGTTTTGAAACACTCTTTTTGCAGAATCTGCAAGTGGATATTTGGACCTCTTTGAGGCCTTCGTTGGAAACGGGATTTCTTCATGTAATGCCAGACAGAAGAATTCTCAGTGAATTCTTTCTGTGTGTGTGTATTCAACTCACAGAGTTGAACGTTCCTTTAGACAGAGTAGATTGGAAACACTCTTTTTGTGGAATTTTCAGGTGGAGGTATCAAGCGCTTTGAGGCCAATGATAGAAAAGGAAATACCTTCGTATAATAATTAGACGGAATCATTCTCAGAAACCGCTTTGCAATGTGTGCGTTCAACTCACAGTGTTTAACCTTTCTTTTCATACAGTTGTTTCGAAACACTCTTTTTGCAGAATCTGCAAGTGGATATTTGGACCTCTTTGAAGTCTTCGTTGGAAATGGGATTTCTTCATATAATGCTAGACAGAAGACTTCTCAGTAACTGCTTTTTCTGGTGTGTATTCAACTCTCAGAGTTGAACTTTCCTTTAGAAACAGCAGATTTGAAACTCTCTTTTTGTGGAATTTGCAAGTGGAGATTTCAGAGCTTTGAGGCCAATGGTAGAAAAGGAAATATCTTCGTATGCAAACTAGACAGAATCATTCTCAGAAACTACTTTGGTACGTGTGTGTTCAACTCACAGTGTTTAACCTTTCTTTTCATAGAGCAGTTTGGAAACACTCAGTTTGTAAAGTCAGCAACTGGATATTTGGATGTATTTGAGGCCTTCGTTGGAAACGGGATTTCTTCATATAATGCTAGACAGAAGAATTCTCAGTAACTTCTTTGGGTTGTGGGTATTCAACTCACAGAGTTGAAGCTTCCTTTAGGTGGAGCAGATTGGAAACACTTTTTGTGGAATTTTCAGGGGGAGACTTCAAGCGCTTTGAAGTGAATGGTAGGAAAGGAAATATCTTCGTATAAAAACTAGACGGAGTCATTCTCAGAAACTACTTTGTGATGTTTGCGTTCAACTCACAGAGTTTAACGTTTCTTTTCATAGAGCAGTTTGGAAACACTCTTTTTGCAGAATCTGCAAGTGGATATTTGGACCTCTTTGTGGCCTTCGTTGGAAACGGGATTTTTCATATAATGCTAGACAGAAGAATTCTCAGTAACTTCTTTTTGTGGTGTGTATTCAACTCACAGAGTTGAACCTTCCTTTAGACAGAGCAGATTTGAAACTCTCTTTTTGTGGAATTTGCAAGTGGAGATTTCAAGCGCTTTGAGGCCAACGGCAGAAAAGGAAATATCTGCGTAGAAAAAATAGACGGAATCATTCTCAGAAACTGCTTTGGGATGTGTGCATTGAACTCACAGTGTTTAACACTTCTTTTCATAGAGCACTTTGGAAACACTCAGTTTGTAATGTCTGCAGCTGGATATTTGGACCTCTTTGAGGCCTTCGTGGTAAACGGGATTTCTTCGTGTAATGATAGACAATAGAATTCTCAGTGAATTTTTTTCTGTGTGTGTGTATTCAACTCACAGGGTTGAACCTTCCTTTAGACAGTGCAGATTTGAAACACTTGTCTGTGGAATTTGCAAGGGGAGATTTCAAGCACTTTGAGGCCATTGGTGGAAAAGGAAATATCTTCGTATAAAAACTAGACAGAATCATTCTCAGGAACTACTTTGTGATATGTGCATTCAACTCACAGAGTTTAACCTTTCTTTTCATAGATGAGTTTGGAAACAGTCAGTTTGTAAATTCTGCAACTGGATATTTGGACCTCTTTGAGGCTTTCGTTGGAAACGGGATTTCTTCACATAATGCTAGACAGAAGAATTCTCAGTAACTTCTTTTGGGATGTATGTATTCAAATCAGAGAGTTGAACCTTCCTTTAGACAGAGCGGATTGGAAACACTCTTTTTGTGGAATTTGCAAGTGGAAAATTCTAGCAGTATGAGGCCAATGGTACAAAAGGAAATATCTTCGTATAAAAACTAGACAGTATCATTCTCAGAAACTGCTTTGTGATGTGTGTATTAAACTCACAGAGTTGAACATTTCTTTGCATAGAGCAGTTTGGAAAGACTTAGCTTGTGCAGTGTGCAAGTGGATATTTGGAACTCTTTGAGGCCTTCGTTGGAAACGGGATTTCTTCTTATAATTCTTGACAAAAGAATTCTCAGTAGCTTCTTTGTGTGTGTGTATTCAACTCACAGAGTTGAACCTTCCTTTAGACAGAGCAGATTGGAAACACTCTTTTTGTGGAATTTGCAAGTGGAGAATTCTAGCGCTTTGACGCCAATGGTAGAAAGGAAATATCTTCGTATAAAAACTAGACAGTATCATTCTCAGAAGCTACTTTGTGATGTGTGCGTTCAACTCACAGAGTTTAACCTTTCTTTTCATAGAGCAGTTTGGAAACCCTCTGTTTGTGAAGTCTGCAAGTGGATATTTAAACGTCTTTGAGGCCTTCGTTGGAAACGGGATTTCTTCATATAAACCAGGACAGAAGAATTCTCAGAAACTTCTTGATTGTTATGTGTGCATTCAACTCACAGAGTTCAACCTTACTTTGGAAAGAGCAGTTTTCTAACACTCTTTTTGTAAAAGTTCCAAGTGAATACTTTGAGTGCTTTGAAGCCTACGGTTGACAACGAAATATCTTCATGTAAAAACTACAAAGAATCATTCGCAGAAACCACGTTGTGATCTCTGCATTCAACTCACAGTGTTGAACCTTTCTTCCTATAGAGCAGTTATGAAACAGTCTCTTTGTAGAATTTGCAAGGGTGTATTTAGAGGGCATTGAAGCCTACGGTAGAAAAGGAAATATCTTACCATAAAATCTAGTCAGAAGAATTCTCAGTAGCTTCTTTGTGTGTGTGTATTCAACTCACAGAGTTCAACATTCCTTTTAATGGAGCGGTTTTGAAACACTCTTTTTGCAGAATCTGCAAGTGGATATTTGGACCTCTTTGAGGCCTTCGTTGGAAACGGGATTTCTTCATGTAATGCCAGACAGAAGAATTCTCAGTGAATTCTTTCTGTGTGTGTGTATTCAACTCACAGAGTTGAACGTTCCTTTAGACAGAGTAGATTGGAAACACTCTTTTTGTGGAATTTTCAGGTGGAGGTATCAAGCGCTTTGAGGCCAATGATAGAAAAGGAAATACCTTCGTATAATAATTAGACGGAATCATTCTCAGAAACCGCTTTGCAATGTGTGCGTTCAACTCACAGTGTTTAACCTTTCTTTTCATACAGTTGTTTCGAAACACTCTTTTTGCAGAATCTGCAAGTGGATATTTGGACCTCTTTGAAGTCTTCGTTGGAAATGGGATTTCTTCATATAATGCTAGACAGAAGACTTCTCAGTAACTGCTTTTTCTGGTGTGTATTCAACTCTCAGAGTTGAACTTTCCTTTAGAAACAGCAGATTTGAAACTCTCTTTTTGTGGAATTTGCAAGTGGAGATTTCAGAGCTTTGAGGCCAATGGTAGAAAAGGAAATATCTTCGTATGCAAACTAGACAGAATCATTCTCAGAAACTACTTTGGTACGTGTGTGTTCAACTCACAGTGTTTAACCTTTCTTTTCATAGAGCAGTTTGGAAACACTCAGTTTGTAAAGTCAGCAACTGGATATTTGGATGTATTTGAGGCCTTCGTTGGAAACGGGATTTCTTCATATAATGCTAGACAGAAGAATTCTCAGTAACTTCTTTGGGTTGTGGGTATTCAAGTCACAGAGTTGAAGCTTCCTTTAGGCGGAGCAGATTGGAAACACTTTTTGTGGAATTTTCAGGGGGAGACTTCAAGCGCTTTGAAGTGAATGGTAGGAAAGGAAATATCTTCGTATAAAAACTAGACGGAGTCATTCTCAGAAACTACTTTGTGATGTTTGCGTTCAACTCACAGAGTTTAACGTTTCTTTTCATAGAGCAGTTTGGAAACACTCTTTTTGCAGAATCTGCAAGTGGATATTTGGACCTCTTTGTGGCCTTCGTTGGAAACGGGATTTTTCATATAATGCTAGACAGAAGAATTCTCAGTAACTTCTTTTTGTGGTGTGTATTCAACTCACAGAGTTGAACCTTCCTTTAGACAGAGCAGATTTGAAACTCTCTTTTTGTGGAATTTGCAAGTGGAGATTTCAAGCGCTTTGAGGCCAACGGCAGAAAAGGAAATATCTTCGTAGAAAAAATAGACGGAATCATTCTCAGAAACTGCTTTGGGATGTGTGCATTGAACTCACAGTGTTTAACACTTCTTTTCATAGAGCACTTTGGAAACACTCAGTTTGTAATGTCTGCAGCTGGATATTTGGACCTCTTTGAGGCCTTCGTAGTAAACGGGATTTCTTCGTGTAATGATAGACAATAGAATTCTCAGTGAATTTGTTTCTGTGTGTGTGTATTCAACTCACAGGGTTGAACCTTCCTTTAGACAGTGCAGATTTGAAACACTTGTCTGTGGAATTTGCAAGGGGAGATTTCAAGCACTTTGAGGCCATTGGTGGAAAAGGAAATATCTTCGTATAAAAACTAGACAGAATCATTCTCAGGAACTACTTTGTGATATGTGCATTCAACTCACAGAGTTTAACCTTTCTTTTCATAGATGAGTTTGGAAACAGTCAGTTTGTAAATTCTGCAACTGGATATTTGGACCTCTTTGAGGCTTTCGTTGGAAACGGGATTTCTTCACATAATGCTAGACAGAAGAATTCTCAGTAACTTCTTTTGGGATGTGTGTATTCAAATCAGAGAGTTGAACCTTCCTTTAGACAGAGCGGATTGGAAACACTCTTTTTGTGGAATTTGCAAGTGGAAAATTCTAGCAGTATGAGGCCAATGGTACAAAAGGAAATATCTTCGTATAAAAACTAGACAGTATCATTCTCAGAAACTGCTTTGTGATGTGTGTATTAAACTCACAGAGTTGAACATTTCTTTGCATAGAGCAGTTTGGAAAGACTTAGTTTGTGCAGTGTGCAAGTGGATATTTGGAACTCTTTGAGGCCTTCGTTGGAAACGGGATTTCTTCTTATAATTCTTGACAAAAGAATTCTCAGTAGCTTCTTTGTGTGTGTGTATTCAACTCACAGAGTTGAACCTTCCTTTAGACAGAGCAGATTGGAAACACTCTTTTTGTGGAATTTGCAAGTGGAGAATTCTAGCGCTTTGACGCCAATGGTAGAAAGGAAATATCTTCGTATAAAAACTAGACAGTATCATTCTCAGAAGCTACTTTGTGATGTGTGCGTTCAACTCACAGAGTTTAACCTTTCTTTTCATAGAGCAGTTTGGAAACCCTCTGTTTGTGAAGTCTGCAAGTGGATATTTAAACGTCTTTGAGGCCTTCGTTGGAAACGGGATTTTTTCATATAAACCAGGACAGAAGAATTCTCAGAAACTTCTTGATTGTTATGTGTGCATTCAACTCACAGAGTTGAACCTTACTTCGGAAAGAGCAGTTTTCTAACACTCTTTTTGTAAAAGTTCCAAGTGAATACTTTGAGTGCTTTGAAGCCTACGGTTGACAACGAAATATCTTCATGTAAAAACTACAAAGAATCATTCGCAGAAACCACGTTGTGATCTCTGCAGTCAACTCACAGAGTTCAACCTTTCTTCCTATAGAGCAGTTATGAAACAGTCTCTTTGTAGAATTTGCAAGGGTGTATTTAGAGGGCATTGAAGCCTACGGTAGAAAAGGAAATATCTTACCATAAAATCTAGTCAGAAGCATTCTCAGAAACTGAGTTGTGATGTTTGCATTCAACTCACAGAGTTCAACATTCCTTTTAATGGAGCGGTTTTGAAACACTCTTTTTGCAGAATCTGCAAGTGGATATTTGGACCTCTTTGAGGCCTTCGTTGGAAACGGGATTTCTTCATGTAATGCCAGACAGAAGAATTCTCAGTGAATTCTTTCTGTGTGTGTGTATTCAACTCACAGAGTTGAACGTTCCTTTAGACAGAGTAGATTGGAAACACTCTTTTTGTGGAATTTTCAGGTGGAGGTATCAAGCGCTTTGAGGCCAATGATAGAAAAGGAAATACCTTCGTATAATAATTAGACGGAATCATTCTCAGAAACCGCTTTGCAATGTGTGCGTTCAACTCACAGTGTTTAACCTTTCTTTTCATACAGTTGTTTCGAAACACTCTTTTTGCAGAATCTGCAAGTGGATATTTGGACCTCTTTGAAGTCTTCGTTGGAAATGGGATTTCTTCATATAATGCTAGACAGAAGACTTCTCAGTAACTGCTTTTTCTGGTGTGTATTCAACTCTCAGAGTTGAACTTTCCTTTAGAAACAGCAGATTTGAAACTCTCTTTTTGTGGAATTTGCAAGTGGAGATTTCAGAGCTTTGAGGCCAATGGTAGAAAAGGAAATATCTTCGTATGCAAACTAGACAGAATCATTCTCAGAAACTACTTTGGTACGTGTGTGTTCAACTCACAGTGTTTAACCTTTCTTTTCATAGAGCAGTTTGGAAACACTCAGTTTGTAAAGTCAGCAACTGGATATTTGGATGTATTTGAGGCCTTCGTTGGAAACGGGATTTCTTCATATAATGCTAGACAGAAGAATTCTCAGTAACTTCTTTGGGTTGTGGGTATTCAAGTCACAGAGTTGAAGCTTCCTTTAGGCGGAGCAGATTGGAAACACTTTTTGTGGAATTTTCAGGGGGAGACTTCAAGCGCTTTGAAGTGAATGGTAGGAAAGGAAATATCTTCGTATAAAAACTAGACGGAGTCATTCTCAGAAACTACTTTGTGATGTTTGCGTTCAACTCACAGAGTTTAACGTTTCTTTTCATAGAGCAGTTTGGAAACACTCTTTTTGCAGAATCTGCAAGTGGATATTTGGACCTCTTTGTGGCCTTCGTTGGAAACGGGATTTTTCATATAATGCTAGACAGAAGAATTCTCAGTAACTTCTTTTTGTGGTGTGTATTCAACTCACAGAGTTGAACCTTCCTTTAGACAGAGCAGATTTGAAACTCTCTTTTTGTGGAATTTGCAAGTGGAGATTTCAAGCGCTTTGAGGCCAACGGCAGAAAAGGAAATATCTTCGTAGAAAAAATAGACGGAATCATTCTCAGAAACTGCTTTGGGATGTGTGCATTGAACTCACAGTGTTTAACACTTCTTTTCATAGAGCACTTTGGAAACACTCAGGTTGTAATGTCTGCAGCTGGATATTTGGACCTCTTTGAGGCCTTCGTAGTAAACGGGATTTCTTCGTGTAATGATAGACAATAGAATTCTCAGTGAATTTTTTTCTGTGTGTGTGTATTCAACTCACAGGGTTGAACCTTCCTTTAGACAGTGCAGATTTGAGACACTTGTCTGTGGAATTTGCAAGGGGAGATTTCAAGCACTTTGAGGCCATTGGTGGAAAAGGAAATATCTTCGTATGAAAACTAGACAGAATCATTCTCAGGAACTACTTTGTGATATGTGCATTCAACTCCCAGAGTTTAACCTTTCTTTTCATAGATGAGTTTGGAAACAGTCAGTTTGTAAATTCTGCAACTGGATATTTGGACCTCTTTGAGGCTTTCGTTGGAAACGGGATTTCTTCACATAATGCTAGACAGAAGAATTCTCAGTAACTTCTTTTGGGATGTATGTATTCAAATCAGAGAGTTGAACCTTCCTTTAGACAGAGCGGATTGGAAACACTCTTTTTGTGGAATTTGCAAGTGGAAAATTCTAGCAGTATGAGGCCAATGGTACAAAAGGAAATATTCTTCGTATAAAAACTAGACAGTATCATTCTCAGAAACTGCTTTGTGATGTGTGTATTAAACTCACAGAGTTGAACATTTCTTTGCATAGAGCAGTTTGGAAAGACTTAGTTTGTGCAGTGTGCAAGTGGATATTTGGAACTCTTTGAGGCCTTCGTTGGAAACGGGATTTCTTCTTATAATTCTTGACAAAAGAATTCTCAGTAGCTTCTTTGTGTGTGTGTATTCAACTCACAGAGTTGAACCTTCCTTTAGACAGAGCAGATTGGAAACACTCTTTTTGTGGAATTTGCAAGTGGAGAATTCTAGCGCTTTGACGCCAATGGTAGAAAGGAAATATCTTCGTATAAAAACTAGACAGTATCATTCTCAGAAACTACTTTGTGATGTGTGCGTTCAACTCACAGAGCTTAACCTTTCTTTTCATAGAGCAGTTTGGAAACACTCTGTTTGTGAAGTCTGCAAGTGGATATTTAAACGTCTTTGAGGCCTTCGTTGGAAACGGGATTTGTTCATATAAACCAGGACAGAAGAATTCTCAGTAACTTCTTTGGGTTGTGGGTATTCAACTCACAGAGTTGAAGCTTCCTTTAGGCGGAGCAGATTGGAAACACTTTTTGTGGAATTTTCAGGGGGAGACTTCAAGCGCTTTGAAGTGAATGGTAGGAAAGGAAATATCTTCGTATAAAAACTAGACGGAGTCATTCTCAGAAACTACTTTGTGATGTTTGCGTTCAACTCACAGAGTTTAACGTTTCTTTTCATAGAGCAGTTTGGAAACACTCTTTTTGCAGAATCTGCAAGTGGATATTTGGACCTCTTTGTGGCCTTCGTTGGAAACGGGATTTTTCATATAATGCTAGACAGAAGAATTCTCAGTAACTTCTTTTTGTGGTGTGTATTCAACTCACAGAGTTGAACCTTCCTTTAGACAGAGCAGATTTGAAACTCTCTTTTTGTGGAATTTGCAAGTGGAGATTTCAAGCGCTTTGAGGCCAACGGCAGAAAAGGAAATATCTTCGTAGAAAAAATAGACGGAATCATTCTCAGAAACTGCTTTGGGATGTGTGCATTGAACTCACAGTGTTTAACACTTCTTTTCATAGAGCACTTTGGAAACACTCAGTTTGTAATGTCTGCAGCTGGATATTTGGACCTCTTTGAGGCCTTCGTAGTAAACGGGATTTCTTCGTGTAATGATAGACAATAGAATTCTCAGTGAATTTGTTTCTGTGTGTGTGTATTCAACTCACAGTGTTGAACCTTCCTTTAGACAGTGCAGATTTGAAACACTTGTCTGTGGAATTTGCAAGGGGAGATTTCAAGCACTTTGAGGCCATTGGTGGAAAAGGAAATATCTTCGTATAAAAACTAGACAGAATCATTCTCAGGAACTACTTTGTGATATGTGCATTCAACTCACAGAGTTTAACCTTTCTTTTCATAGATGAGTTTGGAAACAGTCAGTTTGTAAATTCTGCAACTGGATATTTGGACCTCTTTGAGGCTTTCGTTGGAAACGGGATTTCTTCACATAATGCTAGACAGAAGAATTCTCAGTAAATTCTTTTGGGATGTATGTATTCAAATCAGAGAGTTGAACCTTCCTTTAGACAGAGCGGATTGGAAACACTCTTTTTGTGGAATTTGCAAGTGGAAAATTCTAGCAGTATGAGGCCAATGGTACAAAAGGAAATATCTTCGTACAAAAACTAGACAGTATCATTCTCAGAAACTGCTTTGTGATGTGTGTATTAAACTCACAGAGTTGAACATTTCTTTGCATAGAGCAGTTTGGAAAGACTTAGTTTGTGCAGTGTGCAAGTGGATATTTGGAACTCTTTGAGGCCTTCGTTGGAAACGGGATTTCTTCTTATAATTCTTGACAAAAGAATTCTCAGTAGCTTCTTTGTGTGTGTGTATTCAACTCACAGAGTTGAACCTTCCTTTAGACAGAGCAGATTGGAAACACTCTTTTTGTGGAATTTGCAAGTGGAGAATTCTAGCGCTTTGACGCCAATGGTAGAAAGGAAATATCTTCGTATAAAAACTAGACAGTATCATTCTCAGAAGCTACTTTGTGATGTGTGCGTTCAACTCACAGAGTTTATCCTTTCTTTTCATAGAGCAGTTTGGAAACCCTCTGTTTGTGAAGTCTGCAAGTGGATATTTAAACGTCGTTGAGGCCTGCGTTGGAAACGGGATTTCTTCATATAAACCAGGACAGAAGAATTCTCAGAAACTTCTTGATTGTTATGTGTGCATTCAACTCACAGAGTTGAACCTTACTTTGGAAAGAGCAGTTTTCTAACACTCTTTTTGTAAAAGTTCCAAGTGAATACTTTGAGTGCTTTGAAGCCTACGGTTGACAACGAAATATCTTCATGTAAAAACTACAAAGAATCATTCGCAGAAACCACGTTGTGATCTCTGCATTCAACTCACAGAGTTGAACCTTTCTTCCTATAGAGCAGTTATGAAACAGTCTCTTTGTAGAATTTGCAAGGGTGTATTTAGAGGGCATTGAAGCCTACGGTAGAAAAGGAAATATCTTACCATAAAATCTAGTCAGAAGCATTCTCAGAAACTGAGTTGTGATGTTTGCATTCAACTCACAGAGTTCAACATTCCTTTTAATGGAGCGGTTTTGAAACACTCTTTTTGCAGAATCTGCAAGTGGATATTTGGACCTCTTTGAGGCCTTCGTTGGAAACGGGATTTCTTCATGTAATGCCAGACAGAAGAATTCTCAGTGAATTCTTTCTGTGTGTGTGTATTCAACTCACGGAGTTGAACGTTCCTTTAGACAGAGTAGATTGGAAACACTCTTTTTGTGGAATTTTCAGGTGGAGGTATCAAGCGCTTTGAGGCCAATGATAGAAAAGGAAATACCTTCGTATAATAATTAGACGGAATCATTCTCAGAAACTGCTTTGCAATGTGTGCGTTCAACTCACAGTGTTTAACCTTTCTTTTCATACAGTTGTTTCGAAACACTCTTTTTGCAGAATCTGCAAGTGGATATTTGGACCTCTTTGAAGTCTTCGTTGGAAATGGGATTTCTTCATATAATGCTAGACAGAAGACTTCTCAGTAACTGCCTTTTCTGGTGTGTATTCAACTCTCAGAGTTGAACTTTCCTTTAGAAACAGCAGAGTTGAAACTCTCTTTTTGTGGAATTTGCAAGTGGAGATTTCAAAGCTTTGAGGCCAATGGTAGAAAAGGAAATATCTTCGTATGCAAACTAGACAGAATCATTCTCAGAAACTACTTTGGTACGTGTGTGTTCAACTCACAGTGTTTAACCTTTCTTTTCATAGAGCAGTTTGGAAACACTCAGTTTGTAAAGTCAGCAACTGGATATTTGGATGTATTTGAGGCCTTCGTTGGAAACGGGATTTCTTCATATAATGCTAGACAGGAGAATTCTCAGTAACTTCTTTGGGTTGTGGGTATTCAAGTCACAGAGTTGAAGCTTCCTTTAGGCGGAGCAGATTGGAAACACTTTTTGTGGAATTTTCAGGGGGAGACTTCAAGCGCTTTGAAGTGAATGGTAGGAAAGGAAATATCTTCGTATAAAAACTAGACGGAGTCATTCTCAGAAACTACTTTGTGATGTTTGCGTTCAACTCACAGAGTTTAACGTTTCTTTTCATAGAGCAGTTTGGAAACACTCTTTTTGCAGAATCTGCAAGTGGATATTTGGACCTCTTTGTGGCCTTCGTTGGAAACGGGATTTTTCATATAATGCTAGACAGAAGAATTCTCAGTAACTTCTTTTTGTGGTGTGTATTCAACTCACAGAGTTGAACCTTCCTTTAGACAGAGCAGATTTGAAACTCTCTTTTTGTGGAATTTGCAAGTGGAGATTTCAAGCGCTTTGAGGCCAACGGCAGAAAAGGAAATATCTTCGTAGAAAAAATAGACGGCATCATTCTCAGAAACTGCTTTGGGATGTGTGCATTGAACTCACAGTGTTTAACACTTCTTTTCATAGAGCACTTTGGAAACACTCAGTTTGTAATGTCTGCAGCTGGATATTTGGACCTCTTTGAGGCCTTCGTGGTAAACGGGATTTCTT
The DNA here is from genome assembly GCF_000001405.40 of Homo sapiens. Classification (NCBI taxonomy): domain Eukaryota; kingdom Metazoa; phylum Chordata; class Mammalia; order Primates; family Hominidae; genus Homo; species Homo sapiens. Next base: position 92,189,031 of record NC_000003.12, read on the forward strand.
CGTGTAATGATAGACAATAGAATTCTCAGTGAATTTTTTTCTGTGTGTGTGTATTCAACTCACAGGGTTGAACCTTCCTTTAGACAGTGCAGATTTGAAACACTTGTCTGTGGAATTTGCAAGGGGAGATTTCAAGCACTTTGAGGCCATTGGTGGAAAAGGAAATATCTTCGTATGAAAACTAGACAGAATCATTCTCAGGAACTACTTTGTGATATGTGCATTCAACTCCCAGAGTTTAACCTTTCTTTTCATAGATGAGTTTGGAAACAGTCAGTTTGTAAATTCTGCAACTGGATATTTGGACCTCTTTGAGGCTTTCGTTGGAAACGGGATTTCTTCACATAATGCTAGACAGAAGAATTCTCAGTAACTTCTTTTGGGATGTATGTATTCAAATCAGAGAGTTGAACCTTCCTTTAGACAGAGCGGATTGGAAACACTCTTTTTGTGGAATTTGCAAGTGGAAAATTCCTAGCAGTATGAGGCCAATGGTACAAAAGGAAATATCTTCGTATAAAAACTAGACAGTATCATTCTCAGCAAACTGCTTTGTGATGTGTGTATTAAACTCACAGATTTGAACATTTCTTTGCATAGAGCAGTATGGAAAGACTTAGTTTGTGCAGTGTGCAAGTGGATATTTGGAACTCTTTGAGGCCTTGGTTGGAAACGGGATTTCTTCTTATAATTCTTGACAAAAGAATTCTCAGTAGCTTCTTTGTGTGTGTGTATTCAACTCACAGAGTTGAACCTTCCTTTAGACAGAGCAGATTGGAAACACTCTTTTTGTGGAATTTGCAAGTGGAGAATTCTAGCGCTTTGACGCCAATGGTAGAAAGGAAATATCTTCGTATAAAAACTAGACAGTATCATTCTCAGAAACTACTTTGTGATGTGTGCGTTCAACTCACAGAGTTTAACCTTTCTTTTCATAGAGCAGTTTGGAAACACTCTGTTTGTGAAGTCTGCAAGTGGATATTTAAACGTCTTTGAGGCCTTCGTTGGAAACGGGATTTTTTCATATAAACCAGGACAGAAGAATTCTCAGAAACTTCTTGATTGTTATGTGTGCATTCAACTCACAGAGTTGAACCTTACTTTGGAAAGAGCAGTTTTCTAACACTCTTTTTGTAAAAGTTCCAAGTGAATACTTTGAGTGCTTTGAAGCCTACGGTTGACAACGAAATATCTTCATGTAAAAACTACAAAGAATCATTCGCAGAAACCACGTTGTGATCTCTGCATTCAACTCACAGAGTTGAACCTTTCTTCCTATAGAGCAGTTATGAAACAGTCTCTTTGTAGAATTTGCAAGGGTGTATTTAGAGGGCATTGAAGCCTACGGTATAAAAGGAAATATCTTACCATAAAATCTAGTCAGAAGCATTCTCAGAAACTGAGTTGTGATGTTTGCATTCAACTCACAGAGTTCAACATTCCTTTTCATGGAGCGGTTTTGAAACACTCTTTTTGCAGAATCTGCAAGTGGATATTTGGACCTCTTTGAGGCCTTCGTTGAAAACGGGATTTCTTCATGTAATGCCAGACAGAAGAATTCTCAGTGAATTCTTTCTGTGTGTGTGTATTCAACTCACAGAGTTGAACGTTCCTTTAGACAGAGTAGATTGGAAACACTCTTTTTGTGGAATTTTCAGGTGGAGGTATCAAGCGGTTTGAGGCCAATGATAGAAAAGGAAATACCTTCGTATAATAATTAGACGGAATCATTCTCAGAAACTGCTTTGCAATGTGTGCGTTCAACTCACAGTGTTTAACCTTTCTTTTCATACAGTTGTTTCGAAACACTCTTTTTGCAGAATCTGCAAGTGGATATTTGGACCTCTTTGAAGTCTTCGTTGGAAATGGGATTTCTTCATATAATGCTAGACAGAAGACTTCTCAGTAACTGCTTTTTCTGGTGTGTATTCAACTCTCAGAGTTGAACTTTCCTTTAGAAACAGCAGATTTGAAACTCTCTTTTTGTGGAATTTGCAAGTGGAGATTTCAGAGCTTTGAGGCCAATGGTAGAAAAGGAAATATCTTCGTATGCAAACTAGACAGAATCATTCTCAGAAACTACTTTGGTACGTGTGTGTTCAACTCACAGTGTTTAACCTTTCTTTTCATAGAGCAGTTTGGAAACACTCAGTTTGTAAAGTCAGCAACTGGATATTTGGATGTATTTGAGGCCTTCGTTGGAAACGGGATTTCTTCATATAGTGCTAGACAGAAGAATTCTCAGTAACTTCTTTGGGTTGTGGGTATTCAAGTCACAGAGTTGAAGCTTCCTTTAGGCGGAGCAGATTGGAAACACTTTTTGTGGAATTTTCAGGGGGAGACTTCAAGCGCTTTGAAGTGAATGGTAGGAAAGGAAATATCTTCGTATAAAAACTAGACGGAGTCATTCTCAGAAACTACTTTGTGATGTTTGCGTTCAACTCACAGAGTTTAACGTTTCTTTTCATAGAGCAGTTTGGAAACACTCTTTTTGCAGAATCTGCAAGTGGATATTTGGTCCTCTTTGTGGCCTTCGTTGGAAACGGGATTTTTCATATAATGCTAGACAGAAGAATTCTCAGTAACTTCTTTTTGTGGTGTGTATTCAACTCACAGAGTTGAACCTTCCTTTAGACAGAGCAGATTTGAAACTCTCTTTTTGTGGAATTTGCAAGTGGAGATTTCAAGCGCTTTGAGGCCAACGGCAGAAAAGGAAATATCTTCGTAGAAAAAATAGACGGAATCATTCTCAGAAACTGCTTTGGGATGTGTGCATTGAACTCACAGTGTTTAACACTTCTTTTCATAGAGCACTTTGGAAACACTCAGTTTGTAATGTCTGCAGCTGGATATTTGGACCTCTTTGAGGCCTTCGTAGTAAACGGGATTTCTTCGTGTAATGATAGACAATAGAATTCTCAGTGAATTTTTTTCTGTGTGTGTGTATTCAACTCACAGGGTTGAACCTTCCTTTAGACAGTGCAGATTTGAAACACTTGTCTGTGGAATTTGCAAGGGGAGATTTCAAGCACTTTGAGGCCATTGGTGGAAAAGGAAATATCTTCGTATAAAAACTAGACAGAATCATTCTCAGGAACTACTTTGTGATATGTGCATTCAACTCCCAGCAGTTTAACCTTTCTTTTCATAGATGAGTTTGGAAACAGTCAGTTTGTAAATTCTGCCACTGGATATTTGGACCTCTTTGAGGCTTTCGTTGGAAACGGGATTTCTTCACATAATGCTAGACAGAAGAATTCTCAGTAACTTCTTTTGGGATGTATGTATTCAAATCAGAGAGTTGAACCTTCCTTTAGACAGAGCGGATTGGAAACACTCTTTTTGTGGAATTTGCAAGTGGAAAATTCTAGCAGTATGAGGCCAATGGTACAAAAGGAAATATCTTCGTATAAAAACTAGACAGTATCATTCTCAGAAACTGCTTTGTGATGTGTGTATTAAACTCACAGAGTTTAACCTTTCTTTTCATAGAGCAGTTTGGAAACCCTCTGTTTGTGAAGTCTGCAAGTGGATATTTAAACGTCTTTGAGGCCTTCGTTGGAAACGGGATTTTTTCATATAAACCAGGACAGAAGAATTCTCAGAAACTTCTTGATTGTTATGTGTGCATTCAACTCACAGAGTTGAACCTTACTTTGGAAAGAGCAGTTTTCTAACACTCTTTTTGTAAAAGTTCCAAGTGAATACTTTGAGTGCTTTGAAGCCTACGGTTGACAACGAAATATCTTCATGTAAAAACTACAAAGAATCATTCGCAGAAACCACGTTGTGATCTCTGCATTCAACTCACAGTGTTGAACCTTTCTTCCTATAGAGCAGTTATGAAACAGTCTCTTTGTAGAATTTGCAAGGGTGTATTTAGAGGGCATTGAAGCCTACGGTAGAAAAGGAAATATCTTACCATAAAATCTAGTCAGAAGCATTCTCAGAAACTGAGTTGTGATGTTTGCATTCAACTCACAGAGTTCAACATTCCTTTTAATGGAGCGGTTTTGAAACACTCTTTTTGCAGAATCTGCAAGTGGATATTTGGACCTCTTTGAGGCCTTCGTTGGAAACGGGATTTCTTCATGTAATGCCAGACAGAAGAATTCTCAGTGAATTCTTTCTGTGTGTGTGTATTCAACTCACAGAGTTGAACGTTCCTTTAGACAGAGTAGATTGGAAACACTCTTTTTGTGGAATTTTCAGGTGGAGGTATCTAGCGCTTTGAGACCAATGATAGAAAAGGAAATACCTTCGTATAATAATTAGACGGAATCATTCTCAGAAACTGCTTTGCAATGTGTGCGTTCAACTCACAGTGTTTAACCTTTCTTTTCATACAGTTGTTTCGAAACACTCTTTTTGCAGAATCTGCAAGTGGATATTTGGACCTCTTTGAAGTCTTCGTTGGAAATGGGATTTCTTCATATAATGCTAGACAGAAGACTTCTCAGTAACTGCTTTTTCTGGTGTGTATTCAACTCTCAGAGTTGAACTTTCCTTTAGAAACAGCAGATTTGAAACTCTCTTTTTGTGGAATTTGCAAGTGGAGATTTCAGAGCTTTGAGGCCAATGGTAGAAAAGGAAATATCTTCGTATGCAAACTAGACAGAATCATTCTCAGAAACTACTTTGGTACGTGTGTGTTCAACTCACAGTGTTTAACCTTTCTTTTCATAGAGCAGTTTGGAAACACTCAGTTTGTAAAGTCAGCAACTGGATATTTGGATGTATTTGAGGCCTTCGTTGGAAACGGGATTTCTTCATATAGTGCTAGACAGAAGAATTCTCAGTAACTTCTTTGGGTTGTGGGTATTCAAGTCACAGAGTTGAAGCTTCCTTTAGGCGGAGCAGATTGGAAACACTTTTTGTGGAATTTTCAGGGGGAGACTTCAAGCGCTTTGAAGTGAATGGTAGGAAAGGAAATATCTTCGTATAAAAACTAGACGGAGTCATTCTCAGAAACTACTTTGTGATGTTTGCGTTCAACTCACAGAGTTTAACGTTTCTTTTCATAGAGCAGTTTGGAAACACTCTTTTTGCAGAATCTGCAAGTGGATATTTGGACCTCTTTGTGGCCTTCGTTGGAAACGGGATTTTTCATATAATGCTAGACAGAAGAATTCTCAGTAACTTCTTTTTGTGGTGTGTATTCAACTCACAGAGTTGAACCTTCCTTTAGACAGAGCAGATTTGAAACTCTCTTTTTGTGGAATTTGCAAGTGGAGATTTCAAGCGCTTTGAGGCCAACGGCAGAAAAGGAAATATCTTCGTAGAAAAAATAGACGGAATCATTCTCAGAAACTGCTTTGGGATGTGTGCATTGAACTCACAGTGTTTAACACTTCTTTTCATAGAGCACTTTGGAAACACTCAGTTTGTAATGTCTGCAGCTGGATATTTGGACCTCTTTGAGGCCTTCGTAGTAAACGGGATTTCTTCGTGTAATGATAGACAATAGAATTCTCAGTGAATTTTTTTCTGTGTGTGTGTATTCAACTCACAGGGTTGAACCTTCCTTTAGACAGTGCAGATTTGAAACACTTGTCTGTGGAATTTGCAAGGGGAGATTTCAAGCACTTTGAGGCCATTGGTGGAAAAGGAAATATCTTCGTATAAAAACTAGACAGAATCATTCTCAGGAACTACTTTGTGATATGTGCATTCAACTCCCAGAGTTTAACCTTTCTTTTCATAGATGAGTTTGGAAACAGTCAGTTTGTAAATTCTGCAACTGGATATTTGGACCTCTTTGAGGCTTTCGTTGGAAACGGGATTTCTTCACATAATGCTAGACAGAAGAATTCTCAGTAACTTCTTTTGGGATGTATGTATTCAAATCAGAGAGTTGAACCTTCCTTTAGACAGAGCGGATTGGAAACACTCTTTTTGTGGAATTTGCAAGTGGAAAATTCTAGCAGTATGAGGCCAATGGTACAAAAGGAAATATCTTCGTATAAAAACTAGACAGTATCATTCTCAGAAACTGCTTTGTGATGTGTGTATTAAACTCACAGAGTTGAACATTTCTTTGCATAGAGCAGTTTGGAAAGACTTAGTTTGTGCAGTGTGCAAGTGGATATTTGGAACTCTTTGAGGCCTTCGTTGGAAACGGGATTTCTTCTTATAATTTCTTGACAAAAGAATTCTCAGTAGCTTCTTTGTGTGTGTGTATTCAACTCACAGAGTTGAACCTTCCTTTAGACAGAGCAGATTGGAAACACTCTTTTTGTGGAATTTGCAAGTGGAGAATTCTAGCGCTTTGACGCCAATGGTAGAAAGGAAATATCTTCGTATAAAAACTAGACAGTATCATTCTCAGAAACTGCTTTGTGATGTGTGTATTAAACTCACAGAGTTGAACATTTCTTTGCATAGAGCAGTTTGGAAAGACTTAGTTTGTGCAGTGTGCAAGTGGATATTTGGAACTCTTTGAGGCCCTTCGTTGGAAACGGGATTTCTTCTTATAATTCTTGACAAAGAATTCTCAGTAGCTTCTTTGTGTGTGTGTACTCAACTCACAGAGTTGAACCTTCCTTTAGACAGAGCAGATTGGAAACACTCTTTTTGTGGAATTTGCAAGTGGAAAATTCTAGCAGTATGAGGCCAATGGTACAAAAGGAAATATCTTCGTATAAAAACTAGACAGTATCATTCTCAGAAGCTACTTTGTGATGTGTGCGTTCAACTCACAGAGTTTAACCTTTCTTTTCATAGAGCAGTTTGGAAACACTCTGTTTGTGAAGTCTGCAAGTGGATATTTAAACGTCTTTGAGGCCTTCGTTGGAAACGGGATTTTTTCATATAAACCAGGACAGAAGAATTCTCAGAAACTTCTTGATTGTTATGTGTGCATTCAACTCACAGAGTTGAACCTTACTTTGGAAAGAGCAGTTTTCTAACACTCTTTTTGGAAAAGTTCCAAGTGAATACTTTGAGTGCTTTGAAGCCTACGGTTGACAACGAAATATCTTCCTGTAAAAACTACAAAGAATCATTCGCAGAAACCACGTTGTGATCTCTGCATTCAACTCACAGTGTTGAACCTTTCTTCCTATAGAGCAGTTATGAAACAGTCTCTTTGTAGAATTTGCAAGGGTGTATTTAGAGGGCATTGAAGCCTACGGTAGAAAAGGAAATATCTTACCATAAAATCTAGTCAGAAGCATTCTCAGAAACTGAGTTGTGATGTTTGCATTCAACTCACAGAGTTCAACATTCCTTTTAATGGAGCGGTTTTGAAACACTCTTTTTGCAGAATCTGCAAGTGGATATTTGGACCTCTTTGAGGCCTTCGTTGGAAACGGGATTTCTTCATGTAATGCCAGACAGAAGAATTCTCAGTGAATTCTTTCTGTGTGTGTGTATTCAACTCACAGAGTTGAACGTTCCTTTAGACAGAGTAGATTGGAAACACTCTTTTTGTGGAATTTTCAGGTGGAGGTATCAAGCGCTTTGAGACCAATGATAGAAAAGGAAATACCTTCGTATAATAATTAGACGGAATCATTCTCAGAAACTGCTTTGCAATGTGTGCGTTCAACTCACAGTGTTTAACCTTTCTTTTCATACAGTTGTTTCGAAACACTCTTTTTGCAGAATCTGCAAGTGGATATTTGGACCTCTTTGAAGTCTTCGTTGGAAATGGGATTTCTTCATATAATGCTAGACAGAAGACTTCTCAGTAACTGCTTTTTCTGGTGTGTATTCAACTCTCAGAGTTGAACTTTCCTTTAGAAACAGCAGATTTGAAACTCTCTTTTTGTGGAATTTGCAAGTGGAGATTTCAGAGCTTTGAGGCCAATGGTAGAAAAGGAAATATCTTCGTATGCAAACTAGACAGAATCATTCTCAGAAACTACTTTGGTACGTGTGTGTTCAACTCACAGTGTTTAACCTTTCTTTTCATAGAGCAGTTTGGAAACACTCAGTTTGTAAAGTCAGCAACTGGATATTTGGATGTATTTGAGGCCTTCGTTGGAAACGGGATTTCTTCATATAATGCTAGACAGAAGAATTCTCAGTAACTTCTTTGGGTTGTGGGTATTCAAGTCACAGAGTTGAAGCTTCCTTTAGGCGGAGCAGATTGGAAACACTTTTTGTGGAATTTTCAGGGGGAGACTTCAAGCGCTTTGAAGTGAATGGTAGGAAAGGAAATATCTTCGTATAAAAACTAGACGGAGTCATTCTCAGAAACTACTTTGTGATGTTTGCGTTCAACTCACAGAGTTTAACGCTTCTTTTCATAGAGCAGTTTGGAAACACTCTTTTTGCAGAATCTGCAAGTGGATATTTGGACCTCTTTGTGGCCTTCGTTGGAAACGGGATTTTTCATATAATGCTAGACAGAAGAATTCTCAGTAACTTCTTTTTGTGGTGTGTATTCAACTCACAGAGTGGAACCTTCCTTTAGACAGAGCAGATTTGAAACTCTCTTTTCGTGGAATTTGCAAGTGGAGATTTCAAGCGCTTTGAGGCCAACGGTAGAAAAGGAAATATCTTCGTAGAAAAAATAGACGGAATCATTCTCAGAAACTGCTTTGGGATGTGTGCATTGAACTCACAGTGTTTAACACTTCTTTTCATAGAGCACTTTGGAAACACTCAGTTTGTAATGTCTGCAGCTGGATATTTGGACCTCTTTGAGGCCTTCGTAGTAAACGGGATTTCTTCGTGTAATGATAGACAATAGAATTCTCAGTGAATTTTTTTCTGTGTGTGTGTATTCAACTCACAGGGTTGAACCTTCCTTCAGACAGTGCAGATTTGAAACACTTTTCTGTGGAATTTGCAAGGGGAGATTTCAAGCACTTTGAGGCCATTGGTGGAAAAGGAAATATCTTCGTATAAAAACTAGACAGAATCATTCTCAGGAAGTACTTTGTGATATGTGCATTCAACTCACAGGGTTTAACCTTTCTTTTCATAGATGAGTTTGGAAACAGTCAGTTTGTAAATTCTGCAACTGGATATTTGGACCTCTTTGAGGCTTTCGTTGGAAACGGGATTTCTTCACATAATGCTAGACAGAAGAATTCGCAGTAACTTCCTTTGGGATGTATGTATTGAACTCAGAGAGTTGAACCTTCCTTTAGACAGAGCGCATTGGAAACACGCTTTTTGCGGAATTTTCAGGTGGAGATTCCAAGAGCCTTGAGGCCAATGGTAGAAAAGGCTATCTTCGTATAAAAACTAGAGGGAATCATTCTCAGAAACTGCTTTGTGATGTGTGTATTAAACTCACAGATTTGAACATTTCTTTGCATAGAGCAGTATGGAAAGACTTAGTTTGTGCAGTGTGCAAGTGGATATTTGGAACTCTTTGAGGGCCTTGGTTGGAAACGGGATTTCTTCTTATAATTCTTGACAAAAGAATTCTCAGTAGCTTCTTTGTGTGTGTGTGTACTCAACTCACAGAGTTGAACCTTCCTTTAGACAGAGCAGATTGGAAACACTCTTTTTGTGGAATTTGCAAGTGGAAAATTCTAGCAGTATGAGGCCAATGGTACAAAAGGAAATATCTTCGTATAAAAACTAGACAGTATCATTCTCAGAAACTACTTTGTGAGGTGTGCGTTCAACTCACAGTGTTTACCCTTTCTTTTCATAGAGCAGTTTGGAAACACTCTGTTTGTGAAGTCTGCAAGTGGATATTTAAACGTCTTTGAGGCCTTCGTTGGAAACGGGATTTCTTCATATAAACCAGGACAGAAGAATTCTCAGAAACTTCTTGTTTGTTATGTGTGCATTCAACTCACAGAGTTGAACCTTACTTTGGAAAGAGCAGTTTTCTAACACTCTTTTTGTAAAAGTTCCAAGTGAATACTTTGAGTGCTTTGAAGCCTACGGTAGACAACGAAATATCTTCATGTAAAAACTACAAAGAATCATTCGCAGAAACCACGTTGTGATCTCTGCATTCAACTCACAGAGTTGAACCTTTCCTCCTATAGAGCAGTTATGAAACAGTCTCTTTGTAGAATTTGCAAGGGTGTATTTACAGGGCATTGAAGCCTACGGTAGAAAAGGAAATATCTTACCATAAAATCTAGTCAGAAGCATTCTCAGAAACTGAGTTGTGATGTTTGCATTCAACTCACAGAGTTCAACATTCCTTTTAATGGAGCGGTTCTGAAACACTCTTTTTGCAGAATCTGCAAGTGGATATTTGGACCTCTTTGAGGCCTTCGTTGGAAACGGGATTTCTTCATGTAATGCCAGACAGAAGAATTCTCAGTGAATTCTTTCTGTGTGTGTGTATTCAACTCACGGAGTTGAACGTTCCTTTAGACAGAGTAGATTGGAAACACTCTTTTTGTGGAATTTTCAGGTGGAGGTATCAAGCGCTTTGAGGCCAATGATAGAAAAGGAAATACCTTCGTATAATAATTAGACGGAATCATTCTCAGAAACTGCTCTGCAATGTGTGCGTTCAACTCACAGTGTTTAACCTTTCTTTTCATACAGTTGTTTCGAAACACTCTTTTTGCAGAATCTGCAAGTGGATATTTGGACCTCTTTGAAGTCTTCGTTGGAAATGGGATTTCTTCATATAATGCTAGACAGAAGACTTCTCAGTAACTGCTTTTTCTGGTGTGTATTCAACTCTCAGAGTTGAACTTTCCTTTAGAAACAGCAGAGTTGAAACTCTCTTTTTGTGGAATTTGCAAGTGGAGATTTCAAAGCTTTGAGGCCAATGGTAGAAAAGGAAATATCTTCGTATGCAAACTAGACAGAATCATTCTCAGAAACTACTTTGGTACGTGTGTGTTCAACTCACAGTGTTTAACCTTTCTTTTCATAGAGCAGTTTGGAAACACTCAGTTTGTAAAGTCAGCAACTGGATATTTGGATGTATTTGAGGCCTTCGTTGGAAACGGGATTTCTTCATATAATGCTAGACAGAAGAATTCTCAGTAACTTCTTTGGGTTGTGGGTATTCAACTCACAGAGTTGAAGCTTCCTTTAGGCGGAGCAGATTGGAAACACTTTTTGTGGAATTTTCAGGGGGAGACTTCAAGCGCTTTGAAGTGAATGGTAGAAAAGGAAATATCTTCGTATAAAAAGTAGACGGAGTCATTCTCAGAAACTACTTTGTGATGTTTGCGTTCAACTCACAGAGTTTAACGTTTCTTTTCATAGAGCAGTTTGGAAACACTCTTTTTGCAGAATCTGCAAGTGGATATTTGGACCTCTTTGTGGCCTTCGTTGGAAACGGGATTTTTCATATAATGCTAGACAGAAGAATTCTCAGTAACTTCTTTTTGTGGTGTGTATTCAACTCACAGAGTTGAACCTTCCTTTAGACAGAGCAGATTTGAAACTCTCTTTTTGTGGAATTTGCAAGTGGAGATTTCAAGCGCTTTGAGGCCAACGGCAGAAAAGGAAATATCTTCGTAGAAAAAATAGACGGAATCATTCTCAGAAACTGCTTTGGGATGTGTGCATTGAACTCACAGTGTTTAACACTTCTTTTCATAGAGCACTTTGGAAACACTCAGTTTGTAATGTCTGCAGCTGGATATTTGGACCTCTTTGAGGCCTTCGTGGTAAACGGGATTTCTTCGTGTAATGATAGACAATAGAATTCTCAGTGAATTTTTTTCTGTGTGTGTGTATTCAACTCACAGGGTTGAACCTTCCTTTAGACAGTGCAGATTTGAAACACTTGTCTGTGGAATTTGCAAGGGGAGATTTCAAGCACTTTGAGGCCATTGGTGGAAAAGGAAATATCTTCGTATGAAAACTAGACAGAATCATTCTCAGGAACTACTTTGTGATATGTGCATTCAACTCCCAGAGTTTAACCTTTCTTTTCATAGATGAGTTTGGAAACAGTCAGTTTGTAAATTCTGCAACTGGATATTTGGACCTCTTTGAGGCTTTCGTTGGAAACGGGATTTACTTCACATAATGCTAGACAGAAGAATTCTCAGTAACTTCTTTTGGGATGTATGTATTCAAATCAGAGAGTTGAACCTTCCTTTAGACAGAGCGGATTGGAAACACTCTTTTTGTGGAATTTGCAAGTGGAAAATTCTAGCAGTATGAGGCCAATGGTACAAAAGGAAATATCTTCGTATAAAAACTAGACAGTATCATTCTCAGAAACTGCTTTGTGATGTGTGTATTAAACTCACAGAGTTGAACATTTCTTTGCATAGAGCAGTTTGGAAAGACTTAGTTTGTGCAGTGTGCAAGTGGATATTTGGAACTCTTTGAGGCCTTCGTTGGAAACGGGATTTCTTCTTATAATTCTTGACAAAAGAATTCTCAGTAGCTTCTTTGTGTGTGTGTATTCAACTCACAGAGTTGAACCTTCCTTTAGACAGAGCGGATTGGAAACACTCTTTTTGTGGAATTTGCAAGTGGAAAATTCTAGCAGTATGAGGCCAATGGTACAAAAGGAAATATCTTCGTATAAAAACTAGACAGTATCATTCTCAGAAACTGCTTTGTGATGTGTGTATTAAACTCACAGAGTTGAACATTTCTTTGCATAGAGCAGTTTGGAAAGACTTTGTTTGTGCAGTGTGCAAGTGGATATTTGGAACTCTTTGAGGCCTTCGTTGGAAACGGGATTTCTTCTTATAATTCTTGACAAAGTAATTCTCAGTAGCTTCTTTGTGTGTGTGTACTCAACTCACAGAGTTGAACCTTCCTTTAGACAGAGCAGATTGGAAACACTCTTTTTGTGGAATTTGCAAGTGGAAAATTCTAGCAGTATGAGGCCAATGGTACAAAAGGGAATATCTTCGTATGAAAACTAGACAGTATCATTCTCAGAAGCTACTTTGTGATGTGTGCGTTCAACTCACAGAGTTTAACCTTCCTTTTCATAGAGCAGTTTGGAAACCCTCTGTTTGTGAAGTCTGCAAGTGGATATTTAAACGTCTTTGAGGCCTTCGTTGGAAACGGGATTTCTTCATATAAACCAGGACAGAAGAATTCTCAGAAACTTCTTGATTGTTATGTGTGCATTCAACTCACAGAGTTGAACCTTACTTTGGAAAGAGCAGTTTTCTAACACTCTTTTTGTAAAAGTTCCAAGTGAATACTTTGAGTGCTTTGAAGCCTACGGTTGACAACGAAATATCTTCATGTAAAAACTACAAAGAATCATTCGCAGAAACCACGTTGTGATCTCTGCATTCAACTCACAGAGTTGAACCTTTCTTCCTATAGAGCAGTTATGAAACAGTCTCTTTGTAGAATTTGCAAGGGTGTATTTAGAGGGCATTGAAGCCTACGGTAGAAAAGGAAATATCTTACCATAAAATCTAGTCAGAAGCATTCTCAGCAACTGAGTCGTGATGTTTGCATTCAACTCACAGAGTTCAACATTCCTTTTAATGGAGCGGTTTTGAAACACTCTTTTTGCAGAATCTGCAAGTGGATATTTGGACCTGCTTTGAGGCCTTCGTTGGAAACGGGATTTCTTCATGTAATGCCAGACAGAAGAATTCTCAGTGAATTCTTTCTGTGTGTGTGTATTCAACTCACAGAGTTGAACGTTCCTTTAGACAGAGTAGATTGGAAACACTCTTTTTGTGGAATTTTCAGGTGGAGGTATCAAGCGCTTTGAGGCCAATGATAGAAAAGGAAATACCTTCGTATAATAATTAGACGGAATCATTCTCAGAAACCGCTTTGCAATGTGTGCGTTCAACTCACAGTGTTTAACCTTTCTTTTCATACAGTTGTTTCGAAACACTCTTTTTGCAGAATCTGCAAGTGGATATTTGGACCTCTTTGAAGTCTTCGTTGGAAATGGGATTTCTTCATATAATGCTAGACAGAAGACTTCTCAGTAACTGCTTTTTCTGGTGTGTATTCAACTCTCAGAGTTGAACTTTCCTTTAGAAACAGCAGATTTGAAACTCTCTTTTTGTGGAATTTGCAAGTGGAGATTTCAGAGCTTTGAGGCCACTGGTAGAAAAGGAAATATCTTCGTATGCAAACTAGACAGAATCATTCTCAGAAACTACTTTGGTACGTGTGTGTTCAACTCACAGTGTTTAACCTTTCTTTTCATAGAGCAGTTTGGAAACACTCAGTTTGTAAAGTCAGCAACTGGATATTTGGATGTATTTGAGGCCTTCGTTGGAAACGGGATTTCTTCATATAATGCTAGACAGAAGAATTCTCAGTAACTTCTTTGGGTTGTGGGTATTCAAGTCACAGAGTTGAAGCTTCCTTTAGGCGGAGCAGATTGGAAACACTTTTTGTGGAATTTTCAGGGGGAGACTTCAAGCGCTTTGAAGTGAATGGTAGGAAAGGAAATATCTTCGTATAAAAACTAGACGGAGTCATTCTCAGAAACTACTTTGTGATGTTTGCGTTCAACTCACAGAGTTTAACGTTTCTTTTCATAGAGCAGTTTGGAAACACTCTTTTTGCAGAATCTGCAAGTGGATATTTGGACCTCTTTGTGGCCTTCGTTGGAAACGGGATTTTTCATATAATGCTAGACAGAAGAATTCTCAGTAACTTCTTTTTGTGGTGTGTATTCAACTCACAGAGTTGAACCTTCCTTTAGACAGAGCAGATTTGAAACTCTCTTTTTGTGGAATTTGCAAGTGGAGATTTCAAGCGCTTTGAGGCCAACGGCAGAAAAGGAAACTATCTTCGTAGAAAAAATAGACGGAATCATTCTCAGAAACTACTTTGTGATGTGTGCGTTCAACTCACAGTGTTTAACACTTCTTTTCATACAGCACTTTGGAAACACTCAGTTTGTAAGGTTTGCAACTGGATATTTGGACCTCTTTGAGGCCTTCGCAGTAAACGGGATTTCTTCGTGTAATGATAGACAGTAGAATTCTCAGTGAATTTTTTTCTGTGTGTGTGTATTCAACTCACAGGGTTGAACCATCCTTTAGACAGTGCAGATTTGAAACACTTGTCTGTGGAATTTGCAAGGGGAGATTTCAAGCACTTTGAGGCCATTGGTGGAAAAGGAAATATCTTCGTATGAAAACTATACAGAATCATTCTCAGGAACTACTTTGTGATATGGGCATTCAACTCCCAGAGTTTAACCTTTCTTTTCATAGATGAGTTTGGAAACAGTCAGTTTGTAAATTCTGCAACTGGATATTTGGACCTCTTTGAGGCTTTCGTTGGAAACGGGATTTCTTCACATAATGCTAGACAGAAGAATTCTCAGTAACTTCTTTTGGGATGTATGTATTCAAATCAGAGAGTTGAACCTTCCTTTAGACAGAGCGGATTGGAAACACTCTTTTTGTGGAATTTGCAAGTGGAAAATTCTAGCAGTATGAGGCCAATGGTACAAAAGGAAATATTCTTCGTATAAAAACTAGACAGTAATCATTCTCAGAAACTGCTTTGTGATGTGTGAATTAAACTCACAGAGTTGAACATTTCTTTGCATAGAGCAGTTTGGAAAGACTTAGTTTTTGCAGTGTGCAAGTGGATATTTGGAACTCTTTGAGGCCTTCGTTGGAAACGGGATTTCTTCTTATAATTCTTGACAAAAGAATTCTCAGTAGCTTCTTTGTGTGTGTGTATTCAACTCACAGAGTTGAACCTTCCTTTAGACAGAGCAGATTGGAAACACTCTTTTTGTGGAATTTGCAAGTGGAGAATTCTAACGCTTTGACGCCAATGGTAGAAAGGAAATATCTTCGTATAAAAACTAGACAGTATCTTTCTCAGAAACAACTTTGTGATGTGTGCGTTCAACTCACAGAGTTTAACCTTTCTTTTCATAGAGCAGTTTGGAAACACTCTGTTTGTGAAGTCTGCAAGTGGATATTTAAACGTCTCTGAGGCCTTCGTTGGAAACGGGATTTTTTCATATAAACCAGGACAGAAGAATTCTCAGAAACTTCTTGATTGTTATGTGTGCATTCAACTCACAGAGTTGAACCTTACTTTGGAAAGAGCAGTTTTCTAACACTCTTTTTGTAAAAGTTCCAAGTGAATACTTTGAGTGCTTTGAAGCCTACGGTTGACAACGAAATATCTTCATGTAAAAACTACAAAGAATCATTCGCAGAAACCACGTTGTGATCTCTGCATTCAACTCACAGAGTTCAACCTTTCTTCCTATAGAGCAGTTATGAAACAGTCTCTTTGTAGAATTTGCAAGGGTGTATTTAGAGGGCATTGAAGCCTACGGTAGAAAAGGAAATATCTTACCATAAAATCTAGTCAGAAGCATTCTCAGAAACTGAGTTGTGATGTTTGCATTCAACTCACAGAGTTCAACATTCCTTTTAATGGAGCGGTTTTGAAACACTCTTTTTGCAGAATCTGCAAGTGGATATTTGGACCTCTTTGAGGCCTTCGTTGGAAACGGGATTTCTTCATGTAATGCCAGACAGAAGAATTCTCAGTGAATTCTTTCTGTGTGTGTGTATTCAACTCACAGAGTTGAACGTTCCTTTAGACAGAGTAGATTGGAAACACTCTTTTTGTGGAATTTTCAGGTGGAGGTATCAAGCGCTTTGAGGCCAATGATAGAAAAGGAAATACCTTCGTATAATAATTAGACGGAATCATTCTCAGAAACTGCTTTGCAATGTGTGCGTTCAACTCACAGTGTTTAACCTTTCTTTTCATACAGTTGTTTCGAAACACTCTTTTTGCAGAATCTGCAAGTGGATATTTGGACCTCTTTGAAGTCTTCGTTGGAAATGGGATTTCTTCATATAATGCTAGACAGAAGACTTCTCAGTAACTGCTTTTTCTGGTGTGTATTCAACTCTCAGAGTTGAACTTTCCTTTAGAAACAGCAGATTTGAAACTCTCTTTTTGTGGAATTTGCAAGTGGAGATTTCAGAGCTTTGAGGCCAATGGTAGAAAAGGAAATATCTTCGTATGCAAACTAGACAGAATCATTCTCAGAAACTACTTTGGTACGTGTGTGTTCAACTCACAGTGTTTAACCTTTCTTTTCATAGAGCAGTTTGGAAACACTCAGTTTGTAAAGTCAGCAACTGGATATTTGGATGTATTTGAGGCCTTCGTTGGAAACGGGATTTCTTCATATAATGCTAGACAGAAGAATTCTCAGTAACTTCTTTGGGTTGTGGGTATTCAACTCACAGAGTTGAAGCTTCCTTTAGGCGGAGCAGATTGGAAACACTTTTTGTGGAATTTTCAGGGGGAGACTTCAAGCGCTTTGAAGTGAATGGTAGGAAAGGAAATATCTTCGTATAAAAACTAGACGGAGTCATTCTCAGAAACTACTTTGTGATGTTTGCGTTCAACTCACAGAGTTTAACGTTTCTTTTCATAGAGCAGTTTGGAAACACTCTTTTTGCAGAATCTGCAAGTGGATATTTGGACCTCTTTGTGGCCTTCGTTGGAAACGGGATTTTTCATATAATGCTAGACAGAAGAATTCTCAGTAACTTCTTTTTGTGGTGTGTATTCAACTCACAGAGTTGAACCTTCCTTTAGACAGAGCAGATTTGAAACTCTCTTTTTGTGGAATTTGCAAGTGGAGATTTCAAGCGCTTTGAGGCCAACGACAGAAAAGGAATTATCTTCGTAGAAAAAATAGACGGAATCATTCTCAGAAACTGCTTTGGGATGTGTGCATTGAACTCACAGTGTTTAACACTTCTTTTCATAGAGCACTTTGGAAACACTCAGTTTGTAATGTCTGCAGCTGGATATTTAGACACCTTTGAGGCCTTCGTAGTAAACGGGATTTCTTCGTGTAATGATAGACAATAGAATTCTCAGTGAATTTTTTTCTGTGTGTGTGTATTCAACTCACAGGGTTGAACCTTCCTTTAGACAGTGCAGATTTGAAACACTTGTCTGTGGAATTTGCAAGGGGAGATTTCAAGCACTTTGAGGCCATTGGTGGAAAAGGAAATATCTTCGTATAAAAACTAGACAGAATCATTCTCAGGAACTACTTTGTGATACGTGCATTCAACTCACAGGGTTTAACCTTTCTTTTCATAGATGAGTTTGGAAACAGTCAGTTTGTAAATTCTGCAACTGGATATTAGGACCTCTTTGAGGCGTTCGTTGGAAACGGGATTTCTTCACATAATGCTAGACAGAAGAATTCGCAGTAACTTCTTTTGGGATGTATGTATTCAACTCGGAGAGTTGAACCTTCCTTTAGACAGAGCGCATTGGAAACACGCTTTTTGCGGAATTTTCAGGTGGAGATTCCAAGAGCCTTGAGACCAATGGTAGAAAAGGATATCTTCATATAAAAACTAGAGGGAATCATTCTCAGAAACTGCTTTCTGATGTGTGCATTAAACTCACAGGGTTGAACATTTCTTTGCATAGAGCAGTTTGGAAAGACTTAGTTTGTACAGTGTGCAAGTGGATATTTGGAACTCTTTGAGGCCTTC